>NC_000020.11:26971044-27295535 GCF_000001405.40 Homo sapiens
CATTGTCAGAAACTACTTTGTGATGTTTGCATTCAAGTCACAGAATTGAACACTCCCTTTCACAGAGCAGGTTTGAAACACTCTTTTTGTAGTGTCTGTAAGTGAACATTTGGATTGCTTTCAGGCCTAAGGTGAAAAAGGAAATATCTTCCCATAAAAACTAGACAGAAGCATTCTCAGAAACTTGTTTGTGATGTGTGCCCTCTACTGACAGAGTTGAACCTTTCTTTGCAAAGAGCAGTTTTGAAACACTCTTTTTGTAGAATCTGCAAGAGGATATTTGGATAGCTTTGAGGATTTCTTGGGAAACGGGAATGTCTTCAGATAAACTCTAGACAGAAGCATTCTCAGAAACTTCTTTGGGATGTTTCAATTGAAGTCACAGTGTTGAACATTCCCTTTCACAGAGCAGGTTTGAAACACTCTTTTTGTAGTGTCTATAAGTGAACATTTGGCGTGCTTCAGGCCTAACGTGAAAAAGGAAATATCTTCCCATAAAAACTAGACAAAAGCATTCTCAGGAAACTTGTTCTTGATGTGTCCCCTCTACTGACAGAGTTGAACCATTCTTTGCAAAGAGCAGCTTTGAAACACTCTTTTTGTAGAATCTGCAAGAGGATATTTGGATAGCTTTGAGGATTTCGTTGGAAACGGGTATGTCTTCAGATAAACTCTAGACAGAAGCATTCTCAGAAACTTCTTTGGGATGTTGCATTCAAGTCACAGAGTAGAACATTCGCATTCATAGAGCAGATTTGAAACACTCTTTTTGTAGTATCTGGAAGTGGACATTTGGAGCGCTTTCAGGCCTATGTTGAAAAAGGAAATATCTTCCCATAAAAACTAGACGGAAGCATTCTCAGAAACTTATTTGTGATGTGTTTGCTCAACTAACAGGATTGAACCATCGTTTTGAAGGAGCAGTTTTGAAACACTGTTTTCGTGGAATCTGCAAGTGGATATTTGGCTAGCTTTGAGGATTTCGTTGGAAACGGGATTACATATAAAAAGGAGACAGCAGCATTCTCAGAAACTTCTTTGTGATGTCTGCATTCAATTCACAGAGTTGAGCATTCCCTTTCATAGAGCAGGTTGGAAACACTCTTTTTGTAGTATCTGGATGAGGACATTTGGAGCGCTTTCAGGCGTATGGTGAAAAAGGAAATATCTTCCCGTAAAAACTAGACAGAAGCATTCTCAGAAGTTTATTTGAGATGTGTGCCCTCAACTAACAGAGTTGAACCTTTCTTTTGATAGAGCAGTTTTGAAACACTCTTTTTGTAAAATCTGCAAGAGGATATTTGGATAGCTTTGAGGATTTCGTTGCAAACGGGAATGGCTTCATATAAACTCTAGACAGAAGCATTCTCAGAAACTTCGTTGGGATGTTTCGATTGAAGTCCCAGTGTTGAACATTCCCTTTTATAGAGCAGGTTGGAAACACTCTTTCTGCATTCCCTGGAAGTGGACATTTGGAGCGCTTTCAGGACGACGGTGAAAATGGAAATATCTTCCAATAAAATCTAGATAGAAGCAATGTCAGAAACTTTTCTGTGATGGATCTACTCAGCTAACAGAGTTGAACCTTTCTTTTGAGAGAGCAGTTTTGCAACACTCTTTTTGTGGAATATGCAAGTGGATATTAGGGCAGCTTTGAGGATTTCGTTGGAAACGGGAATACATGTAAAAAGCAGACAGCAGCATTCTCAGAAACTTCTTTGTGATGTTTGCATTGAAGTCACAGAGTTGAACATTCCCTTTGAGAGAGCAGGTTTGAAACACGCCTTTTGTCATATCTGGAAGTGTCCATTCGGAGCGCATTCAGGCTTGTGTTGAAAAAGGAAATATCCTCCCATAAAAACTAGACAGAAGCATTCTCAGAAACTTATCTGTGATGTATGTACTCAACTAACCGAACTAAACCATCGTTTTGAAGGAGCAGTTTTGAAACACTCTTTTTGCGGAATCTGCAAGTGGATATTTGGCTAGCTGGGAGGATTTCGTTGGAAACGGGATTACATACAAAAAGCAGACAGCAGCATTCTCAGAAACTTCTTTGTGATGTTTGCATTCAAGTCACAGAGTTGAACATTCCCTTTCATAGAGCAGGTTTGAAACACTCTTTTTGTAGTATCTGGATGTGGACATTTGGATCGCTTTCAGGCCTATGGTGAAAAAGGAAATATCTTCCCATGAAAACTAGACAGAAGCATTCTCAGAAACTTATTTGTGATGTGTGCCCTCAACTGACAGTGTTGAACCTTTGTTTTGATAGAGCAGTTCTGAAACACACTTTTTGTAAAATCTGCAAGAGGATATTTGGATAGCTTTGAGGATTTCGTTGGAAACGGGAATGTCTTCATGTAAACTCTACACAGAAGCATTCTCAGAAACTGCTTTGGGATGTTTCAATTGAAGTCCCAGTGTTGAACATTCCCATTCATAGAGCAGGTTTGAAACACTCTTTTTGTACTATCTGGAAGTGGACATTTGGAGCGCTTTCAGGTCTACGGTGAAAAAGGAGATATCTTCCAATAAAAACTAGATAGAAGCAATGTCAGAACTTTTTTCATGATGTATCTACTCAGCAAACAGAGTTGAACCTTTCTTTTGAGAGAGCAGTTTTGAAACACTCTTTTTGTGGAATATGAAAGTGGGTATTAGGCCAGCTTGGAGGATTTCGTTGGAAACGGGAATACGTATAAAAAGCAGACAGCAGCATTGTCAGAAACTACTTTGTGATGTTTGCATTCAAGTCACAGAACTGAACACTCCCTTTCACAGAGCAGGTTTGAAACACTCTTTTTGTAGTGTCTGTAAGTGAACATTTGGATTGCTTTCAGGCCTAAGGTGAAAAAGGAAATATCTTCCCATAAAAACTAGACAGAAGCATTCTCAGAAACTTGTTTGTGATGTGTGCCCTCTACTGACAGAGTTGAACCTTTCTTTGCAAAGAGCAGTTTTGAAACACTCTTTTTGTAGAATCTGCAAGAGGATATTTGGATAGCTTTGAAGATTTCTTGGGAAACGGGAATGTCTTCAGATAAACTCTAGACAGAAGCATTCTCAGAAACTTCTTTGGGATGTTTCAATTGAAGTCACAGTGTTGAACATTCCCTTTCACAGAGCAGGTTTGAAACACTCTTTTTGTAGTGTCTATAAGTGAACATTTGGCGTGCTTTCAGGCCTAACGTGAAAAAGGAAATATCTTCCCATAAAAACTAGACAGAAAGCATTCTCAGAAACTTGTTCTTGATGTGTCCCCTCTACTGACAGAGTTGAACCTTTCTTTGCAAAGAGCAGCTTTGAAACACTCTTTTTGTAGAATCTGCAAGAGGATATTTGGATAGCTTGGAGGATTTCGTTGGAAACGGGTATGTCTTCAGATAAACTCCAGACAGAAGCATTCTCAGAAACTTCTTTGGGATGTTGCATTCAAGTCACAGAGTAGAACATTCCCATTCATAGAGCAGATTTGAAACACTCTTTTTGTAGTATCTGGAAGTGGACATTTGGAGCGCTTTCAGGCCTATGTTGAAAAAGGAAATATCTTCCCATAAAAACTAGACGGAAGCATTCTCAGAAACTTACTTGTGATGTGTTTGCTCAACTAACAGAATTGAACCATCGTTTTGAAGGAGCAGTTTTGAAACACTGTTTTCGTGGAATCTGCAAGTGGATATTTGGCTAGCTTTGAGGATTTCGTTGGAAACGGGATTACATATAAAAAGGAGACAGCAACATTCTCAGAAACTTCTTTGTGATGTCTGCATTCAAGTCACAGAGTTGAGCATTCCCTTTCATAGAGCAGGTTGGAAACACTCTTTTTGTAGTATCTGGATGAGGACATTTGGATCGCTTTCAGGCGTATGGTGAAAAAGGAAATATCTTCCCGTAAAAACTAGACAGAAGCATTCTCAGAAATTTATTTGTGATGTGTGCCCTCAACTAACCGAGTTGAACCTTTCTTTTGATAGAGCAGTTTTGAAACACTCTTTTTGTAAAATCTGCAAGAGGATATTTGGATAGCTTTGAGGATTTCGTTGCAAACGGGAATGGCTTCATATAAACTCTAGACAGAAGCATTCTCAGAAACTTCGTTGGGATGTTTCGATTGAAGTCCCAGTGTTGAACATTCCCTTTTATAGAGCAGGTTGGAAACACTCTTTCTGCATTCCCTGGAAGTGGACATTTGGAGCGCTTTCTGGACGACGGTGAAAATGGAAATATCTTCCAAGAAAATCTAGATAGAAGCAACGTCAGAAACTTTTCTGTGATGGATCTACTCAGCTAACAGAGTTGAACCTTTCTTTTGAGAGAGCAGTTTTGCAACACTCTTTTTGTGGAATATGCAAGTGGATATTAGGGCAGCTTTGAGGATTTCGTTGGAAACGGGAATACATGTAAAAAGCAGACAGCAGCATTCTCAGAAACTTCTTTGTGATGTTTGCATTGAAGTCACAGAGTTGAACATTCCCTTTGAGAGAGCAGGTTTGAAACACGCCTTTTGTCATATCTGGAAGTGTCCATTCGGAGCGCATTCAGGCTTGTGTTGAAAAAGGAAATATCCTCCCATAAAAACTAGACAGAAGCATTCTCAGAAACTTATCTGTGATGTATGTACTCAACTAACAGAACTAAACCATCGTTTTGAAGGAGCAGTTTTGAAACACTCTTTTTGCGGAATCTGCAAGTGGATATTTGGCTAGCTGGGAGGATTTCGTTGGAAACGGGATTACATACAAAAAGCAGACAGCAGCATTCTCAGAAACTTCTTTGTGATGTTTGCATTCAAGTCACAGAGTTGAACATTCCCTTTCATAGAGCAGGTTTGAAACACTCTTTTTGTAGTATCTGGATGTGGACATTTGGATCGCTTTCAGGCCTATGGTGAAAAAGGAAATATCTTCCCATGAAAACTAGACAGAAGCATTCTCAGAAACTTATTTGTGATGTGTGCCCTCAACTGACAGTGTTGAACCTTTGTTTTGATAGAGCAGTTCTGAAACACACTTTTTGTAAAATCTGCAAGAGGATATTTGGATAGCTTTGAGGATTTCGTTGGAAACGGGAATGTCTTCATGTAAACTCTAGACAGAAGCATTCTCAGAAACTGCTTTGGGATGTTTCAATTGAAGTCCCAGTGTTGAACATTCCCTTTCATAGAGCAGGTTTGAAACACTCTTTTTGTACTATCTGGAAGTGGACATTTGGAGCGCTTTCAGGTCTACGGTGAAAAAGGAGATATCTTCCAATAAAAACTAGATAGAAGCAATGTCAGAACTTTTTTCATGATGTATCTACTCAGCAAACAGAGTTGAACCTTTCTTTTGAGAGAGCAGTTTTGACACAGTCTTTGTGGAATATGCAAGTGGGTATTAGGCCAGCTTGGAGGATTTCGTTGGAAACGGGAATACGTATAAAAAGCAGACAGCAGCATTGTCAGAAACTACTTTGTGATGTTTGCATTCAAGTCACAGAATTGAACACTCCCTTTCACAGAGCAGGTTTGAAACACTCTTTTTGTAGTGTCTGTAAGTGAACATTTGGATTGCTTTCAGGCCTAAGGTGAAAAAGGTAATATCTTCCCATAAAAACTAGACAGAAGCATTCTCAGAAACTTGTTTGTGATGTGTGCCCTCTACTGACAGAGTTGAACCTTTCTTTGCAAAGAGCAGTTTTGAAACACTCTTTTTGTAGAATCAGCAAGAGGATATTTGGATAGATTTGAGGATTTCTTGGGAAACGGGAATGTCTTCAGATAAACTCTAGACAGAAGCATTCTCAGAAACTTCTTTGGGATGTTTCAATTGAAGTCACAGTGTTGAACATTCCCTTTCACAGAGCAGGTTTGAAACACTCTTTTTGTAGTGTCTATAAGTGAACATTTGGCGTGCTTTCAGGCGTAACGTGAAAAAGGAAATATCTTCCCATATAAACTAGACAGAAGCATTCTCAGAAACTTGTTCTTGATGTGTCCCCTCTACTGACAGAGTTGAACCTTTCTTTGCAAAGAGCAGCTTTGAAACACTCTTTTTGTAGGATCTGCAAGAGGATATTTGGATAGCTTGGAGGATTTCGTTGGAAACGGGTATGTCTTCAGATAAACTCTAGACAGAAGCATTCTCAGAAACTTCTTTGGGATGTTGCATTCAAGTCACAGAGTAGAACATTCCCATTCATAGAGCAGATTTGAAACACTCTTTTTGTAGTATCTGGAAGTGGACATTTGGAGCGCTTTCAGGCCTATGTTGAAAAAGGAAATATCTTCCCATAAAAACTACACGGAAGCATTCTCAGAAACTTATTTGTGATGTGTTTGCTCAACTAACAGGATTGAACCATCGTTTTGAAGGAGCAGTTTTGAAACACTGTTTTCGTGGAATCTGCAAGTGGATATTTGGCTAGCTTTGAGGATTTCGTTGGAAACGGGATTACATATAAAAAGGAGACAGCAGCATTCTCAGAAACTTCTTTGTGATGTCTGCATTCAATTCACAGAGTTGAGCATTCCCTTTCATAGAGCAGGTTGGAAACACTCTTTTTGTAGTATCTGGATGAGGACATTTGGAGCGCTTTCAGGCGTATGGTGAAAAAGGAAATATCTTCCCGTAAAAACTAGACAGAAGCATTCTCAGAAGTTTATTTGTGATGTGTGCCCTCAACTAACAGAGTTGAACCTTTCTTTTGATAGAGCAGTTTTGAAACACTCTTTTCGTAAAATCTGCAAGAGGATATTTGGATAGCTTTGAGGATTTCGTTGCAAACGGGAATGGCTTCATATAAACTCTAGACAGAAGCATTCTCAGAAACTTCGTTGGGATGTTTCGATTGAAGTCCCAGTGTTGAACATTCCCTTTTATAGAGCAGGTTGGAAACACTCTTTCTGCATTCCCTGGAAGTGGACATTTGGAGCGCTTTCAGGACGACGGTGAAAATGGAAATATCTTCCAAGAAAATCTAGATAGAAGCAACGTCAGAAACTTTTCTGTGATGGATCTACTCAGCTAACAGAGTTGAACCTTTCTTTTGAGAGAGCAGTTTTGCAACACTCTTTTTGTGGAATATGCAAGTGGATATTAGGGCAGCTTTGAGGATTTCGTTGGAAACGGGAATACATGTAAAAAGCAGACAGCAGCATTCTCAGAAACTTCTTTGTGATGTTTGCATTGAAGTCACAGAGTTGAACATTCCCTTTGAGAGAGCAGGTTTGAAACACGCCTTTTGTCATATCTGGAAGTGTCCATTCGGAGCGCATTCAGGCTTGTGTTGAAAAAGGAAATATCCTCCCATAAAAACTAGACAGAAGCATTCTCAGAAACTTATCTGTGATGTATGTACTCAACTAACAGAACTAAACCATCGTTTTGAAGGAGCAGTTTTGAAACACTCTTTTTGCGGAATCTGCAAGTGGATATTTGGCTAGCTGGGAGGATTTCGTTGGAAACGGGATTACATACAAAAAGCAGACAGCAGCATTCTCAGAAACTTCTTTGTGATGTTTGCATTCAAGTCACAGAGTTGAACATTCCCTTTCATAGAGCAGGTTTGAAACACTCTTTTTGTAGTATCTGGATGTGGACATTTGGATCGCTTTCAGGCCTATGGTGAAAAAGGAAATATCTTCCCATGAAAACTAGACAGAAGCATTCTCAGAAACTTATTTGTGATGTGTGCCCTCAACTGACAGTGTTGAACCTTTGTTTTGATAGAGCAGTTCTGAAACACACTTTTTGTAAAATCTGCAAGAGGATATTTGGATAGCTTTGAGGATTTCGTTGGAAACGGGAATGTCTTCATGTAAACTCTAGACAGAAGCATTCTCAGAAACTGCTTTGGGATGTTTCAATTGAAGTCCCAGTGCTGAACATTCCCTTTCATAGAGCAGGTTTGAAACACTCTTTTTGTACTATCTGGAAGTGGACATTTGGAGCGCTTTCAGGTCTACGGTGAAAAAGGAGATATCTTCCAATAAAAACTAGATAGAAGCAATGTCAGAACTTTTTTCATGATGTATCTACTCAGCAAACAGAGTTGAACCTTTCTTTTGAGAGAGCAGTTTTGAAACACTCTTTTTGTGGAATATGCAAGTGGGTATTAGGCCAGCTTGGAGGATTTCGTTGGAAACGGGAATACGTATAAAAAGCAGACAGCAGCATTGTCAGAAACTACTTTGTGATGTTTGCATTCAAGTCACAGAATTGAACACTCCCTTTCACAGAGCAGGTTTGAAACACTCTTTTTGTAGTGTCTATAAGTGAACATTTGGCGTGCTTTCAGGCCTAAGGTGAAAAAGGAAATATCTTCCCATAAAAACTAGACAGAAGCATTCTCAGAAACTTGTTTGTGATGTGTGCCCTCTACTGACAGAGTTGAACCTTTCTTTGCAAAGAGCAGCTTTGAAACACTCTTTTTGTAGAATCTGCAAGAGGATATTTGGATAGCTTTGAGGATTTCGTTGGAAACGGGTATGTCTTCAGATAAACTCTAGACAGAAGCATTCTCAGAAACTTCTTTGGGATGTTGCATTCAAGTCACAGAGTAGAACATTCCCATTCATAGAGCAGATTTGAAACACTCTTTTTGTAGTATCTGGAAGTGGACATTTGGAGCGCTTTCAGGCCTATGTTGAAAAAGGAAATATCTTCCCATAAAAACTAGACGGAAGCATTCTCAGAAACTTACGTGTGATGTGTTTGCTCAACTAACAGAATTGAACCATCGTTTTGAAGGAGCAGTTTTGAAACACTGTTTTCGTGGAATCTGCAAGTGGATATTTGGCTAGCTTTGAGGATTTCGTTGGAAACGGGATTACAAATAAAAAGGAGTCAGCAGCATTCTCAGAAACTGCTTTGGGATGTTTCAATTGAAGTCACAGTGTTGAACATTCCCTTTCATAGAGCAGGTTTGAAACACTCTTTTTGTAGTATCTGGATGAGGACATTTGGAGCGCTTTCAGGCGTATGGTGAAAAAGGAAATATCTTCCCGTAAAAACTAGACAGAAGCATTCTCAGAAATTTATTTGTGATGTGTGCCCTCAACTAACAGAGTTGAACCTTTCTTTTGATAGAGCAGTTTTGAAACACTCTTTTTGTAAAATCTGCAAGAGGATATTTGGATAGCTTTGAGGATTTCGTTGCAAACGGGAATGGCTTCATATAAACTCTAGACAGAAGCATTCTCAGAAACTTCGTTGGGATGTTTCGATTGAAGTCCCAGTGTTGAACATTCCCTTTTATAGAGCAGGTTGGAAACACTCTTTCTGCATTCCCTGGAAGTGGACATTTGGAGCGCTTTCAGGACGACGGTGAAAATGGAAATATCTTCCAAGAAAATCTAGATAGAAGCAATGTCAGAAACTTTTATGTGATGGATCTACTCAGCTAACAGAGTTGAACCTTTCTTTTGAGAGAGCAGTTTTGCAACACTCTTTTTGTGGAATATGCAAGTGGATATTAGGGCAGCTTTGAGGATTTCGTTGGAAACGGGAATACATGTAAAAAGCAGACAGCAGCATTCTCAGAAACTTCTTTGTGATGTTTGCATTGAAGTCACAGAGTTGAACATTCCCTTTGAGAGAGCAGGTTTGAAACACGCCTTTTGTCATATCTGGAAGTGTCCATTCGGAGCGCATTCAGGCTTGTGTTGAAAAAGGAAATATCCTCCCATAAAAACTAGACAGAAGCATTCTCAGAAAGTTATCAGTGATGTATGTACTCAACTAACAGAACTAAACCATCGTTTTGAAGGAGCAGTTTTGAAACACTCTTTTTGCGGAATCTGCAAGTGGATATTTGGCTAGCTGGGAGGATTTCGTTGGAAACGGGATTACATACAAAAAGCAGACAGCCAAGCATTCTCAGTAAACTTATTTGTGATGTGTGCCCTCAACTGACAGTGTTGAACCTTTGTTTTGATAGAGCAGTTCTGAAACACACTTTTTGTAAAATCTGCAAGAGGATATTTGGATAGCTTTGAGGATTTCGTTGGAAACGGGAATGTCTTCATGTAAACTCTAGACAGAAGCATTCTCAGAAACTGCTTTGGGATGTTTCAATTGAAGTCCCAGTGTTGAACATTCCCTTTCATAGAGCAGGTTTGAAACACTCTTTTTGTACTATCTGGAAGTGGACATTTGGAGCGCTTTCAGGTCTACGGTGAAAAAGGAGATATCTTCCAATAAAAACTAGATAGAAGCAATGTCAGAACTTTTTTCATGATGTATCTACTCAGCAAACAGAGTTGAACCTTTCTTTTGAGAGAGCAGTTTTGAAACACTCTTTTTGTGGAATATGCAAGTGGGTATTAGGCCAGCTTGGAGGATTTCGTTGGAAACGGGAATACGTATAAAAAGCAGACAGCAGCATTGTCAGAAACTACTTTGTGATGTTTGCATTCAAGTCACAGAATTGAACACTCCCTTTCACAGAGCAGGTTTGAAACACTCTTTTTGTAGTGTCTGTAAGTGAACATATGGATTGCTTTCAGGCCTAAGGTGAAAAAGGAAATATCTTCCCATAAAAACTAGACAGAAGCATTCTCAGAAACTTGTTTGTGATGTGTGCCCTCTACTGACAGAGTTGAACCTTTCTTTGCAAAGAGCAGTTTTGAAACACTCTTTTTGTAGAATCTGCAAGAGGATATTTGGATAGCTTTGAAGATTTCTTGGGAAACGGGAATGTCTTCAGATAAACTCTAGACAGAAGCATTCTCAGAAACTTCTTTGGGATGTTTCAATTGAAGTCACAGTGTTGAACATTCCCTTTCACAGAGCAGGTTTGAAACACTCTTTTTGTAGTGTCTATAAGTGAACATTTGGCGTGCTTTCAGGCCTAACGTGAAAAATTAAATATCTTCCCATAAAAACTAGACAGAAGCATTCTCAGAAACTTGTTCATGATGTGTGCCCTCTACTGACAGAGTTGAACCTTTCTTTGCAAAGAGCAGCTTTGAAACACTCTTTTTGTAGAATCTGCAAGAGGATATTTGGATAGCTTTGAGGATTTCGTTGGAAACGGGTATGTCTTCAGATAAACTCTAGACAGAAGCATTCTCAGAAACTTCTTTGGGATGTTGCATTCAAGTCACAGAGTAGAACATTCCCATTCATAGAGCAGATTTGAAACACTCTTTTTGTAGTATCTGGAAGTGGACATTTGGAGCGCTTTCAGGCCTATGTTGAAAAAGGAAATATCTTCCCATAAAAACTAGACGGAAGCATTCTCAGAAACTTACTTGTGATGTGTTTGCTCAACTAACAGAATTGAACCATCGTTTTGAAGGAGCAGTTTTGAAACACTGTTTTCGTGGAATCTGCAAGTGGATATTTGGCTAGCTTTGAGGATTTCGTTGGAAACGGGATTACATATAAAAAGGAGACAGCAGCATTCTCAGAAACTTCTTTGTGATGTCTGCATTCAAGTCACAGAGTTGAGCATTCCCTTTCATAGAGCAGGTTGGAAACACTCTTTTTGTAGTATCTGGATGAGGACATTTGGAGCGCTTTCAGGCCTATGGTGAAAAAGGAAATATCTTCCCGTAAAAACTAGACAGAAGCATTCTCAGAAATTTATTTGTGATGTGTGCCCTCAACTAACAGAGTTGAACCTTTCTTTTGATAGAGCAGTTTTGAAACACTCTTTTTGTAAAATCTGCAAGAGGATATTTGGATAGCTTTGAGGATTTCGTTGCAAACGGGAATGGCTTCATATAAACTCTAGACAGAAGCATTCTCAGAAACTTCGTTGGGATGTTTCGATTGAAGTCCCAGTGTTGAACATTCCCTTTTATAGAGCAGGTTGGAAACACTCTTTCTGCATTCCCTGGAAGTGGACATTTGGAGCGCTTTCAGGACGACGGTGAAAATGGAAATATCTTCCAAGAAAATCTAGATAGAAGCAACGTCAGAAACTTTTATGTGATGGATCTACTCAGCTAACAGAGTTGAACCTTTCTTTTGAGAGAGCAGTTTTGCAACACTCTTTTTGTGGAATATGCAAGTGGATATTAGGGCAGCTTTGAGGATTTCGTTGGAAACGGGAATACATGTAAAAAGCAGACAGCAGCGTTCTCAGAAACTTCTTTGTGATGTTTGCATTGAAGTCACAGAGTTGAACATTCCCTTTGAGAGAGCAGGTTTGAAACACGCCTTTTGTCATATCTGGAAGTGTCCATTCGGAGCGCATTCAGGCTTGTGTTGAAAAAGGAAATATCCTCCCATAAAAACTAGACAGAAGCATTCTCAGAAACTTATCTGTGATGTATGTACTCAACTAACAGAACTAAACCATCGTTTTGAAGGAGCAGTTTTGAAACACTCTTTTTGCGGAATCTGCAAGTGGATATTTGGCTAGCTGGGAGGATTTCGTTGGAAACGGGATTACATACAAAAAGCAGACAGCAGCATTCTCAGAAACTTCTTTGTGATGTTTGCATTCAAGTCACAGAGTTGAACATTCCCTTTCATAGAGCAGGTTTGAAACACTCTTTTTGTAGTATCTGGATGTGGACATTTGGATCGCTTTCAGGCCTATGGTGAAAAAGGAAATATCTTCCCATGAAAACTAGACAGAAGCATTCTCAGAAACTTATTTGTGATGTGTGCCCTCAACTGACAGTGTTGAACCTTTGTTTTGATAGAGCAGTTCTGAAACACACTTTTTGTAAAATCTGCAAGAGGATATTTGGATAGCTTTGAGGATTTCGTTGGAAACGGGAATGTCTTCATGTAAACTCTAGACAGAAGCATTCTCAGAAACTGCTTTGGGATGTTTCAATTGAAGTCCCAGTGTTGAACATTCCCTTTCATAGAGCAGGTTTGAAACACTCTTTTTGTACTATCTGGAAGTGGACATTTGGAGCGCTTTCAGGTCTACGGTGAAAAAGGAGATATCTTCCAATAAAAACTAGATAGAAGCAATGTCAGAACTTTTTTCATGATGTATCTACTCAGCAAACAGAGTTGAACCTTTCTTTTGAGAGAGCAGTTTTGACACAGTCTTTGTGGAATATGCAAGTGGGTATTAGGCCAGCTTGGAGGATTTCGTTGGAAACGGGAATACGTATAAAAAGCAGACAGCAGCATTGTCAGAAACTACTTTGTGATGTTTGCATTCAAGTCACAGAATTGAACACTCCCTTTCACAGAGCAGGTTTGAAACACTCTTTTTGTAGTGTCTGTAAGTGAACATTTGGATTGCTTTCAGGCCTATGGTGAAAAAGGTAATATCTTCCCATAAAAACTAGACAGAAGCACTCTCAGAAACTTGTTTGTGATGTGTGCCCTCTACTGACAGAGTTGAACCTTTCTTTGCAAAGAGCAGTTTTGAAACACTCCTTTTGTAGAATCTGCAAGAGGATATTTGGATAGCTTTGAGGATTTCTTGGGAAACGGGAATGTCTTCAGATAAACTCTAGACAGAAGCATTCTCAGAAACTTCTTTGGGATGTTTCAATTGAAGTCACAGTGTTGAACATTCCCTTTCACAGAGCAGGTTTGAAACACTCTTTTTGTAGTGTCTATAAGTGAACATTTGGCGTGCTTTCAGGCGTAACGTGAAAAAGGAAATATCTTCCCATAAAAACTAGACAGAAGCATTCTCAGAAACTTGTTCTTGATGTGTCCCCTCTACTGACAGAGTTGAACCTTTCTTTGCAAAGAGCAGCTTTGAAACACTCTTTTTGTAGAATCTGCAAGAGGATATTTGGATAGCTTGGAGGATTTCGTTGGAAACGGGTATGTCTTCAGATAAACTCTAGACAGAAGCATTCTCAGAAACTTCTTTGGGATGTTGCATTCAAGTCACAGAGTAGAACATTCCCATTCATAGAGCAGATTTGAAACACTCTTTTTGTAGTATCTGGAAGTGGACATTTGGAGCGCTTTCAGGCCTATGTTGAAAAAGGAAATATCTTCCCATAAAAACTAGACGGAAGCATTCTCAGAAACTTATTTGTGATGTGTTTGCTCAACTAACAGGATTGAACCATCGTTTTGAAGGAGCAGTTTTGAAACACTGTTTTCGTGGAATCTGCAAGTGGATATTTGGCTAGCTGGGAGGATTTCGTTGGAAACGGGATTACATATAAAAAGGAGACAGCAGCATTCTCAGAAACTTCTTTGTGATGTCTGCATTCAATTCACAGAGTTGAGCATTCCCTTTCATAGAGCAGGTTGGAAACACTCTTTTTGTAGTATCTGGATGAGGACATTTGGAGCGCTTTCAGGCGTATGGTGAAAAAGGAAATATCTTCCCGTAAAAACTAGACAGAAGCATTCTCAGAAGTTTATTTCTGATGTGTGCCCTCAACTAACAGAGTTGAACCTTTCTTTTCATAGAGCAGTTTTGAAACACTCTTTTTGTAAAATCTGCAAGAGGATATTTGGATAGCTTTGAGGATTTCGTTGCAAACGGGAATGGCTTCATATAAACTCTAGACAGAAAGCATTCTCAGAAACTTCGTCGGGATGTTTCGATTGAAGTCCCAGTGTTGAACATTCCCTTTTATAGAGCAGGTTGGAAACACTCTTTCTGCATTCCCTGGAAGTGGACAATTGGAGCGCTTTCAGGACGACGGTGAAAATGGAAATATCTTCCAATAAAATCTGGATAGAGCAACCGTCAGAAACTTTTCTGTGATGGATCTACTCAGCTAACAGAGTTGAACCTTTCTTTTGAGAGAGCAGTTTTGCAACACTCTTTTTGTGGAATATGCAAGTGGATATTAGGGCAGCTTTGAGGATTTCGTTGGAAACGGGAATACATGTAAAAAGCAGACAGCAGCATTCTCAGAAACTTCTTTGTGATGTTTGCATTGAAGTCACAGAGTTGAACATTCCCTTTGAGAGAGCAGGTTTGAAACACGCCTTTTGTCATATCTGGAAGTGTCCATTCGGAGCGCATTCAGGCTTGTGTTGAAAAAGGAAATATCCTCCCATAAAAACTAGACAGAAGCATTCTCAGAAACTTATCTGTGATGTATGTACTCAACTAACAGAACTAAACCATCGTTTTGAAGGAGCAGTTTTGAAACACTCTTTTTGCGGAATCTGCAAGTGGATATTTGGCTAGCTGGGAGGATTTCGTTGGAAACGGGATTACATACAAAAAGCAGAGAGCAGCATTCTCAGAAACTTCTTTGTGATGTTTGCATTCAAGTCACAGAGTTGAACATTCCCTTTCATAGAGCAGGTTTGAAACACTCTTTTTGTAGTATCTGGATGTGGACATTTGGATCGCTTTCAGGCCTATGGTGAAAAAGGAAATATCTTCCCATGAAAACTAGACAGAAGCATTCTCAGAAACTTATTTGTGATGTGTGCCCTCAACTGACAGTGTTGAACCTTTGTTTTGATAGAGCAGTTCTGAAACACACTTTTTGTAAAATCTGCAAGAGGATATTTGGATAGATTTGAGGATTTCGTTGGAAACGGGAATGTCTTCATGTAAACTCTAGACAGAAGCATTCTCAGAAACTGCTTTGGGATGTTTCAATTGAAGTCCCAGTGTTGAACATTCCCTTTCATAGAGCAGGTTTGAAACACTCTTTTTGTACTATCTGGAAGTGGACATTTGGAGCGCTTCAGGTCTACGGTGAAAAAGGAGATATCTTCCAATAAAAACTAGATAGAAGCAATGTCAGAACTTTTTTCATGATGTATCTACTCAGCTAACAGAGTTGAACCTTTCTTTTGAGAGAGCAGTTTTGAAACACTCTTTGTGTGGAATATGCAAGTGGGTATTAGGCCAGCTTGGAGGATTTCGTTGGAAACGGGAATACGTATAAAAAGCAGCCAGCAGCATTGTCAGAAACTACTTTGTGATGTTTGCATTCAAGTCACAGAATTGAACACTCCCTTTCACAGTAGCAGGTTTGAAACACTCTTTTTGTAGTGTCTGTAAGTGAACATTTGGATTGCTTTCAGGCCTAAGGTGAAAAAGGAAATATCTTCCCATAAAAACTAGACAGAAGCATTCTCAGAAACTTGTTTGTGATGTGTGCCCTCTACTGACAGAGTTGAACCTTTCTTTGCAAAGAGCAGTTTTGAAACACTCTTTTTGTAGAATCTGCAAGAGGATATTTGGATAGCTTTGAGGATTTCTTGGGAAACGGGAATGTCTTCAGATAAACTCTAGACAGAAGCATTCTCAGAAACTTCTTTGGGATGTTTCAATTGAAGTCACAGTGTTGAACATTCCCTTTCACAGAGCAGGTTTGAAACACTCTTTTTGTAGTGTCTATAAGTGAACATTTGGCGTGCTTTCAGGCCTAACGTGAAAAAGGAAATATCTTCCCATAAAAACTAGACAGAAGCATTCTCAGAAACTTGTTCGTGATGTGTGCCCTCTACTGACAGAGTTGAACCTTTCTTTGCAAAGAGCAGCTTTGAAACACTCTTTTTGTAGAATCTGCAAGAGGATATTTGGATAGCTTTGAGGATTTCGTTGGAAACGGGTATGTCTTCAGATAAACTCTAGACAGAAGCATTCTCAGAAACTTCTTTGGGATGTTGCATTCAAGTCACAGAGTAGAACATTCCCATTCATAGAGCAGATTTGAAACACTCTTTTTGTAGTATCTGGAAGTGGACATTTGGAGCGCTTTCAGGCCTATGTTGAAAAAGGAAATATCTTCCCATAAAAACTAGACGGAAGCATTCTCAGAAACTTACTTGTGATGTGTTTGCTCAACTAACAGAATTGAACCATCGTTTTGAAGGAGCAGTTTTGAAACACTGTTTTCGTGGAATCTGCAAGTGGATATTTGGCTAGCTTTGAGGATTTCGTTGGAAACGGGATTACATATAAAAAGGAGACAGCAGCATTCTCAGAAACTTCTTTGTGATGTCTGCATTCAAGTCACAGAGTTGAGCATTCCCTTTCATAGAGCAGGTTGGAAACACTCTTTTTGTAGTATCTGGATGAGGACATTTGGAGCGCTTTCAGGCGTATGGTGAAAAAGGAAATATCTTCCCGTAAAAACTAGACAGAAGCATTCTCAGAAATTTATTTGTGATGTGTGCCCTCAACTAACAGAGTTGAACCTTTCTTTTGATAGAGCAGTTTTGAAACACTCTTTTTGTAAAATCTGCAAGAGGATATTTGGATAGCTTTGAGGATTTCGTTGCAAACGGGAATGGCTTCATATAAACTCTAGACAGAAGCATTCTCAGAAACTTCGTTGGGATGTTTCGATTGAAGTCCCAGTGTTGAACATTCCCTTTTATAGAGCAGGTTGGAAACACTCTTTCTGCATTCCCTGGAAGTGGACATTTGGAGCGCTTTCAGGACGACGGTGAAAATGGAAATATCTTCCAAGAAAATCTAGATAGAAGCAACGTCAGAAACTTTTCTGTGATGGATCTACTCAGCTAACAGAGTTGAACCTTTCTTTTGAGAGAGCAGTTTTGCAACACTCTTTTTGTGGAATATGCAAGTGGATATTAGGGCAGCTTTGAGGATTTCGTTGGAAACGGGAATACATGTAAAAAGCAGACAGCAGCATTCTCAGAAACTTCTTTGTGATGTTTGCATTGAAGTCACAGCAGTTGAACATTCCCTTTGAGAGAGCAGGTTTGAAACACGCCTTTTGTCATATCTGGAAGTGTCCATTCGGAGCGCATTCAGGCTTGTGTTGAAAAAGGAAATATCCTCCCATAAAAACTAGACAGAAAGCATTCTCAGGAAACTTATCTGTGATGTATGTACTCAACTAACAGAACTAAACCATCGTTTTGAAGGAGCAGTTTTGAAACACTCTTTTTGCAGAATCTGCAAGTGGATATTTGGCTAGCTGGGAGGATTTCGTTGGAAACGGGATTACATACAAAAAGCAGAGAGCAGCATTCTCAGAAACTTCTTTGTGATGTTTGCATTCAAGTCACAGAGTTGAACATTCCCTTTCATAGAGCAGGTTTGAAACACTCTTTTTGTAGTATCTGGATGTGGACATTTGGATCGCTTTCAGGCCTATGGTGAAAAAGGAAATATCTTCCCATGAAAACTAGACAGAAGCATTCTCAGAAACTTATTTGTGATGTGTGCCCTCAACTGACAGTGTTGAATCTTTGTTTTGATAGAGCAGTTCTGAAACACACTTTTTGTAAAATCTGCAAGAGGATATTTGGATAGCTTTGAGGATTTCGTTGGAAACGGGAATGTCTTCATGTAAACTCTACACAGAAGCATTCTCAGAAACTGCTTTGGGATGTTTCAATTGAAGTCCCAGTGTTGAACATTCCCATTCATAGAGCAGGTTTGAAACACTCTTTTTGTACTATCTGGAAGTGGACATTTGGAGCGCTTTCAGGTCTACGGTGAAAAAGGAGATATCTTCCAATAAAAACTAGATAGAAGCAATGTCAGAACTTTTTTCATGATGTATCTACTCAGCTAACAGTAGTTGAACCTTTCTTTTGAGAGAGCAGTTTTGAAACACTCTTTGTGTGGAATATGCAAGTGGGTATTAGGCCAGCTTGGAGGATTTCGTTGGAAACGGGAATACGTATAAAAAGCAGACAGCAGCATTGTCAGAAACTACTTTGTGATGTTTGCATTCAAGTCACAGAATTGAACACTCCCTTTCACAGAGCAGGTTTGAAACTCTCTTTTTGTAGTGTCTGTAAGTGAACATTTGGCGTGCTTTCAGGCGTAACGTGAAAAAGGAAATATCTTCCCATAAAAACTAGACAGAAGCATTCTCAGAAACTTGTTCTTGATGTGTGCCCTCTACTGACAGAGTTGAACCTTTCTTTGCAAAGAGCAGTTTTGAAACACTCTTTTTGTAGAATCTGCAAGAGGATATTTGGATAGCTTTGAGGATTTCTTGGGAAACGGGAATGTCTTCAGATAAACTCTAGACAGAAGCATTCTCAGAAACTTCTTTGGGATGTTTCAATTGAAGTCACAGTGTTGAACATTCCCTTTCACAGAGCAGGTTTGAAACACTCTTTTTGTAGTGTCTATAAGTGAACATTTGGCGTGCTTTCAGGCCTAACGTGAAAAAGGAAATATCTTCCCATAAAAACTAGACAGAAGCATTCTCAGAAACTTGTTCGTGATGTGTGCCCTCTACTGACAGAGTTGAACCTTTCTTTGCAAAGAGCAGTTTTGAAACACACTTTTTGTAGAATCTGCAAGAGGATATTTGGATAGCTTTGAGGATTTCGTTGGAAACGGGTATGTCTTCAGATAAACTCTAGACAGAAGCATTCTCAGAAACTTCTTTGGGATGTTGCATTCAAGTCACAGAGTAGAACATTCCCATTCATAGAGCAGATTTGAAACACTCTTTTTGTAGTATCTGGAAGTGGACATTTGGAGCGCTTTCAGGCCTATGTTGAAAAAGGAAATATCTTCCCATAAAAACTAGACGGAAGCATTCTCAGAAACTTACTTGTGATGTGTTTGCTCAACTAACAGAATTGAACCATCGTTTTGAAGGAGCAGTTTTGAAACACTGTTTTCGTGGAATCTGCAAGTGGATATTTGGCTAGCTTTGAGGATTTCGTTGGAAACGGGATTACATATAAAAAGGAGACAGCAGCATTCTCAGAAACTTCTTTGTGATGTCTGCATTCAAGTCACAGAGTTGAGCATTCCCTTTCATAGAGCAGGTTGGAAACACTCTTTTTGTAGTATCTGGATGAGGACATTTGGAGCGCTTTCAGGCGTATGGTGAAAAAGGAAATATCTTCCCGTAAAAACTAGACAGAAGCATTCTCAGAAATTTATTTGTGATGTGTGCCCTCAACTAACAGAGTTGAACCTTTCTTTTGATAGAGCAGTTTTGAAACACTCTTTTTGTAAAATCTGCAAGAGGATATTTGGATAGCTTTGAGGATTTCGTTGCAAACGGGAATGGCTTCATATAAACTCTAGACAGAAGCATTCTCAGAAACTTCGTTGGGATGTTTCGATTGAAGTCCCAGTGTTGAACATTCCCTTTTATAGAGCAGGTTGGAAACACTCTTTCTGCATTCCCTGGAAGTGGACATTTGGAGCGCTTTCAGGACGACGGTGAAAATGGAAATATCTTCCAAGAAAATCTAGATAGAAGCAACGTCAGAAACTTTTCTGTGATGGATCTACTCAAGCTAACAGAGTTGAACCTTTCTTTTGAGAGAGCAGTTTTGCAACACTCTTTTTGTGGAATATGCAAGTGGATATTAGGGCAGCTTTGAGGATTTCGTTGGAAACGGGAATACATGTAAAAAGCAGACAGCAGCATTCTCAGAAACTTCTTTGTGATGTTTGCATTGAAGTCACAGAGTTGAACATTCCCTTTGAGAGAGCAGGTTTGAAACACGCCTTTTGTCATATCTGGAAGTGTCCATTCGGAGCGCATTCAGGCTTGTGTTGAAAAAGGAAATATCCTCCCATAAAAACTAGACAGAAGCATTCTCAGAAACTTATCTGTGATGTATGTACTCAACTAACAGAACTAAACCATCGTTTTGAAGGAGCAGTTTTGAAACACTCTTTTTGCGGAATCTGCAAGTGGATATTTGGCTAGCTGGGAGGATTTCGTTGGAAACGGGATTACATACAAAAAGCAGACAGCAGCATTCTCAGAAACTTCTTTGTGATGTTTGCATTCAAGTCACAGAGTTGAACATTCCCTTTCATAGAGCAGGTTTGAAACACTCTTTTTGTAGTATCTGGATGTGGACATTTGGATCGCTTTCAGGCCTATGGTGAAAAAGGAAATATCTTCCCATGAAAACTAGACAGAAGCATTCTCAGAAACTTATTTGTGATGTGTGCCCTCAACTGACAGTGTTGAACCTTTGTTTTGATAGAGCAGTTCTGAAACACACTTTTTGTAAAATCTGCAAGAGGATATTTGGATAGCTTTGAGGATTTCGTTGGAAACGGGAATGTCTTCATGTAAACTCTACACAGAAGCATTCTCAGAAACTGCTTTGGGATGTTTCAATTGAAGTCCCAGTGTTGAACATTCCCATTCATAGAGCAGGTTTGAAACACTCTTTTTGTACTATCTGGAAGTGGACATTTGGAGCGCTTTCAGGTCTACGGTGAAAAAGGAGATATCTTCCAATAAAAACTAGATAGAAGCAATGTCAGAACTTTTTTCATGATGTATCTACTCAGCTAACAGAGTTGAACCTTTCTTTTGAGAGAGCAGTTTTGAAACACTCTTTGTGTGGAATATGCAAGTGGGTATTAGGCCAGCTTGGAGGATTTCGTTGGAAACGGGAATACGTATAAAAAGCAGACAGCAGCATTGTCAGAAACTACTTTGTGATGTTTGCATTCAAGTCACAGAATTGAACACTCCCTTTCACAGAGCAGGTTTGAAACACTCTTTTTGTAGTGTCTGTAAGTGAACATATGGATTGCTTTCAGGCCTAAGGTGAAAAAGGAAATATCTTCCCATAAAAACTAGACAGAAGCATTCTCAGAAACTTGTTTGTGATGTGTGCCCTCTACTGACAGAGTTGAACCTTTCTTTGCAAAGAGCAGTTTTGAAACACTCTTTTTGTAGAATCTGCAAGAGGATATTTGGATAGCTTTGAAGATTTCTTGGGAAACGGGAATGTCTTCAGATAAACTCTAGACAGAAGCATTCTCAGCAAACTTCTTTGGGATGTTTCAATTGAAGTCACAGTGTTGAACATTCCCTTTCACAGAGCAGGTTTGAAACACTCTTTTTGTAGTGTCTATAATTGAACATTTGGCGTGCTTTCAGGCCTAACGTGAAAAAGGAAATATCTTCCCATAAAAACTAGACAGAAGCATTCTCAGAAACTTGTTCGTGATGTGTGCCCTCTACTGACAGAGTTGAACCTTTCTTTGCAAAGAGCAGCTTTGAAACACACTTTTTGTAGAATCTGCAAGAGGATATTTGGATAGCTTTGAGGATTTCGTTGGAAACGGGTATGTCTTCAGATAAACTCTAGACAGAAGCATTCTCAGAAACTTCTTTGGGATGTTGCATTCAAGTCACAGAGTAGAACATTCCCATTCATAGAGCAGATTTGAAACACTCTTTTTGTAGTATCTGGAAGTGGACATTTGGAGCGCTTTCAGGCCTATGTTGAAAAAGGAAATATCTTCCCATAAAAACTAGACGGAAGCATTCTCAGAAACTTATTTGTGATGTGTTTGCTCAGCTAACAGGATTGAAACATCGTTTTGAAGGAGCAGTTTTGAAACACTGTTTTCGTGGAATCTGCAAGTGGATATTTGGCTAGCTGGGAGGATTTCGTTGGAAACGGGATTACATATAAAAAGGAGACAGCCAGCATTCTCAGAAACTTCTTTGTGATGTTTGCATTCAATTCACAGAGTTGAGCATTCCCTTTCATAGAGCAGGTTGGAAACACTCTTTTTGTAGTATCTGGATGTGGACATTTGGATCGCTTTCAGGCCTATGGTGAAAAAGGAAATATCTTCCCATGAAAACTAGACAGAGCATTCTCAGAAATTTATTTGTGATGTGTGCCCTCAACTAACAGAGTTGAACCTTTCTTTTGATAGAGCAGTTTTGAAACACTCTTTTTGTAAAATCTGCAAGAGGATATTTGGATAGCTTTGAGGATTTCGTTGCAAACGGGAATGGCTTCATATAAACTCTAGACAGAAGCATTCTCAGAAACTTCGTTGGGATGTTTCGATTGAAGTCCCAGTGTTGAACATTCCCTTTTATAGAGCAGGTTGGAAACACTCTTTCTGCATTCCCTGGAAGTGGACATTTGGAGCGCTTTCAGGACGACGGTGAAAATGAAAATATCTTCCAAGAAAATCTAGATAGAAGCAATGTCAGAAACTTTTATGTGATGGATCTACTCAGCTAACAGAGTTGAACCTTTCTTTTGAGAGAGCAGTTTTGCAACACTCTTTTTGTGGAATATGCAAGTGGATATTAGGGCAGCTTTGAGGATTTCGTTGGAAACGGGAATACATGTAAAAAGCAGACAGCAGCATTCTCAGAAACTTCTTTGTGATGTTTGCATTGAAGTCACAGAGTTGAACATTCCCTTTGAGAGAGCAGGTTTGAAACACGCCTTTTGTCATATCTGGAAGTGTCCATTCGGAGCGCATTCAGGCTTGTGTTGAAAAAGGAAATATCCTCCCATAAAAACTAGACAGAAGCATTCTCAGAAACTTATCTGTGATGTATGTACTCAACTAACAGAACTAAACCATCGTTTTGAAGGAGCAGTTTTGAAACACTCTTTTTGCGGAATCTGCAAGTGGATATTTGGCTAGCTGGGAGGATTTCGTTGGAAACGGGATTACATACAAAAAGCAGACAGCAGCATTCTCAGAAACTTCTTTGTGATGTTTGCATTCAAGTCACAGAGTTGAACATTCCCTTTCATAGAGCAGGTTTGAAACACTCTTTTTGTAGTATCTGGATGTGGACATTTGGATCGCTTTCAGGCCTATGGTGAAAAAGGAAATATCTTCCCATGAAAACTAGACAGAAGCATTCTCAGAAACTTATTTGTGATGTGTGCCCTCAACTGACAGTGTTGAACCTTTGTTTTGATAGAGCAGTTCTGAAACACACTTTTTGTAAAATCTGCAAGAGGATATTTGGATAGCTTTGAGGATTTCGTTGGAAACGGGAATGTCTTCATGTAAACTCTGGACAGAAGCATTCTCAGAAACTGCTTTGGGATGTTTCAATTGAAGTCCCAGTGTTGAACATTCCCTTTCATAGAGCAGGTTTGAAACACTCTTTTTGTACTATCTGGAAGTGGACATTTGGAGCGCTTTCAGGTCTACGGTGAAAAAGGAGATATCTTCCAATAAAAACTAGATAGAAGCAATGTCAGAACTTTTTTCATGATGTATCTACTCAGCAAACAGAGTTGAACCTTTCTTTTGAGAGAGCAGTTTTGAAACACTCTTTTTGTGGAATATGCAAGTGGGTATTAGGCCAGCTTGGAGGATTTCGTTGGAAACGGGAATACGTATAAAAAGCAGACAGCAGCATTGTCAGAAACTACTTTGTGATGTTTGCATTCAAGTCACAGAATTGAACACTCCCTTTCACAGAGCAGGTTTGAAACACTCTTTTTGTAGTGTCTGTAAGTGAACATTTGGATTGCTTTCAGGCCTAAGGTGAAAAAGGAAATGTCTTCCCATAAAAACTAGACAGAAGCATTCTCAGAAACTTGTTTGTGATGTGTGCCCTCTACTGACAGAGTTGAACCTTTCTTTGCAAAGACCAGTTTTGAAACACTCTTTTTGTAGAATCTGCAAGAGGATATTTGGATAGCTTTGAGGATTTCTTGGGAAACGGGAATGTCTTCAGATAAACTCTAGACAGAAGCATTCTCAGAAACTTCTTTGGGATGTTTCAATTGAAGTCACAGTGTTGAACATTCCCTTTCACAGAGCAGGTTTGAAACACTCTTTTTGTAGTGTCTATAAGTGAACATTTGGCGTGCTTTCAGGCGTAACGTGAAAAAGGAAATATCTTCCCATAAAAACTAGACAGAAGCATTCTCAGAAACTTGTTCGTGATGTGTGCCCTCTACTGACAGAGTTGAACCTTTCTTTGCAAAGAGCAGCTTTGAAACACACTTTTTGTAGAATCTGCAAGAGGATATTTGGATAGCTTGGAGGATTTCGTTGGAAACGGGTATGTCTTCAGATAAACTCTAGACAGAAGCATTCTCAGAAACTTCTTTGGGATGTTGCATTCAAGTCACAGAGTAGAACATTCCCATTCATAGAGCAGATTTGAAACACTCTTTTTGCAGTATCTGGAAGTGGACATTTGGAGCGCTTTCAGGCCTATGTTGAAAAAGGAAATATCTTCCCATAAAAACTAGACGGAAGCATTCTCAGAAACTTATTTGTGATGTGTTTGCTCAACTAACAGGATTGAACCATCGTTTTGAAGGAGCAGTTTTGAAACACTGTTTTCGTGGAATCTGCAAGTGGATATTTGGCTAGCTTTGAGGATTTCGTTGGAAACGGGATTACATATAAAAAGGAGACAGCAGCATTCTCAGAAACTTCTTTGTGATGTCTGCATTCAATTCACAGAGTTGAGCATTCCCTTTCATAGAGCAGGTTGGAAACACTCTTTTTGTAGTATCTGGATGAGGACATTTGGAGCGCTTTCAGGCCTATGGTGAAAAAGGAAATATCTTCCCGTAAAAACTAGACAGAAGCATTCTCAGAAATTTATTTGTGATGTGTGCCCTCAACTAACAGAGTTGAACCTTTCTTTTGATAGAGCAGTTTTGAAACACTCTTTTTGTAAAATCTGCAAGAGGATATTTGGATAGCTTTGAGGATTTCGTTGCAAACGGGAATGGCTTCATATAAACTCTAGACAGAAGCATTCTCAGAAACTTCGTTGGGATGTTTCGATTGAAGTCCCAGTGTTGAACATTCCCTTTTATAGAGCAGGTTGGAAACACTCTTTCTGCATTCCCTGGAAGTGGACATTTGGAGCGCTTTCAGGACGACGGTGAAAATGGAAATATCTTCCAAGAAAATCTAGATAGAAGCAATGTCAGAAACTTTTATGTGATGGATCTACTCAGCTAACAGAGTTGAACCTTTCTTTTGAGAGAGCAGTTTTGCAACACTCTTTTTGTGGAATATGCAAGTGGATATTAGGGCAGCTTTGAGGATTTCGTTGGAAACGGGAATACATGTAAAAAGCAGACAGCAGCATTCTCAGAAACTTCTTTGTGATGTTTGCATTGAAGTCACAGAGTTGAACATTCCCTTTGAGAGAGCAGGTTTGAAACACGCCTTTTGTCATATCTGGAAGTGTCCATTCGGAGCGCATTCAGGCTTGTGTTGAAAAAGGAAATATCCTCCCATAAAAACTAGACAGAAGCATTCTCAGAAACTTATCTGTGATGTATGTACTCAACTAACAGAACTAAACCATCGTTTTGAAGGAGCAGTTTTGAAACACTCTTTTTGCGGAATCTGCAAGTGGATATTTGGCTAGCTGGGAGGATTTCGTTGGAAACGGGATTACATACAAAAAGCAGACAGCAGCATTCTCAGAAACTTCTTTGTGATGTTTGCATTCAAGTCACAGAGTTGAACATTCCCTTTCATAGAGCAGGTTTGAAACACTCTTTTTGTAGTATCTGGATGTGGACATTTGGATCGCTTTCAGGCCTATGGTGAAAAAGGAAATATCTTCCCATGAAAACTAGACAGAAGCATTCTCAGAAACTTATTTGTGATGTGTGCCCTCAACTGACAGTGTTGAACCTTTGTTTTGATAGAGCACTTCTGAAACACACTTTTTGTAAAATCTGCAAGAGGATATTTGGATAGCTTTGAGGATTTCGTTGGAAACGGGAATGTCTTCATGTAAACTCTACACAGAAGCATTCTCAGAAACAGCTTTGGGATGTTTCAATTGAAGTCCCAGTGTTGAACATTCCCTTTCATAGAGCAGGTTTGAAACACTCTTTTTGTACTATCTGGAAGTGGACATTTGGAGCGCTTTCAGGTCTACGGTGAAAAAGGAGATATCTTCCAATAAAAACTAGATAGAAGCAATGTCAGAACTTTTTTCATGATGTATCTACTCAGCAAACAGAGTTGAACCTTTCTTTTGAGAGAGCAGTTTTGAAACACTCTTTTTGTGGAATATGCAAGTGGGTATTAGGCCAGCTTGGAGGATTTCGTTGGAAACGGGAATACGTATAAAAAGCAGACAGCAGCATTGTCAGAAACTACTTTGTGATGTTTGCATTCAAGTCACAGAATTGAACACTCCCTTTCACAGAGCAGGTTTGAAACACTCTTTTTGTAGTGTCTGTAAGTGAACATTTGGATTGCTTTCAGGCCTAAGGTGAAAAAGGAAATATCTTCCCATAAAAACTAGACAGAAGCATTCTCAGAAACTTGTTTGTGATGTGTGCCCTCTACTGACAGAGTTGAACCTTTCTTTGCAAAGAGCAGTTTTGAAACACTCTTTTTGTAGAATCTGGAAGAGGATATTTGGATAGCTTTGAGGATTTCTTGGGAAACGGGAATGTCTTCAGATAAACTCTAGACAGAAGCATTCTCAGAAACTGCTTTGGGATGTTTCAATTGAAGTCCCAGTGTTGAACATTCCCTTTCATAGAGCAGGTTTGAAACCCTCTTTTTGTAGTGTCTATAAGTGAACATTTGGCGTGCTTTCAGGCCTAACGTGAAAAAGGAAATATCTTCCCATAAAAACTAGACAGAAGCATTCTCAGAAACTTGTTCTTGATGTGTGCCCTCTACTGACAGAGTTGAACCTTTCTTTGCAAAGAGCAGTTTTGAAACACTCTTTTTGTAGAATCTGCAAGAGGATATTTGGATAGCTTTGAGGATTTCTTGGGAAACGGGAATGTCTTCAGATAAACTCTAGACAGAAGCATTCTCAGAAACTTCTTTGGGATGTTTCAATTGAAGTCACAGTGTTGAACATTCCCTTTCACAGAGCAGGTTTGAAACACTCTTTTTGTAGTGTCTATAAGTGAACATTTGGCGTGCTTTCAGGCGTAACGTGAAAAAGGAAATATCTTCCCATAAAAACCAGACAGAAGCATTCTCAGAAACTTGTTCTTGATGTGTCCCCTCTACTGACAGAGTTGAACCTTTCTTTGCAAAGAGCAGCTTTGAAACACTCTTTTTGTAGAATCTGCAAGAGGATATTTGGATAGCTTTGAGGATTTCGTTGGAAACGGGTATGTCTTCAGATAAACTCTAGACAGAAGCATTCTCAGAAACTTCTTTGGGATGTTGCATTCAAGTCACAGAGTAGAACATTCCCATTCATAGAGCAGATTTGAAACACTCTTTTTGTAGTATCTGGAAGTGGACATTTGGAGCGCTTTCAGGCCTATGTTGAAAAAGGAAATATCTTCCCATAAAAACTAGACGGAAGCATTCTCAGAAACTTACTTGTGATGTGTTTGCTCAACTAACAGAATTGAACCATCGTTTTGAAGGAGCAGTTTTGAAACACTGTTTTCGTGGAATCTGCAAGTGGATATTTGGCTAGCTTTGAGGATTTCGTTGGAAACGGGATTACATATAAAAAGGAGACAGCAGCATTCTCAGAAACTTCTTTGTGCTGTCTGCATTCAAGTCACAGAGTTGAGCATTCCCTTTCATAGAGCAGGTTGGAAACACTCTTTTTGTAGTATCTGGATGAGGACATTTGGAGCGCTTTCAGGCGTATGGTGAAAAAGGAAATATCTTCCCGTAAAAACTAGACAGAAGCATTCTCAGAAATTTATTTGTGATGTGTGCCCTCAACTAACAGAGTTGAACCTTTCTTTTGATAGAGCAGTTTTGAAACACTCTTTTTGTAAAATCTGCAAGAGGATATTTGGATAGCTTTGAGGATTTCGTTGCAAACGGGAATGGCTTCATATAAACTCTAGACAGAAGCATTCTCAGAAACTTCGTTGGGATGTTTCGATTGAAGTCCCAGTGTTGAACATTCCCTTTTATAGAGCAGGTTGGAAACACTCTTTCTGCATTCCCTGGAAGTGGACATTTGGAGCGCTTTCAGGACGACGGTGAAAATGGAAATATCTTCCAAGAAAATCTAGATAGAAGCAATGTCAGAAACTTTTATGTGATGGATCTACTCAGCTAACAGAGTTGAACCTTTCTTTTGAGAGAGCAGTTTTGCAAGACTCTTTTTGTGGAATATGCAAGTGGATATTAGGGCAGCTTTGAGGATTTCGTTGGAAACGGGAATACATGTAAAAAGCAGACAGCAGCATTCTCAGAAACTTCTTTGTGATGTTTGCATTGAAGTCACAGAGTTGAACATTCCCTTTGAGAGAGCAGGTTTGAAACACGCCTTTTGTCATATCTGGAAGTGTCCATTCGGAGCGCATTCAGGCTTGTGTTGAAAAAGGAAATATCCTCCCATAAAAACTAGACAGAAGCATTCTCAGAAACTTATCTGTGATGTATGTACTCAACTAACAGAACTAAACCATCGTTTTGAAGGAGCAGTTTTGAAACACTCTTTTTGCGGAATCTGCAAGTGGATATTTGGCTAGCTGGGAGGATTTCGTTGGAAACGGGATTACATACAAAAAGCAGACAGCAGCATTCTCAGAAACTTCTTTGTGATGTTTGCATTCAAGTCACAGAGTTGAACATTCCCTTCCATAGAGCAGGTTTGAAACACTCTTTTTGTAGTATCTGGATGTGGACATTTGGATCGCTTTCAGGCCTATGGTGAAAAAGGAAATATCTTCCCATGAAAACTAGACAGAAGCATTCTCAGAAACTTATTTGTGATGTGTGCCCTCAACTGACAGTGTTGAACCTTTGTTTTGATAGAGCAGTTCTGAAACACACTTTTTGTAAAATCTGCAAGAGGATATTTGGATAGCTTTGAGGATTTCGTTGGAAACGGGAATGTCTTCATGTAAACTCTACACAGAAGCATTCTCAGAAACTGCTTTGGGATGTTTCAATTGAAGTCCCAGTGTTGAACATTCCCATTCATAGAGCAGGTTTGAAACACTCTTTTTGTACTATCTGGAAGTGGACATTTGGAGCGCTTTCAGGTCTACGGTGAAAAAGGAGATATCTTCCAATAAAAACTAGATAGAAGCAATGTCAGAACTTTTTTCATGATGTATCTACTCAGCAAACAGAGTTGAACCTTTCTTTTGAGAGAGCAGTTTTGAAACACTCTTTTTGTGGAATATGCAAGTGGGTATTAGGCCAGCTTGGAGGATTTCGTTGGAAACGGGAATACGTATAAAAAGCAGACAGCAGCATTGTCAGAAACTACTTTGTGATGTTTGCATTCAAGTCACAGAACTGAACACTCCCTTTCACAGAGCAGGTTTGAAACACTCTTTTTGTAGTGTCTGTAAGTGAACATTTGGATTGCTTTCAGGCCTAAGGTGAAAAAGGAAATATCTTCCCATAAAAACTAGACAGAAACATTCTCAGAAACTTGTTTGTGATGTGTGCCCTCTACTGACAGAGTTGAACCTTTCTTTGCAAAGACCAGTTTTGAAACACTCTTTTTGTAGAATCTGCAAGAGGATATTTGGATAGCTTTGAGGATTTCTTGGGAAACGGGAATGTCTTCAGATAAACTCTAGACAGAAGCATTCTCAGAAACTTCTTTGGGATGTTTCAATTGAAGTCACAGTGTTGAACATTCCCTTTCACAGAGCAGGTTTGAAACACTCTTTTTGTAGTGTCTATAATTGAACATTTGGCGTGCTTTCAGGCCTAACGTGAAAAAGGAAATATCTTCCCATAAAAACTAGACAGAAGCATTCTCAGAAACTTGTTCGTGATGTGTGCCCTCTACTGACAGAGTTGAATCTTTCTTTGCAAAGAGCAGCTTTGAAACACTCTTTTTGTAGAATCTGCAAGAGGATATGTGGATAGCTTTGAGGATTTCGTTGGAAACGGGTATGTCTTCAGATAAACTCTAGACAGAAGCATTCTCAGAAACTTCTTTGGGATGTTTCAATTGAAGTCACAGTGTTGAACATTCCCTTTCACAGAGCAGGTTTGAAACACTCTTTTTGTAGTGTCTATAAGTGAACATTTGGCGTGCTTCAGGCCTAACGTGAAAAAGGAAATATCTTCCCATAAAAACTAGACAGATAAGCATTCTCAGAAACTTGTTCGTGATGTGTGCCCTCTACTGACAGAGTTGAACCTTTCTTTGCAAAGAGCAGCTTTGAAACACACTTTTTGTAGAATCTGCAAGAGGATATTTGGATAGCTTTGAGGATTTCGTTGGAAACGGGTATGTCTTCAGATAAACTCTAGACAGAAGCATTCTCAGAAACTTCTTTGGGATGTTGCATTCAAGTCACAGAGTAGAACATTCCCATTCATAGAGCAGATTTGAAACACTCTTTTTGTAGTATCTGGAAGTGGACATTTGGAGCGCTTTCAGGCCTATGTTGAAAAAGGAAATATCTTCCCATAAAAACTAGACGGAAGCATTCTCAGAAACTTATTTGTGATGTGTTTGCTCAACTAACAGGATTGAACCATCGTTTTGAAGGAGCAGTTTTGAAACACTGTTTTCGTGGAATCTGCAAGTGGATATTTGGCTAGCTTTGAGGATTTCGTTGGAAACGGGATTACATATACAAAGGAGACAGCAGCATTCTCAGAAACTTCTTTGTGATGTCTGCATTCAATTCACAGAGTTGAGCATTCCCTTTCATAGAGCAGGTTGGAAACACTCTTTTTGTAGTATCTGGATGAGGACATTTGGAGCGCTTTCAGGCGTATGGTGAAAAAGGAAATATCTTCCCGTAAAAACTAGACAGAAGCATTCTCAGAAGTTTATTTGTGATGTGTGCCCTCAACTAACAGAGTTGAACCTTTCTTTTGATAGAGCAGTTTTGAAACACTCTTTTTGTAAAATCTGCAAGAGGATATTTGGATAGCTTTGAGGATTTCGTTGCAAACGGGAATGGCTTCATATAAACTCTAGACAGAAGCATTCTCAGAAACTTCGTTGGGATGTTTCGATTGAAGTCCCAGTGTTGAACATTCCCTTTTATAGAGCAGGTTGGAAACACTCTTTTTGCATTCCCTGGAAGTGGACATTTGGAGCGCTTTCAGGACGACGGTGAAAATGGAAATATCTTCCAAGAAAATCTAGATAGAAGCAATGTCAGAAACTTTTATGTGATGGATCTACTCAGCTAACAGAGTTGAACCTTTCTTTTGAGAGAGCAGTTTTGCAACACTCTTTTTGTGGAATATGCAAGTGGATATTAGGGCAGCTTTGAGGATTTCGTTGGAAACGGGAATACATGTAAAAAGCAGACAGCAGCATTCTCAGAAACCTCTTTGTGATGTTTGCATTGAAGTCACAGAGTTGAACATTCCCTTTGAGAGAGCAGGTTTGAAACACGCCTTTTGTCATATCTGGAAGTGTCCATTCGGAGCGCATTCAGGCTTGTGTTGAAAAAGGAAATATCCTCCCATAAAAACTATACAGAAGCATTCTCAGAAACTTATTTGTGATATATGTACTCAACTAACAGAACTAAACCATCGTTTTGAAGGAGCAGTTTTGAAACACTCTTTTTGCGGAATCTGCAAGTGGATATTTGGCTAGCTGGGAGGATTTCGTTGGAAACGGGATTACATAGAAAAAGCAGACAGCAGCATTCTCAGAAACTTATTTGTGATGTGTGCCCTCAACTGACAGTGTTGAACCTTTGTTTTGATAGAGCAGTTCTGAAACACACTTTTTGTAAAATCTGCAAGAGGATATTTGGATAGCTTTGAGGATTTCGGTGGAAACGGGAATGTCTTCATGTAAACTCTAGACAGAAGCATTCTCAGAAACTGCTTTGGGATGTTTCAATTGAAGTCCCAGTGTTGAACATTCCCTTTCATAGAGCAGGTTTGAAACACTCTTTTTGTACTATCTGGAAGTGGACATTTGGAGCGCTTTCAGGTCTACGGTGAAAAAGGAGATATCTTCCAATAAAAACTAGATAGAAGCAATGTCAGAACTTTTTTCATGATGTATCTACTCAGCAAACAGAGTTGAACCTTTCTTTTGAGAGAGCAGTTTTGAAACACTCTTTTTGTGGAATATGCAAGTGGGTATTAGGCCAGCTTGGAGGATTTCGTTGGAAACGGGAATACGTATAAAAAGCAGACAGCAGCATTGTCAGAAACTACTTTGTGATGTTTGCATTCAAGTCACAGAATTGAACACTCCCTTTCACAGAGCAGGTTTGAAACACTCTTTTTGTAGTGTCTGTAAGTGAACATTTGGATTGCTTTCAGGCCTAAGGTGAAAAAGGAAATATCTTCCCATAAAAACTAGACAGAAGCATTCTCAGAAACTTGTTTGTGATGTGTGCCCTCTACTGACAGAGTTGAACCTTTCTTTGCAAAGAGCAGTTTTGAAACACTCTTCTTGTAGAATCTGCAAGAGGATATTTGGATAGCTTTGAGGATTTCTTGGGAAACGGGAATGTCTTCAGATAAACTCTAGACAGAAGCATTCTCAGAAACTTCTTTGGGATGTTTCAATTGAAGTCACAGTGTTGAACATTCCCTTTCACAGAGCAGGTTTGAAACACTCTTTTTGTAGTGTCTATAAGTGAACATTTGGCGTGCTTTCAGGCCTAACGTGAAAAAGGAAATATCTTCCCATAAAAACTAGACAGAAGCATTCTCAGAAACTTGTTCGTGATGTGTGCCCTCTACTGACAGAGTTGAACCTTTCTTTGCAAAGAGCAGCTTTGAAACACTCTTTTTGTAGAATCTGCAAGAGGATATTTGGATAGCTTTGAGGATTTCGTTGGAAACGGGTATGTCTTCAGATAAACTCTAGACAGAAGCATTCTCAGAAACTTCTTTGGGATGTTGCATGCAAGTCACAGAGTAGAACATTCCCATTCATAGAGCAGATTTGAAACACTCTTTTTGTAGTATCTGGAAGTGGACATTTGGAGCGCTTTCAGGCCTATGTTGAAAAAGGATATATCTTCCCATAAAAACTAGACGGAAGCATTCTCAGAAACTTACTTGTGATGTGTTTGCTCAACTAACAGAATTGAACCATCGTTTTGAAGGAGCAGTTTTGAAACACTGTTTTCGTGGAATCTGCAAGTGGATATTTGGCTAGCTTTGAGGATTTCGTTGGAAACGGGATTACATATAAAAAGGAGACAGCAGCATTCTCAGAAACTTCTTTGTGATGTCTGCATTCAAGTCACAGAGTTGAGCATTCTCTTTCATAGAGCAGGTTGGAAACACTCTTTTTGTAGTATCTGGATGAGGACATTTGGAGAGCTTTCAGGCGTATGGTGAAAAAGGAAATATCTTCCCGTAAAAACTAGACAGAAGCATTCTCAGAAATTTATTTGTGATGTGTGCCCTCAACTAACAGAGTTGAACCTTTCTTTTGATAGAGCAGTTTTGAAACACTCTTTTTGTAAAATCTGCAAGAGGATATTTGGATAGCTTTGAGGATTTCGTTGCAAACGGGAATGGCTTCATATAAACTCTAGACAGAAGCATTCTCAGAAACTTCGTTGGGATGTTTCGATTGAAGTCCCAGTGTTGAACATTCCCTTTTATAGAGCAGGTTGGAAACACTCTTTCTGCATTCCCTGGAAGTGGACATTTGGAGCGCTTTCAGGACGACGGTGAAAATGGAAATATCTTCCAAGAAAATCTAGATAGAAGCAATGTCAGAAACTTTTATGTGATGGATCTACTCAGCTAACAGAGTTGAACCTTTCTTTTGAGAGAGCAGTTTTGCAACACTCTTTTTGTGGAATATGCAAGTGGATATTTGGGCAGCTTTGAGGATTTCGTTGGAAACGGGAATACATGTAAAAAGCAGACAGCAGCATTCTCAGAAACTTCTTTGTGATGTTTGCATTGAAGTCACAGAGTTGAACATTCCCTTTGAGAGAGCAGGTTTGAAACACGCCTTTTGTCATATCTGGAAGTGTCCATTCAGAGCGCATTCAGGCTTGTGTTGAAAAAGGAAATATCCTCCCATAAAAACTAGACAGAAGCATTCTCAGAAACTTATCTGTGATGTATGTACTCAACTAACAGAACTAAACCATCGTTTTGAAGGAGCAGTTTTGAAACACTCTTTTTGCGGAATCTGCAAGTGGATATTTGGCTAGCTGGGAGGATTTCGTTGGAAACGGGATTACATACAAAAAGCAGACAGCAGCATTCTCAGAAACTTCTTTGTGATGTTTGCATTCAAGTCACAGAGTTGAACATTCCCTTTCATAGAGCAGGTTTGAAACACTCTTTTTGTAGTATCTGGATGTGGACATTTGGATCGCTTTCAGGCCTATGGTGAAAAAGGAAATATCTTCCCATGAAAACTAGACAGAAGCATTCTCAGAAACTTATTTGTGATGTGTGCCCTCAACTGACAGTGTTGAACCTTTGTTTTGATAGAGCAGTTCTGAAACACACTTTTTGTAAAATCTGCAAGAGGATATTTGGATAGCTTTGAGGATTTCGTTGGAAACGGGAATGTCTTCATGTAAACTCTACACAGAAGCATTCTCAGAAACTGCTTTGGGATGTTTCAATTGAAGTCCCAGTGTTGAACATTCCCATTCATAGAGCAGGTTTGAAACACTCTTTTTGTACTATCTGGAAGTGGACATTTGGAGCGCTTTCAGGTCTACGGTGAAAAAGGAGATATCTTCCAATAAAAACTAGATAGAAGCAATGTCAGAACTTTTTTCATGATGTATCTACTCAGCTAACCGAGTTGAACCTTTCTTTTGAGAGAGCAGTTTTGAAACACTCTTTTTGTGGAATATGCAAGTGGGTATTAGGCCAGCTTGGAGGATTTCGTTGGAAACGGGAATACGTATAAAAAGCAGACAGCAGCATTGTCAGAAACTACTTTGTGATGTTTGCATTCAAGTCACAGAATTGAACACTCCCTTTCACAGAGCAGGTTTGAAACACTCTTTTTGTAGTGTCTATAAGTGAACATTTGGCGTGCTTTCAGGCCTAAGGTGAAAAAGGAAATATCTTCCCATAAAAACTAGACAGAAGCATTCTCAGAAACTTGTTCTTGATGTGTCCCCTCTACTGACAGAGTTGAACCTTTCTTTGCAAAGAGCAGCTTTGAAACACTCTTTTTGTAGAATCTGCAAGAAGATATTTGGATAGCTTTGAGGATTTCGTTGGAAACGGGTATGTCTTCAGATAAACTCTAGACAGAAGCATTCTCAGAAACTTCTTTGGGATGTTGCATTCAAGTCACAGAGTAGAACATTCCCATTCATAGAGCAGATTTGAAACACTCTTTTTGTAGTATCTGGAAGTGGACATTTGGAGCTGCTTTCAGGCCTATGTTGAAAAAGGAAATATCTTCCCATAAAAACTAGACGGAAGCATTCTCAGAAACTTACTTGTGATGTGTTTGCTCAACTAACAGAATTGAACCATCGTTTTGAAGGAGCAGTTTTGAAACACTGTTTTCGTTGAATCTGCAAGTGGATATTTGGCTAGCTTTGAGGATTTCGTTGGAAACGGGATTACATATAAAAAGGAGACAGCAGCATTCTCAGAAACTTCTTTGTGATGTCTGCATTCAAGTCACAGAGTTGAGCATTCCCTTTCATAGAGCAGGTTGGAAACACTCTTTTTGTAGTATCTGGATGAGGACATTTGGAGCGCTTTCAGGCGTATGGTGAAAAAGGAAATATCTTCCCGTAAAAACTAGACAGAAGCATTCTCAGAAATTTATTTGTGATGTGTGCCCTCAACTAACAGAGTTGAACCTTTCTTTTGATAGAGCAGTTTTGAAACACTCTTTTTGTAAAATCTGCAAGAGGATATTTGGATAGCTTTGAGGATTTCGTTGCAAACGGGAATGGCTTCATATAAACTCTAGACAGAAGCATTCTCAGAAACTTCGTTGGGATGTTTCGATTGAAGTCCCAGTGTTGAACATTCCCTTTTATAGAGCAGGTTGGAAACACTCTTTCTGCATTCCCTGGAAGTGGACATTTGGAGCGCTTTCAGGACGACGGTGAAAATGGAAATATCTTCCAAGAAAATCTAGATAGAAGCAATGTCAGAAACTTTTATGTGATGGATCTACTCAGCTAACAGAGTTGAACCTTTCTTTTGAGAGAGCAGTTTTGCAACACTCTTTTTGTGGAATATGCAAGTGGATATTAGGGCAGCTTTGAGGATTTCGTTGGAAACGGGAATACATGTAAAAAGCAGACAGCAGCATTCTCAGAAACTTCTTTGTGATGTTTGCATTGAAGTCACAGAGTTGAACATTCCCTTTGAGAGAGCAGGTTTGAAACACGCCTTTTGTCATATCTGGAAGTGTCCATTCGGAGCGCATTCAGGCTTGTGTTGAAAAAGGAAATATCCTCCCAGAAAAACTAGACAGAAGCATTCTCAGAAACTTATCTGTGATGTATGTACTCAACTAACAGAACTAAACCATCGTTTTGAAGGAGCAGTTTTGAAACACTCTTTTTGCGGAATCTGCAAGTGGATATTTGGCTAGCTGGGAGGATTTCGTTGGAAACGGGATTACATACAAAAAGCAGACAGCAGCATTCTCAGAAACTTCTTTGTGATGTTTGCATTCAAGTCACAGAGTTGAACATTCCCTTTCATAGAGCAGGTTTGAAACACTCTTTTTGTAGTATCTGGATGTGGACATTTGGATCGCTTTCAGGCCTATGGTGAAAAAGGAAATATCTTCCCATGAAAACTAGACAGAAGCATTCTCAGAAACTTATTTGTGATGTGTGCCCTCAACTGACAGTGTTGAACCTTTGTTTTGATAGAGCAGTTCTGAAACACACTTTTTGTAAAATCTGCAAGAGGATATTTGGATAGCTTTGAGGATTTCGTTGGAAACGGGAATGTCTTCATGTAAACTCTACACAGAAGCATTCTCAGAAACTGCTTTGGGATGTTTCAATTGAAGTCCCAGTGTTGAACATTCCCATTCATAGAGCAGGTTTGAAACACTCTTTTTCTACTATCTGGAAGTGGACATTTGGAGCGCTTTCAGGTCTACGGTGAAAAAGGAGATATCTTCCAATAAAAACTAGATAGAAGCAATGTCAGAACTTTTTTCATGATGTATCTACTCAGCAAACAGAGTTGAACCTTTCTTTTGAGAGAGCAGTTTTGAAACACTCTTTTTGTGGAATATGCAAGTGGGTATTAGGCCAGCTTGGAGGATTTCGTTGGAAACGGGAATACGTATAAAAAGCAGACAGCAGCATTGTCAGAAACTACTTTGTGATGTTTGCATTCAAGTCACAGAATTGAACACTCCCTTTCACAGAGCAGGTTTGAAACACTCTTTTTGTAGTGTCTGTAAGTGAACATTTGGATTGCTTTCAGGCCTAAGGTGAAAAAGGAAATATCTTCCCATAAAAACTAGACAGAAGCATTCTCAGAAACTTGTTTGTGATGTGTGCCCTCTACTGACAGAGTTGAACCTTTCTTTGCAAAGGAGCAGTTTTGAAACACTCTTTTTGTAGAATCTGCAAGAGGATATTTGGATAGCTTTGAGGATTTCTTGGGAAACGGGAATGTCTTCAGATAAACTCTAGACAGAAGCATTCTCAGAAACTTCTTTGGGATGTTTCAATTGAAGTCACAGTGTTGAACATTCCCTTTCACAGAGCAGGTTTCAAACACTCTTTTTGTAGTGTCTATAAGTGAACATTTGGCGTGCTTTCAGGCCTAACGTGAAAAAGGAAATATCTTCCCATAAAAACTAGACAGAAGTATTCTCAGAAACTTGTTCGTGATGTGTGCCCTCTACTGACAGAGTTGAACCTTTCTTTGCAAAGAGCAGCTTTGAAACACACTTTTTGTAGAATCTGCAAGAGGATATTTGGATAGCTTTGAGGATTTCGTTGGAAACGGGTATGTCTTCAGATAAACTCTAGACAGAAGCATTCTCAGAAACTTCTTTGGGATGTTGCATTCAAGTCACAGAGTAGAACATTCCCATTCATAGAGCAGATTTGAAACACTCTTTTTGTAGTATCTGGAAGTGGACATTTGGAGCGCTTTCAGGCCTATGTTGAAAAAGGAAATATCTTCCCATAAAAACTAGACGGAAGCATTCTCAGAAACTTAATTGTGATGTGTTTGCTCAACTAACAGGATTGAACCATCGTTTTGAAGGAGCAGTTTTGAAACACTGTTTTCGTGGAATCTGCAAGTGGATATTTGGCTAGCTTTGAGGATTTCGTTGGAAACGGGATTACATATAAAAAGGAGACAGCAGCATTCTCAGAAACTTCTTTGTGATGTCTGCATTCAATTCACAGAGTTGAGCATTCCCTTTCATAGAGCAGGTTGGAAACACTCTTTTTGTAGTATCTGGATGTGGACATTTGGATCGCTTTCAGGCCTATGGTGAAAAAGGAAATATCTTCCCATGAAAACTAGACAGAAGCATTCTCAGAAACTTATTTGTGATGTGTGCACTCAACTGACAGTGTTGAACCTTTGTTTTGATAGAGCAGTTCTGAAACACACTTTTTGTAAAATCTGCAAGAGGATATTTGGATAGCTTTGAGGATTTCGTTGGAAACGGGAATGTCTTCATGTAAACTCTAGACAGAAGCATTCTCAGAAACTGCTTTGGGATGTTTCAATTGAAGTCCCAGTGTTGAACATTCCCATTCATAGAGCAGGTTTGAAACACTCTTTTTGTACTATCTGGAAGTGGACATTTGGAGCGCTTTCAGGTCTACGGTGAAAAAGGAGATATCTTCCAATAAAAACTAGATAGAAGCAATGTCAGAACTTTTTTCATGATGTATCTACTCAGCAAACAGAGTTGAACCTTTCTTTTGAGAGAGCAGTTTTGAAACACTCTTTTTGTGGAATATGCAAGTGGGTATTAGGCCAGCTTGGAGGATTTCGTTGGAAACGGGAATACGTATAAAAAGCAGACAGCAGCATTGTCAGAAACTACTTTGTGATGTTTGCATTCAAGTCACAGAATTGAACACTCCCTTTCACAGAGCAGGTTTGAAACACTCTTTTTGTAGTGTCTGTAAGTGAACATATGGATTGCTTTCAGGCCTAAGGTGAAAAAGGAAATATCTTCCCATAAAAACTAGACAGAAGCATTCTCAGAAACTTGTTTGTGATGTGTGCCCTCTACTGACAGAGTTGAACCTTTCTTTGCAAAGAGCAGTTTTGAAACACTCTTTTTGTAGAATCTGCAAGAGGATATTTGGATAGCTTTGAAGATTTCTTGGGAAACGGGAATGTCTTCAGATAAACTCTAGACAGAAGCATTCTCAGAAACTTCTTTGGGATGTTTCAATTGAAGTCACAGTGTTGAACATTCCCTTTCACAGAGCAGGTTTGAAACACTCTTTTTGTAGTGTCTATAAGTGAACATTTGGCGTGCTTTCAGGGCCTAACGTGAAAAAGGAAATATCTTCCCATAAAAACTAGACAGAAGCATTCTCAGAAACTTGTTCGTGATGTGTGCCCTCTACTGACAGAGTTGAACCTTTCTTTGCAAAGAGCAGCTTTGAAACACACTTTTTGTAGAATCTGCAAGAGGATATTTGGATAGCTTGGAGGATTTCGTTGGAAACGGGTATGTCTTCAGATAAACTCTAGACAGAAGCATTCTCAGAAACTTCTTTGGGATGTTGCATTCAAGTCACAGAGTAGAACATTCCCATTCATAGAGCAGATTTGAAACACTCTTTTTGTAGTATCTGGAAGTGGACATTTGGAGCGCTTTCAGGCCTATGTTGAAAAAGGAAATATCTTCCCATAAAAACTAGACGGAAGCATTCTCAGAAACTTATTTGTGATGTGTTTGCTCAACTAACAGGATTGAACCATCGTTTTGAAGGAGCAGTTTTGAAACACTGTTTTCGTGGAATCTGCAAGTGGATATTTGGCTAGCTTTGAGGATTTCGTTGGAAATGGGATTACATATAAAAAGGAGACAGCAGCATTCTCAGAAACTTCTTTGTGATGTCTGCATTCAATTCACAGAGTTGAGCATTCCCTTTCATAGAGCAGGTTGGAAACACTCTTTTTGTAGTATCTGGATGAGGACATTTGGAGCGCTTTCAGGCGTATGGTGAAAAAGGAAATATCTTCCCGTAAAAACTAGACAGAAGCATTCTCAGAAGTTTATTTGTGATGTGTGCCCTCAACTAACAGAGTTGAACCTTTCTTTTGATAGAGCAGTTTTGAAACACTCTTTTTGTAAAATCTGCAAGAGGATATTTGGATAGCTTTGAGGATTTCGTTGCAAACGGGAATGGCTTCATATAAACTCTAGACAGAAGCATTCTCAGAAACTTCGTTGGGATGTTTCGATTGAAGTCCCAGTGTTGAACATTCCCTTTTATAGAGCAGGTTGGAAACACTCTTTCTGCATTCCCTGGAAGTGGACATTTGGAGCGCTTTCAGGACGACGGTGAAAATGGAAATATCTTCCAAGAAAATCTAGATAGAAGCAATGTCAGAAACTTTTCTGTGATGGATCTACTCAGCTAACAGAGTTGAACCTTTCTTTTGAGAGAGCAGTTTTGCAACACTCTTTTTGTGGAATATGCAAGTGGATATTAGGGCAGCTTTGAGGATTTCGTTGGAAACGGGAATACATGTAAAAAGCAGACAGCAGCATTCTCAGAAACTTCTTTGTGATGTTTGCATTGAAGTCACAGAGTTGAACATTCCCTTTGAGAGAGCAGGTTTGAAACACGCCTTTTGTCATATCTGGAAGTGTCCATTCGGAGCGCATTCAGGCTTGTGTTGAAAAAGGAAATATCCTCCCATAAAAACTAGACAGAAGCATTCTCAGAAACTTATCTGTGATGTATGTACTCAACTAACAGAACTAAACCATCGTTTTGAAGGAGCAGTTTTGAAACACTCTTTTTGCGGAATCTGCAAGTGGATATTTGGCTAGCTGGGAGGATTTCGTTGGAAACGGGATTACATACAAAAAGCAGACAGCAGCATTCTCAGAAACTTCTTTGTGATGTTTGCATTCAAGTCACAGAGTTGAACATTCCCTTTCATAGAGCAGGTTTGAAACACTCTTTTTGTAGTATCTGGATGTGGACATTTGGATCGCTTTCAGGCCTATGGTGAAAAAGGAAATATCTTCCCATGAAAACTAGACAGAAGCATTCTCAGAAACTTATTTGTGATGTGTGCCCTCAACTGACAGTGTGGAACCTTTGTTTTGATAGAGCAGTTCTGAAACACACTTTTTGTAAAATCTGCAAGAGGATATTTGGATAGCTTTGAGGATTTCGTTGGAAACGGGAATGTCTTCATGTAAACTCTACACAGAAGCATTCTCAGAAACTGCTTTGGGATGTTTCAATTGAAGTCCCAGTGTTGAACATTCCCATTCATAGAGCAGGTTTGAAACACTCTTTTTGTAATATCTGGAAGTGGACATTTTGAGCGCTTTCAGGTCTACGGTGAAAAAGGAGATATCTTCCAATAAAAACTAGATAGAAGCAATGTCAGAACTTTTTTCATGATGTATCTACTCAGCTAACAGAGTTGAACCTTTCTTTTGAGAGAGCAGTTTTGAAACACTCTTTTTGTGGAATATGCAAGTGGGTATTAGGCCAGCTTGGAGGATTTCGTTGGAAACGGGAATACGTATAAAAAGCAGACAGCAGCATTGTCAGAAACTACTTTGTGATGTTTGCATTCAAGTCACAGAATTGAACACTCCCTTTCACAGAGCAGGTTTGAAACACTCTTTTTGTAGTGTCTGTAAGTGAACATATGGATTGCTTTCAGGCCTAAGGTGAAAAAGGAAATATCTTCCCATAAAAACTAGACAGAAGCATTCTCAGAAACTTGTTTGTGATGTGTGCCCTCTACTGACAGAGTTGAACCTTTCTTTGCAAAGAGCAGTTTTGAAACACTCTTTTTGTAGAATCTGCAAGAGGATATTTGGATAGCTTTGAAGATTTCTTGGGAAACGGGAATGTCTTCAGATAAACTCTAGACAGAAGCATTCTCAGAAACTTCTTTGGGATGTTTCAATTGAAGTCACAGTGTTGAACATTCCCTTTCACAGAGCAGGTTTGAAACACTCTTTTTGTAGTGTCTATAAGTGAACATTTGGCGTGCTTTCAGGCGTAACGTGAAAAAGGAAATATCTTCCCATAAAAACCAGACAGAAGCATTCTCAGAAACTTGTTCGTGATGTGTGCCCTCTACTGACAGAGTTGAACCTTTCTTTGCAAAGAGCAGCTTTGAAACACTCTTTTTGTAGAATCTGCCAGAGGATATTTGGATAGCTTTGAGGATTTCGTTGGAAACGGGTATGTCTTCAGATAAACTCTAGACAGAAGCATTCTCAGAAACTTCTTTGGGATGTTGCATTCAAGTCACAGAGTAGAACATTCCCATTCATAGAGCAGATTTGAAACACTCTTTTTGTAGTATCTGGAAGTGGACATTTGGAGCGCTTTCAGGCCTATGTTGAAAAAGGAAATATCTTCCCATAAAAACTAGACGGAAGCATTCTCAGAAACTTACTTGTGATGTGTTTGCTCAACTAACAGAATTGAAACATCGTTTTGAAGGAGCAGTTTTGAAACACTGTTTTCGTGGAATCTGCAAGTGGATATTTGGCTAGCTTTGAGGATTTCGTTGGAAACGGGATTACATATAAAAAGGAGACAGCAGCATTCTCAGAAACTTCTTTGTGATGTTTGCATTCAAGTCACAGAGTTGAACATTCCCTTTCATAGAGCAGGTTTGAAACACTCTTTTTGTAGTATCTGGATGTGGACATTTGGATCGCTTTCAGGCCTATGGTGAAAAAGGAAATATCTTCCCATGAAAACTAGACAGAAGCATTCTCAGAAACTTATTTGTGATGTGTGCCCTCAACTGACAGTGTTGAACCTTTGTTTTGATAGAGCAGTTCTGAAACACACTTTTTGTAAAATCTGCAAGAGGATATTTGGATAGCTTTGAGGATTTCGTTGGAAACGGGAATGTCTTCATGTAAACTCTAGACAGAAGCATTCTCAGAAACTGCTTTGGGATGTTTCAATTGAAGTCCCAGTGTTGAACATTCCCTTTCATAGAGCAGGTTTGAAACACTCTTTTTGTACTATCTGGAAGTGGACATTTGGAGCGCTTTCAGGTCTACGGTGAAAAAGGAGATATCTTCCAATAAAAACTAGATAGAAGCAATGTCAGAACTTTTTTCATGATGTATCTACTCAGCAAACAGAGTTGAACCTTTCTTTTGAGAGAGCAGTTTCGAAACACTCTTTCTGTGGAATATGCAAGTGGGTATTAGGCCAGCTTGGAGGATTTCGTTGGAAACGGGAATACGTATAAAAAGCAGACAGCAGCATTGTCAGAAACTACTTTGTGATGTTTGCATTCAAGTCACAGAATTGAACACTCCCTTTCACAGAGCAGGTTTGAAACACTCTTTTTGTAGTGTCTGTAAGTGAACATTTGGATTGCTTTCAGGCCTAAGGTGAAAAAGGAAATATCTTCCCATAAAAACTAGACAGAAGCATTCTCAGAAACTTGTTTGTGATGTGTGCCCTCTACTGACAGAGTTGAACCTTTCTTTGCAAAGAGCAGTTTTGAAACACTCTTTTTGTAGAATCTGCAAGAGGATATTTGGATAGCTTTGAGGATTTCTTGGGAAACGGGAATGTCTTCAGATAAACTCTAGACAGAAGCATTCTCAGAAACTTCTTTGGGATGTTTCAATTGAAGTCACAGTGTTGAACATTCCCTTTCACAGAGCAGGTTTGAAACACTCTTTTTGTAGTGTGTATAAGTGAACATTTGGCGTGCTTTCAGGCCTAACGTGAAAAAGGAAATATCTTCCCATAAAAACTAGACAGAAGCATTCTCAGAAACTTGTTCATGATGTGTGCCCTCTACTGACAGAGTTGAACCTTTCTTTGCAAAGAGCAGCTTTGAAACACTCTTTTTGTAGAATCTGCAAGAGGATATTTGGATAGCTTGGAGGATTTCGTTGGAAACGGGTATGTCTTCAGATAAACTCTAGACAGAAGCATTCTCAGAAACTTCTTTGGGATGTTTCAATTGAAGTCACAGTGTTGAACATTCCCTTTCACAGAGCAGGTTTGAAACACTCTTTTTGTAGTGTCTATAAGTGAACATTTGGCGTGCTTTCAGGCCTAATGTGAAAAAGGAAATATCTTCCCATAAAAACTAGACAGAAGCATTCTCAGAAACTTACTTGTGATGTGTTTGCTCAACTAACAGAATTGAACCATCGTTTTAAAGGAGCAGTTTTGAAACACTGTTTTCGTGGAATCTGCAAGTGGATATTTGGCTAGCTTTGAGGATTTCGTTGGAAACGGGATTACATATAAAAAGGAGACAGCAGCATTCTCAGAAACTTCTTTGTGATGTCTGCATTCAAGTCACAGAGTTGAGCATTCCCTTTCATAGAGCAGGTTGGAAACACTCTTTTTGTAGTATCTGGATGAGGACATTTGGAGCGCTTTCAGGCGTATGGTGAAAAAGGAAATATCTTCCCGTAAAAACTAGACAGAAGCATTCTCAGAAATTTATTTGTGATGTGTGCCCTCAACTAACAGAGTTGAACCTTTCTTTTGATAGAGCAGTTTTGAAACACTCTTTTTGTAAAATCTGCAAGAGGATATTTGGATAGCTTTGAGGATTTCATTGCAAACGGGAATGGCTTCATATAAACTCTAGACAGAAGCATTCTCAGAAACTTCGTTGGGATGTTTCGATTGAAGTCCCAGTGTTGAACATTCCCTTTTATAGAGCAGGTTGGAAACACTCTTTCTGCATTCCCTGGAAGTGGACATTTGGAGCGCTTTCAGGACGACGGTGAAAATGGAAATATCTTCCAAGAAAATCTAGATAGAAGCAACGTCAGAAACTTTTATGTGATGGATCTACTCAGCTAACAGAGTTGAACCTTTCTTTTGAGAGAGCAGTTTTGCAACACACTTTTTGTGGAATATGCAAGTGGATATTAGGGCAGCTTTGAGGATTTCGTTGGAAACGGGAATACATGTAAAAAGCAGACAGCAGCATTCTCAGAAACTTCTTTGTGATGTTTGCATTGAAGTCACAGAGTTGAACATTCCCTTTGAGAGAGCAGGTTTGAAACACGCCTTTTGTCGTATCTGGAAGTGTCCATTCGGAGCGCATTCAGGCTTGTGTTGAAAAAGGAAATATCCTCCCATAAAAACTAGACAGAAGCATTCTCAGAAACTTATCTGTGATGTATGTACTCAACTAACAGAACTAAACCATCGTTTTGAAGGAGCAGTTTTGAAACACTCTTTTTGCGGAATCTGCAAGTGGATATTTGGCTAGCTGGGAGGATTTCGTTGGAAACGGGATTACATACAAAAAGCAGACAGCAGCATTCTCAGAAACTTCTTTGTGATGTTTGCATTCAAGTCACAGAGTTGAACATTCCCTTTCATAGAGCAGGTTGGAAACACTCTTTTTGTAGTATCTGGATGTGGACATTTGGATCGCTTTCAGGCCTATGGTGAAAAAGGAAATATCTTCCCATGAAAACTAGACAGAAGCATTCTCAGAAACTTATTTGTGATGTGTGCCCTCAACTGACAGTGTTGAACCTTTGTTTTGATAGAGCAGTTCTGAAACACACTTTTTGTAAAATCTGCAAGAGGATATTTGGATAGCTTTGAGGATTTCGTTGGAAACGGGAATGTCTTCATGTAAACTCTGGACAGAAGCATTCTCAGAAACTGCTTTGGGATGTTTCAATTGAAGTCCCAGTGTTGAACATTCCCTTTCATAGAGCAGGTTTGAAACACTCTTTTTGTACTATCTGGAAGTGGACATTTGGAGCGCTTTCAGGTCTACGGTGAAAAAGGAGATATCTTCCAATAAAAACTAGATAGAAGCAATGTCAGAACTTTTTTCATGATGTATCTACTCAGCAAACAGAGTTGAACCTTTCTTTTGAGAGAGCAGTTTTGAAACACTCTTTTTGTGGAATATGCAAGTGGGTATTAGGCCAGCTTGGAGGATTTCGTTGGAAACGGGAATACGTATAAAAAGCAGACAGCAGCATTGTCAGAAACTACTTTGTGATGTTTGCATTCAAGTCACAGAATTGAACACTCCCTTTCACAGAGCAGGTTTGAAACACTCTTTTTGTAGTGTCTGTAAGTGAACATTTGGATTGCTTTCAGGCCTAAGGTGAAAAAGGAAATATCTTCCCATAAAAACTAGACAGAAGCATTCTCAGAAACTTGTTTGTGATGTGTGCCCTCTACTGACAGAGTTGAACCTTTCTTTGCAAAGAGAAGTTTTGAAACACTCTTTTTGTAGAATCTGCAAGAGGATATTTGGATAGCTTTGAGGATTTCTTGGGAAACGGGAATGTCTTCAGATAAACTCTAGACAGAAGCATTCTCAGAAACTTCTTTGGGATGTTTCAATTGAAGTCACAGTGTTGAACATTCCCTTTCACAGAGCAGGTTTGAAACACTCTTTTTGTAGTGTCTATAAGTGAACATTTGGCGTGCTTTCAGTTGTAACGTGAAAAAGGAAATATCTTCCCATAAAAACTAGACAGAAGCATTCTCAGAAACTTGTTCTTGATGTGTCCCCTCTACTGACAGAGTTGAACCTTTCTTTGCAAAGAGCAGCTTTGAAACACTCTTTTTGTAGAATCTGCAAGAGGATATTTGGATAGCTTGGAGGATTTCGTTGGAAACGGGTATGTCTTCAGATAAACTCTAGACAGAAGCATTCTCAGAAACTTCTTTGGGATGTTGCATTCAAGTCACAGAGTAGAACATTCCCATTCATAGAGCAGATTTGAAACACTCTTTTTGTAGTATCTGGAAGTGGACATTTGGAGCGCTTTCAGGCCTATGTTGAAAAAGGAAATATCTTCCCATAAAAACTAGACGGAAGCATTCTCAGAAACTTATTTGTGATGTGTTTGCTCAACTAACAGGATTGAACCATCGTTTTGAAGGAGCAGTTTTGAAACACTGTTTTCGTGGAATCTGCAAGTGGATATTTGGCTAGCTTTGAGGATTTCGTTGGAAACGGGATTACATATACAAAGGAGACAGCAGCATTCCCAGAAACTTCTTTGTGATGTCTGCATTCAATTCACAGAGTTGAGCATTCCCTTTCATAGAGCAGGTTGGAAACACTCTTTTTGTAGTATCTGGATGAGGACATTTGGAGCGCTTTCAGGCCTATGGTGAAAAAGGAAATATCTTCCCGTAAAAACTAGACAGAAGCATTCTCAGAAGTATATTTGTGATGTGTGCCCTCAACTAACAGAGTTGAACCTTTCTTTTGATAGAGCAGTTTTGAAACACTCTTTTTGTAAAATCTGCAAGAGGATATTTGGATAGCTTTGAGGATTTCGTTGCAAACGGGAATGGCTTCATATAAACTCTAAACAGAAGCATTCTCAGAAACTTCGTTGGGATGTTTCGATTGAAGTCCCAGTGTTGAACATTCCCTTTTATAGAGCAGGTTGGAAACACTCTTTCTGCATTCCCTGGAAGTGGACATTTGGAGCGCTTTCAGGACGACGGTGAAAATGGAAATATCTTCCAAGAAAATCTAGATAGAAGCAATGTCAGAAACTTTTATGTGATGGATCTACTCAGCTAACAGAGTTGAACCTTTCTTTTGAGAGAGCAGTTTTGCAACACTCTTTTTGTGGAATATGCAAGTGGATATTAGGGCAGCTTTGAGGATTTCGTTGGAAACGGGAATACATGTAAAAAGCAGACAGCAGCATTCTCAGAAACTTCTTTGTGATGTTTGCATTGAAGTCACAGAGTTGAACATTCCCTTTGAGAGAGCAGGTTTGAAACACGCCTTTTGTCATATCTGGAAGTGTCCATTCGGAGCACATTCAGGCTTGTGTTGAAAAAGGAAATATCCTCCCATAAAAACTAGACAGAAGCATTCTCAGAAACTTATCTGTGATGTATGTACTCAACTAACAGAACTAAACCATCGTTTTGAAGGAGCAGTTTTGAAACACTCTTTTTGCGGAATCTGCAAGTGGATATTTGGCTAGCTGGGAGGATTTCGTTGGAAACGGGATTACATACAAAAAGCAGACAGCAGCATTCTCAGAAACTTCTTTGTGATGTTTGCATTCAAGTCACAGAGTTGAACATTCCCTTTCATAGAGCAGGTTTGAAACACTCTTTTTGTAGTATCTGGATGTGGACATTTGGATCGCTTTCAGGCCTATGGTGAAAAAGGAAATATCTTCCCATGAAAACTAGACAGAAGCATTCTCAGAAACTTATTTGTGATGTGTGCCCTCAACTGACAGTGTTGAACCTTTGTTTTGATAGAGCAGTTCTGAAACACACTTTTTGTAAAATCTGCAAGAGGATATTTGGATAGCTTTGAGGATTTCGTTGGAAACGGGAATGTCTTCATGTAAACTCTACACAGAAGCATTCTCAGAAACTGCTTTGGGATGTTTCAATTGAAGTCCCAGTGTTGAACATTCCCATTCATAGAGCAGGTTTGAAGCACTCTTTTTGTACTATCTGGAAGTGGACATTTGGAGCGCTTTCAGGTCTACGGTGAAAAAGGAGATATCTTCCAATAAAAACTAGATAGAAGCAATGTCAGAACTTTTTTCATGATGTATCTACTCAGCAAACAGAGTTGAACCTTTCTTTTGAGAGAGCAGTTTTGAAACACTCTTTTTGTGGAATATGAAAGTGGGTATTAGGCCAGCTTGGAGGATTTCGTTGGAAACGGGAATACCGTATAAAAAGCAGACAGCAGCATTGTCAGAAACTACTTTGTGATGTTTGCATTCAAGTCACAGAACTGAACACTCCCTTTCACAGAGCAGGTTTGAAACACTCTTTTTGTAGTGTCTGTAAGTGAACATTTGGATTGCTTTCAGGCCTAAGGTGAAAAAGGAAATATCTTCCCATAAAAACTAGACAGAAGCATTCTCAGAAACTTGTTTGTGATGTGTGCCCTCTACTGACAGAGTTGAACCTTTCTTTGCAAAGAGCAGTTTTGAAACACTCTTTTTGTAGAATCTGCAAGAGGATATTTGGATAGCTTTGAGGATTTCTTGGGAAACGGGAATGTCTTCAGATAAACTCTAGACAGAAGCATTCTCAGAAACTTCTTTGGGATGTTTCAATTGAAGTCACAGTGTTGAACATTCCCTTTCACAGAGCAGGTTTGAAACACTCTTTTTGTAGTGTCTATAATTGAACATTTGGCGTGCTTTCAGGCCTAACGTGAAAAAGGAAATATCTTCCCATAAAAACTAGACAGAAGCATTCTCAGAAACTTGTTCGTGATGTGTGCCCTCTACTGACAGAGTTGAACCTTTCTTTGCAAAGAGCAGCTTTGAAACACTCTTTTTGTAGAATCTGCAAGAGGATATGTGGATAGCTTTGAGGATTTCGTTGGAAACGGGTATGTCTTCAGATAAACTCTAGACGGAAGCATTCTCAGAAACTTCTTTGGGATGTTTCAATTGAAGTCACAGTGTTGAACATTCCCTTTCACAGAGCAGGTTTGAAACACTCTTTTTGTAGTGTCTATAAGTGAACATTTGGCGTGCTTTCAGGCCTAACGTGAAAAAGGAAATATCTTCCCATAAAAACTAGACAGAAGCATTCTCAGAAACTTGTTCGTGATGTGTGACCTCTACAGACAGAGTTGAACCTTTCTTTGCAAAGAGCAGCTTTGAAACACACTTTTTGTAGAATCTGCAAGAGGATATTTGGATAGCTTTGAGGATTTCGTTGGAAACGGGTATGTCTTCAGATAAACTCTAGACAGAAGCATTCTCAGAAACTTCTTTGGGATGTTGCATTCAAGTCACAGAGTAGAACATTCCCATTCATAGAGCAGATTTGAAACACTCTTTTTGTAGTATCTGGAAATGGACATTTGGAGCGCTTTCAGGCCTATGTTGAAAAAGGAAATATCTTCCCATAAAAACTAGACGGAAGCATTCTCAGAAACTTATTTGTGATGTGTTTGCTCAACTAACAGGATTGAACCATCGTTTTGAAGGAGCAGTTTTGAAACACTGTTTTCGTGGAATCTGCAAGTGGATATTTGGCTAGCTTTGAGGATTTCGTTGGAAACGGGATTACATATACAAAGGAGACAGCAGCATTCTCAGAAACTTCTTTGTGATGTCTGCATTCAATTCACAGAGTTGAGCATTCCCTTTCATAGAGCAGGTTGGAAACACTCTTTTTGTAGTATCTGGATGAGGACATTTGGAGCGCTTTCAGGCGTATGGTGAAAAAGGAAATATCTTCCCGTAAAAACTAGACAGAAGCATTCTCAGAAGTTTATTTGTGATGTGTGCCCTCAACTAACAGAGTTGAACCTTTCTTTTGATAGAGCAGTTTTGAAACACTCTTTTTGTAAAATCTGCAAGAGGATATTTGGATAGCTTTGAGGATTTCGTTGCAAACGGGAATGGCTTCATATAAACTCCTAGACAGAAGCATTCTCAGAAACTTCGTTGGGATGTTTCGATTGAAGTCCCAGTGTTGAACATTCCCTTTTATAGAGCAGGTTGGAAACACTCTTTCTGCATTCCCTGGAAGTGGACATTTGGAGCGCTTTCAGGACGACGGTGAAAATGGAAATATCTTCCAAGAAAATCTAGATAGAAGCAACGTCAGAAACTTTTCTGTGATGGATCTACTCAGCTAACAGAGTTGAACCTTTCTTTTGAGAGAGCAGTTTTGCAACACTCTTTTTGTGGAATATGCAAGTGGATATTAGGGCAGCTTTGAGGATTTCGTTGGAAACGGGAATACATGTAAAAAGCAGACAGCAGCATTCTCAGAAACTTCTTTGTGATGTTTGCATTGAAGTCACAGAGTTGAACATTCCCTTTGAGAGAGCAGGTTTGAAACACGCCTTTTGTCATATCTGGAAGTGTCCATTCGGAGCGCATTCAGGCTTGTGTTGAAAAAGGAAATATCCTCCCATAAAAACTAGACAGAAGCATTCTCAGAAACTTATCTGTGATGTATGTACTCAACTAACAGAACTAAACCATCGTTTTGAAGGAGCAGTTTTGAAACACTCTTTTTGCGGAATCTGCAAGTGGATATTTGGCTAGCTGGGAGGATTTCGTTGGAAACGGGATTACATACAAAAAGCAGAGAGCAGCATTCTCAGAAACTTCTTTGTGATGTTTGCATTCAAGTCACAGAGTTGAACATTCCCTTTCATAGAGCAGGTTTGAAACACTCTTTTTGTAGTATCTGGATGTGGACATTTGGATCGCTTTCAGGCCTATGGTGAAAAAGGAAATATCTTCCCATGAAAACTAGACAGAAGCATTCTCAGAAACTTATTTGTGATGTGTGCCCTCAACTGACAGTGTTGAACATTTGTTTTGATAGAGCAGTTCTGAAACACACTTTTTGTAAAATCTGCAAGAGGATATTTGGATAGCTTTGAGGATTTCGTTGGAAACGGGAATGTCTTCATGTAAACTCTAGACAGAAGCATTCTCAGAAACTGCTTTGGGATGTTTCAATTGAAGTCCCAGTGTTGAACATTCCCATTCATAGAGCAGGTTTGAAACACTCTTTTTGTACTATCTGGAAGTGGACATTTGGAGCGCTTTCAGGTCTACGGTGAAAAAGGAGATATCTTCCAATAAAAACTAGATAGAAGCAATGTCAGAACTTTTTTCATGATGTATCTACTCAGCAAACAGAGTTGAACCTTTCTTTTGAGAGAGCAGTTTTGAAACACTCTTTTTGTGGAATATGCAAGTGGGTATTAGGCCAGCTTGGAGGATTTCGTTGGAAACGGGAATACGTATAAAAAGCAGACAGCAGCATTGTCAGAAACTACTTTGTGATGTTTGCATTCAAGTCACAGAATTGAACACTCCCTTTCACAGAGCAGGTTTGAAACACTCTTTTTGTAGTGTCTATAAGTGAACATTTGGCGTGCTTTCAGGCCTAACGTGAAAAAGGAAATATCTTCCCATAAAAACTAGACAGAAGCATTCTCAGAAACTTGTTCGTGATGTGTGCCCTCTACTGACAGAGTTGAACCTTTCTTTGCAAAGAGCAGCTTTGAAACACACTTTTTGTAGAATCTGCAAGAGGATATTTGGATAGCTTGGAGGATTTCGTTGGAAACGGGTATGTCTTCAGATAAACTCTAGACAGAAGCATTCTCAGAAACTTCTTTGGGATGTTGCATGCAAGTCACAGAGTAGAACATTCCCATTCATAGAGCAGATTTGAAACACTCTTTTTGTAGTATCTGGAAGTGGACATTTGGAGCGCTTTCAGGCCTATGTTGAAAAAGGAAATATCTTCCCATAAAAACTAGACGGAAGCATTCTCAGAAACTTATTTGTGATGTGTTTGCTCAACTAACAGGATTGAACCATCGTTTTGAAGGAGCAGTTTTGAAACACTGTTTTCGTGGAATCTGCAAGTGGATATTTGGCTAGCTGGGAGGATTTCGTTGGAAACGGGATTACATATAAAAAGGAGACAGCAGCATTCTCAGAAACTTCTTTGTGATGTCTGCATTCAATTCACAGAGTTGAGCATTCCCTTTCATAGAGCAGGTTGGAAACACTCTTTTTGTAGTATCTGGATGTGGACATTTGGATCGCTTTCAGGCCTATGGTGAAAAAGGATATATCTTCCCATGAAAACTAGACAGAAGCATTCTCAGAAACTTATTTGTGATGTGTGCCCTCAACTGACAGTGTTGAACCTTTGTTTTGATAGAGCAGTTCTGAAACACACTTTTTGTAAAATCTGCAAGAGGATATTTGGATAGCTTTGAGGATTTCGTTGGAAACGGGAATGTCTTCATGTAAACTCTAGACAGAAGCATTCTCAGAAACTGCTTTGGGATGTTTCAATTGAAGTCCCAGTGTTGAACATTCCCATTCATAGAGCAGGTTTGAAACACTCTTTTTGTACTATCTGGAAGTGGACATTTGGAGCGCTTTCAGGTCTACGGTGAAAAAGGAGATATCTTCCAATAAAAACTAGATAGAAGCAATGTCAGAACTTTTTTCATGATGTATCTACTCAGCAAACAGAGTTGAACCTTTCTTTTGAGGGAGCAGTTTTGAAACACTATTTTTGTGGAATATGCAAGTGGGTATTAGGCCAGCTTGGAGGATTTCGTTGGAAACGGGAATACGTATAAAAAGCAGACAGCAGCATTGTCAGAAACTACTTTGTGATGTTTGCATGCAAGTCACAGAACTGAACACTCCCTTTCACAGAGCAGGTTTGAAACACTCTTTTTGTAGTGTCTGTAAGTGAACATTTGGATTGCTTTCAGGCCTAAGGTGAAAAAGGAAATATCTTCCCATAAAAACTAGACAGAAGCATTCTCAGAAACTTGTTTGTGATGTGTGCCCTCTACTGACAGAGTTGAACCTTTCTTTGCAAAGAGCAGTTTTGAAACACTCTTTTTGTAGAATCTGCAAGAGGATATTTGGATAGCTTTGAGGATTTCTTGGGAAACGGGAATGTCTTCAGATAAACTCTAGACAGAAGCATTCTCAGAAACTTCTTTGGGATGTTTCAATTGAAGTCACAGTGTTGAACATTCCCTTTCACAGAGCAGGTTTGAAACACTCTTTTTGTAGTGTCTATAAGTGAACATTTGGCGTGCTTTCAGGCGTAACGTGAAAAAGGAAATATCTTCCCATAAAAACTAGACAGAAGCATTCTCAGAAACTTGTTCGTGATGTGTGCCCTCTACTGACAGAGTTGAACCTTTCTTTGCAAAGAGCAGCTTTGAAACACACTTTTTGTAGAATCTGCAAGAGGATATTTGGATAGCTTGGAGGATTTCGTTGGAAACGGGTATGTCTTCAGATAAACTCTAGACAGAAGCATTCTCAGAAACATCTTTGGGATGTTGCATTCAAGTCACAGAGTAGAACATTCCCATTCATAGAGCAGATTTGAAACACTCTTTTTGTAGTATCTGGAAGTGGACATTTGGAGCGCTTTCAGGCCTATGTTGAAAAAGGAAATATCTTCCCATAAAAACTAGACGGAAGCATTCTCTGAAACTTATTTGTGATGTGTTTGCTCAACTAACAGGATTGAACCATCGTTTTGAAGGAGCAGTTTTGAAACACTGTTTTCGTGGAATCTGCAAGTGGATATTTGGCTAGCTTTGAGGATTTCGTTGGAAACGGGATTACATATAAAAAGGAGACAGCAGCATTCTCAGAAACTTCTTTGTGATGTCTGCATTCAATTCACAGAGTTGAGCATTCCCTTTCATAGAGCAGGTTGGAAACACTCTTTTTGTAGTATCTGGATGAGGACATTTGGAGCGCTTTCAGGCGTATGGTGAAAAAGGAAATATCTTCCCGTAAAAACTAGACAGAAGCATTCTCAGAAGTTTATTTGTGATGTGTGCCCTCAACTAACAGAGTTGAACCTTTCTTTTGATAGAGCAGTTTTGAAACACTCTTTTTGTAAAATCTGCAAGAGGATATTTGGATAGCTTTGAGGATTTCGTTGCAAACGGGAATGGCTTCATATAAACTCTAGACAGAAGCATTCTCAGAAACTTCGTTGGGATGTTTCGATTGAAGTCCCAGTGTTGAACATTCCCTTTTATAGAGCAGGTTGGAAACACTCTTTCTGCATTCCCTGGAAGTGGACATTTGGAGCGCTTTCAGGACGACGGTGAAAATGGAAATATCTTCCAAGAAAATCTAGATAGAAGCAACGTCAGAAACTTTTCTGTGATGGATCTACTCAGCTAACAGAGTTGAACCTTTCTTTTGAGAGAGCAGTTTTGCAACACTCTTTTTGTGGAATATGCAAGTGGATATTAGGGCAGCTTTGAGGATTTCGTTGGAAACGGGAATACATGTAAAAAGCAGACAGCAGCATTCTCAGAAACTTCTTTGTGATGTTTGCATTGAAGTCACAGAGTTGAACATTCCCTTTGAGAGAGCAGGTTTGAAACACGCCTTTTGTCATATCTGGAAGTGTCCATTCGGAGCGCATTCAGGCTTGTGTTGAAAAAGGAAATATCCTCCCATAAAAACTAGACAGAAGCATTCTCAGAAACTTATCTGTGATGTATGTACTCAACTAACAGAACTAAACCACCGTTTTGAAGGGCAGTTTTGAAACACTCTTTTTGCGGAATCTGCAAGTGGATATTTGGCTAGCTGGGAGGATATCGTTGGAAACGGGATTACATACAAAAAGCAGACAGCAGCATTCTCAGAAACTTCTTTGTGATGTTTGCATTCAAGTCACAGAGTTGAACATTCCCTTTCATAGAGCAGGTTTGAAACACTCTTTTTGTAGTATCTGGATGTGGACATTTGGATCGCTTTCAGGCCTATGGTGAAAAAGGAAATATCTTCCCATGAAAACTAGACAGAAGCATTCTCAGAAACTTATTTGTGATGTGTGCCCTCAACTGACAGTATTGAACCTTTGTTTTGATAGAGCAGTTCTGAAACACACTTTTTGTAAAATCTGCAAGAGGATATTTGGATAGCTTTGAGGATTTCGTTGGAAACGGGAATGTCTTCATGTAAACTCTAGACAGAAGCATTCTCAGAAACTGCTTTGGGATGTTTCAATTGAAGTCCCAGTGTTGAACATTCCCTTTCATAGAGCAGGTTTGAAACACTCTTTTTGTACTATCTGGAAGTGGACATTTGGAGCGCTTTCAGGTCTACGGTGAAAAAGGAGATATCTTCCAATAAAAACTAGATAGAAGCAATGTCAGAACTTTTTTCATGATGTATCTACTCAGCAAACAGAGTTGAACCTTTCTTTTGAGAGAGCAGTTTTGAAACACTCTTTTTGTGGAATATGCAAGTGGGTATTAGGCCACCTTGGAGGATTTCGTTGGAAACGGGAATACGTATAAAAAGCAGACAGCAGCATTGTCAGAAACTACTTTGTGATGTTTGCATTCAAGTCACAGAATTGAACACTCCCTTTCACAGAGCAGGTTTGAAACACTCTTTTTGTAGTGTCTGTAAGTGAACATTTGGATTGCTTTCAGGCCTAAGGTGAAAAAGGAAATATCTTCCCATAAAAACTAGACAGAAGCATTCTCAGAAACTTGTTTGTGATGTGTGCCCTCTACTGACAGAGTTGAACCTTTCTTTGCAAAGAGCAGTTTTGAAACACTCTTTTTGTAGAATCTGCAAGAGGATATTTGGATAGCTTTGAGGATTTCTTGGGAAACGGGAATGTCTTCAGATAAACTCTAGACAGAAGCATTCTCAGAAACTTCTTTGGGATGTTTCAATTGAAGTCACAGTGTTGAACATTCCCTTTCACAGAGCAGGTTTGAAACACTCTTTTTGTAGTGTCTATAAGTGAACATTTGGCGTGCTTTCAGGCGTAACGTGAAAAAGGAAATATCTTCCCATAAAAACTAGACAGAAGCATTCTCAGAAACTTGTTCTTGATGTGTCCCCTCTACTGACAGAGTTGAACCTTTCTTTGCAAAGAGCAGCTTTGAAACACTCTTTTTGTAGAATCTGCAAGAGGATATTTGGATAGCTTTGAGGATTTCGTTGGAAACGGGTATGACTTCAGATAAACTCTAGACAGAAGCATTCTCAGAAACTTCTTTGGGATGTTGCATTCAAGTCACAGAGTAGAACATTCCCATTCATAGAGCAGATTTGAAACACTCTTTTTGTAGTATCTGGAAGTGGACATTTGGAGCGCTTTCAGGCCTATGTTGAAAAAGGAAATATCTTCCCATAAAAACTAGACGGAAGCATTCTCAGAAACTTATTTGTGATGTGTTTGCTCAACTAACAGGATTGAACCATCGTTTTGAAGGAGCAGTTTTGAAACACTGTTTTCGTGGAATCTGCAAGTGGATATTTGGCTAGCTTTGAGGATTTCGTTGGAAACGGGATTACATATAAAAAGGAGACAGCAGCATTCTCAGAAACTTCTTTGTGATGTCTGCATTCAATTCACAGAGTTGAGCATTCCCTTTCATAGAGCAGGTTGGAAACACTCTTTTTGTAGTATCTGGATGAGGACATTTGGAGCGCTTTCAGGCGTATGGTGAAAAAGGAAATATCTTCCCGTAAAAACTAGACAGAAGCATTCTCAGAAATTTATTTGTGATGTGTGCCCTCAACTAACAGAGTTGAACCTTTCTTTTGATAGAGCAGTTTTGAAACACTCTTTTTGTAAAATCTGCAAGAGGATATTTGGATAGCTTTGAGGATTTCGTTGCAAACGGGAATGGCTTCATATAAACTCTAGACAGAAGCATTCTCAGAAACTTCGTTGGGATGTTTCGATTGAAGTCCCAGTGTTGAACATTCCCTTTTATAGAGCAGGTTGGAAACACTCTTTCTGCATTCCCTGGAAGTGGACATTTGGAGCGCTTTCAGGACGACGGTGAAAATGGAAATATCTTCCAAGAAAATCTAGATAGAAGCAACGTCAGAAACTTTTCTGTGATGGATCTACTCAGCTAACAGAGTTGAACCTTTCTTTTGAGAGAGCAGTTTTGCAACACTCTTTTTGTGGAATATGCAAGTGGATATTAGGGCAGCTTTGAGGATTTCGTTGGAAACGGGAATACATGTAAAAAGCAGACAGCAGCATTCTCAGAAACTTCTTTGTGATGTTTGCATTGAAGTCACAGAGTTGAACATTCCCTTTGAGAGAGCAGGTTTGAAACACGCCTTTTGTCATATCTGGAAGTGTCCATTCGGAGCGCATTCAGGCTTGTGTTGAAAAAGGAAATATCCTCCCATAAAAACTAGACAGAAGCATTCTCAGAAACTTATCTGTGATGTATGTACTCAACTAACAGAACTAAACCATCGTTTTGAAGGAGCAGTTTTGAAACACTCTTTTTGCGGAATCTGCAAGTGGATATTTGGCTAGCTGGGAGGATTTCGTTGGAAACGGGATTACATACAAAAAGCAGACAGCAGCATTCTCAGAAACTTCTTTGTGATGTTTGCATTCAAGTCGCAGAGTTGAACATTCCCTTTCATAGAGCAGGTTTGAAACACTCTTTTTGTAGTATCTGGATGTGGACATTTGGATCGCTTTCAGGCCTATGGTGAAAAAGGAAATATCTTCCCATGAAAACTAGACAGAAGCATTCTCAGAAACTTATTTGTGATGTGTGCCCTCAACTGACAGTGTTGAACCTTTGTTTTGATAGAGCAGTTCTGAAACACACTTTTTGTAAAATCTGCAAGAGGATATTTGGATAGCTTTGAGGATTTCGTTGGAAACGGGAATGTCTTCATGTAAACTCTAGACAGAAGCATTCTCAGAAACTGCTTTGGGATGTTTCAATTGAAGTCCCAGTGTTGAACATTCCCTTTCATAGAGCAGGTTTGAAACACTCTTTTTGTACTATCTGGAAGTGGACATTTGGAGCGCTTTCAGGTCTACGGTGAAAAAGGAGATATCTTCCAATAAAAACTAGATAGAAGCAATGTCAGAACTTTTTTCATGATGTATCTACTCAGCAAACAGAGTTGAACCTTTCTTTTGAGAGAGCAGTTTTGAAACACTCTTTTTGTGGAATATGCAAGTGGGTATTAGGCCAGCTTGGAGGATTTCGTTGGAAACGGGAATACGTATAAAAAGCAGACAGCAGCATTGTCAGAAACTACTTTGTGATGTTTGCATTCAAGTCACAGAATTGAACACTCCCTTTCACAGAGCAGGTTTGAAACACTCTTTTTGTAGTGTCTGTAAGTGAACATTTGGATTGCTTTCAGGCCTAAGGTGAAAAAGGAAATATCTTCCCATAAAAACTAGACAGAAGCATTCTCAGAAACTTGTTTGTGATGTGTGCCCTCTACTGACAGAGTTGAACCTTTCTTTGCAAAGAGCAGTTTTGAAACACTCTTTTTGTAGAATCTGCAAGAGGATATTTGGATAGCTTTGAGGATTTCTTGGGAAACGGGAATGTCTTCAGATAAACTCTAGACAGAAGCATTCTCAGAAACTCCTTTGGGATGTTTCAATTGAAGTCACAGTGTTGAACATTCCCTTTCACAGAGCAGGTTTGAAACACTCTTTTTGTAGTGTCTATAAGTGAACATTTGGCGTGCTTTCAGGCCTAACGTGAAAAAGGAAATATCTTCCCATAAAAACTAGACAGAAGCATTCTCAGAAACTTGTTCTTGATGTGTCCCCTCTACTGACAGAGTTGAACCTTTCTTTGCAAAGAGCAGCTTTGAAACACTCTTTTTGTAGAATCTGCAAGAGGATATTTGGATAGCTTGGAGGATTTCGTTGGAAACGGGTATGTCTTCAGATAAACTCTAGACAGAAGCATTCTCAGAAACTTCTTTGGGATGTTGCATTCAAGTCACAGAGTAGAACATTCCCATTCATAGAGCAGATTTGAAACACTCTTTTTGTAGTATCTGGAAGTGGACATTTGGAGCGCTTTCAGGCCTATGTTGAAAAAGGAAATATCTTCCCATAAAAACTAGACGGAAGCATTCTCAGAAACTTAATTGTGATGTGTTTGCTCAACTAACAGGATTGAACCATCGTTTTGAAGGAGCAGTTTTGAAACACTGTTTTCGTGGAATCTGCAAGTGGATATTTGGCTAGCTTTGAGGATTTCGTTGGAAACGGGATTACATATAAAAAGGAGACAGCAGCATTCTCAGAAACTTCTTTGTGATGTCTGCATTCAATTCACAGAGTTGAGCATTCCCTTTCATAGAGCAGGTTGGAAACACTCTTTTTGTAGTATCTGGATGAGGACATTTGGATCGCTTTCAGGCCTATGGTGAAAAAGGAAATATCTTCCCATGAAAACTAGACAGAAGCATTCTCAGAAACTTATTTGTGATGTGTGCACTCAACTGACAGTGTTGAACCTTTGTTTTGATAGAGCAGTTCTGAAACACACTTTTTGTAAAATCTGCAAGAGGATATTTGGATAGCTTTGAGGATTTCGTTGGAAACGGGAATGTCTTCATGTAAACTCTAGACAGAAGCATTCTCAGAAACTGCTTTGGGATGTTTCAATTGAAGTCCCAGTGTTGAACATTCCCATTCATAGAGCAGGTTTGAAACACTCTTTTTCTACTATCTGGAAGTGGACATTTGGAGCGCTTTCAGGTCTACGGTGAAAAAGGAGATATCTTCCAATAAAAACTAGATAGAAGCAATGTCAGAACTTTTTTCATGATGTATCTACTCAGCAAACAGAGTTGAACATTTCTTTTGAGAGAGCAGTTTTGACACAGTCTTTGTGGAATATGCAAGTGGGTATTAGGCCAGCTTGGAGGATTTCGTTGGAAACGGGAATACGTATAAAAAGCAGACAGCAGCATTGTCAGAAACTACTTTGTGATGTTTGCATTCAAGTCACAGAATTGAACACTCCCTTTCACAGAGCAGGTTTGAAACACTCTTTTTGTAGTGTCTGTAAGTGAACATTTGGATTGCTTTCAGGCCTATGGTGAAAAAGGAAATATCTTCCCATAAAAACTAGACAGAAGCATTCTCAGAAACTTGTTTGTGATGTGTGCCCTCTACTGACAGAGTTGAACCTTTCTTTGCAAAGAGCAGTTTTGAAACACTCTTTTTGTAGAATCTGCAAGAGGATATTTGGATAGCTTTGAGGATTTCTTGGGAAACGGGAATGTCTTCAGATAAACTCTAGACAGAAGCATTCTCAGAAACTTCTTTGGGATGTTTCAATTGAAGTCACAGTGTTGAACATTCCCTTTCACAGAGCAGGTTTGAAACACTCTTTTTGTAGTGTCTATAATTGAACATTTGGCGTGCTTTCAGGCCTAACGTGAAAAAGGAAATATCTTCCCATACAAAACTAGACAGAAGCATTCTCAGAAACTTGTTTGTGATGTGTGCCCTCTACTGACAGAGTTGAACCTTTCTTTGCAAAGAGCAGCTTTGAAACACTCTGTTTGTAGAATCTGCAAGAGGATATTTGGATAGCTTTGAGGATTTCGTTGGAAACGGGTATGTCTTCACATAAACTCTAGACAGAAGCATTCTCAGAAACTTCTTTGGGATGTTGCATTCAAGTTACAGAGTAGAACATTCCCATTCATAGAGCAGATTTGAAACACTCTTTTTGTAGTATCTGGAAGTGGACATTTGGAGCGCTTTCAGGCCTATGTTGAGAAACGAAATATCTTCCCATAAAAACTAGACGGAAGCATTCTCAGAAACTTATTTCTGATGTGTTTGCTCAACTAACAGAATTGAACCATCGTTTTGAAGGAGCAGTTTTGAAACCCTGTTTTCGTGGAATCTGCAAGTGGATATTTGGCTAGCTTTGAGGATTTCGTTGGAAACGGGATTACCTATAAAAAGGAGACAGCAGCATTCTCAGAAACTTCTTTGTGATGTCTGCATTCAAGTCACAGAGTTGAGCATTCCCTTTCATAGAGCAGGTTTGAAACACTCTTTTTGTAGTATCTGGATGAGGACATTTGGAGCGCTTTCAGGCGTATGGTGAAAAAGGAAATATCTTCCCGTAAAAACTAGACAGAAGCATTCTCAGAAATTTATTTGTGATGTGTGCCCTCAACTAACAGAGTTGAACCTTTCTTTTGATAGAGCAGTTTTGAAACACTCTTTTTGTAAAATCTGCAAGAGGATATTTGGATAGCTTTGAGGATTTCATTGCAAACGGGAATGGCTTCATATAAACTCTAGACAGAAGCATTCTCAGAAACTTCGTTGGGATGTTTCGATTGAAGTCCCAGTGTTGAACATTCCCTTTTATAGAGCAGGTTGGAAACACTCTTTCTGCATTCCCTGGAAGTGGACATTTGGAGCGCTTTCAGGACGACGGTGAAAATGGAAATATCTTCCAAGAAAATCTAGATAGAAGCAACGTCAGAAACTTTTCTGTGATGGATCTACTCAGCTAACAGAGTTGAACCTTTCTTTTGAGAGAGCAGTTTTGCAACACTCTTTTTGTGGAATATGCAAGTGGATATTAGGGCAGCTTTGAGGATTTCGTTGGAAACGGGAATACATGTAAAAAGCAGACAGCAGCATTCTCAGAAACTTCTTTGTGATGTTTGCATTGAAGTCACAGCAGTTGAACATTCCCTTTGAGAGAGCAGGTTTGAAACACGCCTTTTGTCATATCTGGAAGTGTCCATTCGGAGCGCATTCAGGCTTGTGTTGAAAAAGGAAATATCCTCCCATAAAAACTAGACAGAAGCATTCTCAGAAACTTATCTGTGATGTATGTACTCAACTAACAGAACTAAACCATCGTTTTGAAGGAGCAGTTTTGAAACACTCTTTTTGCGGAATCTGCAAGTGGATATTTGGCTAGCTGGGAGGATTTCGTTGGAAACGGGATTACATACAAAAAGCAGACAGCAGCATTCTCAGAAACTTCTTTGTGATGTTAGCATTCAAGTCACAGAGTTGAACATTCCCTTTCATAGAGCAGGTTTGAAACACTCTTTTTGTAGTATCTGGATGTGGACATTTGGATCGCTTTCAGGCCTATGGTGAAAAAGGAAATATCTTCCCATGAAAACTAGACAGAAGCATTCTCAGAAATTTATTTGTGATGTGTGCCCTCAACTAACAGAGTTGAACCTTTCTTTTGATAGAGCAGTTTTGAAACACTCTTTTTGTAAAATCTGCAAGAGGATATTTGGATAGCTTTGAGGATTTCGTTGCAAACGGGAATGGCTTCATATAAACTCTAGACAGAAGCATTCTCAGAAACTTCGTTGGGATGTTTCGATTGAAGTCCCAGTGTTGAACATTCCCTTTTATAGAGCAGGTTGGAAACACTCTTTCTGCATTCCCTGGAAGTGGACATTTGGAGCGCTTTCAGGACGACGGTGAAAATGGAAATATCTTCCAAGAAAATCTAGATAGAAGCAACGTCAGAAACTTTTATGTGATGGATCTACTCAGCTAACAGAGTTGAACCTTTCTTTTGAGAGAGCAGTTTTGCAACACTCTTTTTGTGGAATATGCAAGTGGATATTAGGGCAGCTTTGAGGATTTCGTTGGAAACGGGAATACATGTAAAAAGCAGACAGCAGCATTCTCAGAAACTTCTTTGTGATGTTTGCATTGAAGTCACAGAGTTGAACATTCCCTTTGAGAGAGCAGGTTTGAAACACGCCTTTTGTCATATCTGGAAGTGTCCATTCGGAGCGCATTCAGGCTTGTGTTGAAAAAGGAAATATCCTCCCATAAAAACTAGACAGAAGCATTCTCAGAAACTTATTTGTGATGTATGTACTCAAGTAACAGAACTAAACCATCGTTTTGAAGGAGCAGTTTTGAAACACTCTTTTTGCGGAATCTGCAAGTGGATATTTGGCTAGCTGGGAGGATTTCGTTGGAAACGGGATTACATACAAAAAGCAGACAGCAGCATTCTCAGAAACTTCTTTGTGATGTTTGCATTCAAGTCACAGAGTTGAACATTCCCTTTCATAGAGCAGGTTTGAAACACTCTTTTTGTAGTATCTGGATGTGGACATTTGGATCGCTTTCAGGCCTATGGTGAAAAAGGAAATATCTTCCCATGAAAACTAGACAGAAGCATTCTCAGAAACTTATTTGTGATGTGTGCCCTCAACTGACAGTGTTGAACCTTTGTTTTGATAGAGCAGTTCTGAAACACACTTTTTGTAAAATCTGCAAGAGGATATTTGGATAGCTTTGAGGATTTCGTTGGAAACGGGAATGTCTTCATGTAAACTCTAGACAGAAGCATTCTCAGAAACTGCTTTGGGATGTTTCAATTGAAGTCCCAGTGTTGAACATTCCCTTTCATAGAGCAGGTTTGAAACACTCTTTTTGTACTATCTGGAAGTGGACATTTGGAGCGCTTTCAGGTCTACGGTGAACAAGGAGATATCTTCCAATAAAAACTAGATAGAAGCAATGTCAGAACTTTTTTCATGATGTATCTACTCAGCAAACAGTAGTTGAACCTTTCTTTTGAGAGAGCAGTTTTGAAACACTCTTTTTGTGGAATATGCAAGTGGGTATTAGGCCAGCTTGGAGGATTTCGTTGGAAACGGGAATACGTATAAAAAGCAGACAGCAGCATTGTCAGGAAACTACTTTGTGATGTTTGCATTCAAGTCACAGAATTGAACACTCCCTTTCACAGAGCAGGTTTGAAACACTCTTTTTGTAGTGTCTGTAAGTGAACATATGGATTGCTTTCAGGCCTAAGGTGAAAAAGGAAATATCTTCCCATAAAAACTAGACAGAAGCATTCTCAGAAACTTGTTTGTGATGTGTGCCCTCTACTGACAGAGTTGAACCTTTCTTTGCAAAGAGCAGTTTTGAAACACTCTTTTTGTAGAATCTGCAAGAGGATATTTGGATAGCTTTGAAGATTTCTTGGGAAACGGGAATGTCTTCAGATAAACTCTAGACAGAAGCATTCTCAGAAACTTCTTTGGGATGTTTCAATTGAAGTCACAGTGTTGAACATTCCCTTTCACAGAGCAGGTTTGAAACACTCTTTTTGTAGTGTCTATAAGTGAACATTTGGCGTGCTTTCAGGCGTAACGTGAAAAAGGAAATATCTTCCCATAAAAACCAGACAGAAGCGTTCTCAGAAACTTGTTCTTGATGTGTGCCCTCTACTGACAGAGTTGAACCTTTCTTTGCAAAGAGCAGCTTTGAAACACTCTTTTTGTAGAATCTGCAAGAGGATATTTGGATAGCTTTGAGGATTTCGTTGGAAACGGGTATGTCTTCAGATAAACTCTAGACAGAAGCATTCTCAGAAACTTCTTTGGGATGTTGCATTCAAGTCACAGAGTAGAACATTCCCATTCATAGAGCAGATTTGAAACACTCTTTTTGTAGTATCTGGAAGTGGACATTTGGAGCGCTTTCAGGCCTATGTTGAAAAAGGAAATATCTTCCCATGAAAACTAGACAGAAGCATTCTCAGAAACTTATTTGTGATGTGTGCCCTCAACTGACAGTGTTGAACCTTTGTTTTGATAGAGCAGTTCTGAAACACACTTTTTGTAAAATCTGCAAGAGGATATTTGGATAGCTTTGAGGATTTCGTTGGAAACGGGAATGTCTTCATGTAAACTCTAGACAGAAGCATTCTCAGAAACTGCTTTGGGATGTTTCAATTGAAGTCCCAGTGTTGAACATTCCCATTCATAGAGCAGGTTTGAAACACTCTTTTTGTACTATCTGGAAGTGGACATTTGGAGCGCTTTCAGGTCTACGGTGAAAAAGGAGATATCTTCCAATAAAAACTAGATAGAAGCAATGTCAGAACTTTTTTCATGATGTATCTACTCAGCACACAGAGTTGAACCTTTCTTTTGAGAGAGCAGTTTTGAAACACTCTTTTTGTGGAATATGCAAGTGGGTATTAGGCCAGCTTGGAGGATTTCGTTGGAAACGGGAATACGTATAAAAAGCAGACAGCAGCATTGTCAGAAACTACTTTGTGATGTTTGCATTCAAGTCACAGAATTGAACACTCCCTTTCACAGAGCAGGTTTGAAACACTCTTTTTGTAGTGTCTGTAAGTGAACATATGGATTGCTTTCAGGCCTAAGGTGAAAAAGGAAATATCTTCCCATAAAAACTAGACAGAAGCATTCTCAGAAACTTGTTTGTGATGTGTGCCCTCTACTGACAGAGTTGAACCTTTCTTTGCAAAGACCAGTTTTGAAACACTCTTTTTGTAGAATCTGCAAGAGGATATTTGGATAGCTTTGAAGATTTCTTGGGAAACGGGAATGTCTTCAGATAAACTCTAGACAGAAGCATTCTCAGAAACTTCTTTGGGATGTTTCAATTGAAGTCACAGTGTTGAACATTCCCTTTCACAGAGCAGGTTTGAAACACTCTTTTTGTAGTGTCTATAAGTGAACATTTGGCGTGCTTTCAGGCCTAACGTGAAAAAGGAAATATCTTCCCATAAAAACTAGACAGAAGCATTCTCAGAAACTTGTTCGTGATGTGTGCCCTCTACTGACAGAGTTGAACCTTTCTTTGCAAAGAGCAGCTTTGAAACACTCTTTTTGTAGAATCTGCAAGAGGATATTTGGATAGCTTGGAGGATTTCGTTGGAAACGGGTATGTCTTCAGATAAACTCTAGACAGAAGCATTCTCAGAAACTTCTTTGGGATGTTGCATGCAAGTCACAGAGTAGAACATTCCCATTCATAGAGCAGATTTGAAACACTCTTTTTGTAGTATCTGGAAGAGGACATTTGGAGCGCTTTCAGGCCTATGTTGAAAAAGGAAATATCTTCCCATAAAAACTAGACGGAAGCATTCTCAGAAACTTAATTGTGATGTGTTTGCTCAACTAACAGGATTGAACCATCGTTTTGAAGGAGCAGTTTTGAAACACTGTTTTCGTGGAATCTGCAAGTGGATATTTGGCTAGCTTTGAGGATTTCGTTGGAAACGGGATTACATATAAAAAGGAGACAGCAGCATTCTCAGAAACTTCTTTGTGATGTCTGCATTCAATTCACAGAGTTGAGCATTCCCTTTCATAGAGCAGGTTGGAAACACTCTTTTTGTAGTATCTGGATGTGGACATTTGGATCGCTTTCAGGCCTATGGTGAAAAAGGAAATATCTTCCCATGAAAACTAGACAGAAGCATTCTCAGAAACTTATTTGTGATGTGTGCACTCAACTGACAGTGTTGAACCTTTGTTTTGATAGAGCAGTTCTGAAACACACTTTTTGTAAAATCTGCAAGAGGATATTTGGATAGCTTTGAGGATTTCGTTGGAAACGGGAATGTCTTCATGTAAACTCTAGACAGAAGCATTCTCAGAAACTGCTTTGGGATGTTTCAATTGAAGTCCCAGCGTTGAACATTCCCATTCATAGAGCAGGTTTGAAACACTCTTTTTGTACTATCTGGAAGTGGACATTTGGAGCGCTTTCAGGTCTACGGTGAAAAAGGAGATATCTTCCAATAAAAACTAGATAGAAGCAATGTCAGAACTTTTTTCATGATGTATCTACTCAGCAAACAGAGTTGAACCTTTCTTTTGAGAGAGCAGTTTTGACACAGTCTTTGTGGAATATGCAAGTGGGTATTAGGCCAGCTTGGAGGATTTCGTTGGAAACGGGAATACGTATAAAAAGCAGACAGCAGCATTGTCAGAAACTACTTTGTGATGTTTGCATTCAAGTCACAGAATTGAACACTCCCTTTCACAGAGCAGGTTTGAAACACTCTTTTTGTAGTGTCTGTAAGTGAACATTTGGATTGCTTTCAGGCCTATGGTGAAAAAGGAAATATCTTCCCATAAAAACTAGACAGAAGCATTCTCAGAAACTTGTTTGTGATGTGTGCCCTCTACTGACAGAGTTGAACCTTTCTTTGCAAAGAGCAGTTTTGAAACACTCTTTTTGTAGAATCTGCAAGAGGATATTTGGATAGCTTTGAGGATTTCTTGGGAAACGGGAATGTCTTCAGATAAACTCTAGACAGAAGCATTCTCAGAAACTTCTTTGGGATGTTTCAATTGAAGTCAGAGTGTTGAACATTCCCTTTCACAGAGCAGGTTTGAAACACTCTTTTTGTAGTGTCTATAATTGAACATTTGGCGTGCTTTCAGGCCTAACGTGAAAAAGGAAATATCTTCCCATAAAAACTAGACAGAAGCATTCTCAGAAACTTGTTCGTGATGTGTGCCCTCTACTGACAGAGTTGAACCTTTCTTTGCAAAGAGCAGCTTTGAAACACTCTTTTTGTAGAATCTGCAAGAGGATATGTGGATAGCTTTGAGGATTTCGTTGGAAACGGGTATGTCTTCAGATAAACTCTAGACAGAAGCATTCTCAGAAACTTCTTTGGGATGTTTCAATTGAAGTCACAGTGTTGAACATTCCCTTTCACAGAGCAGGTTTGAAACACTCTTTTTGTAGTGTCTATAAGTGAACATTTGGCGTGCTTTCAGGCCTAACGTGAAAAAGGAAATATCTTCCCATAAAAACTAGACAGAAGCATTCTCAGAAACTTGTTCTTGATGTGTCCCTTCTACTGACAGAGTTGAACCTTTCTTTGCAAAGAGCAGCTTTGAAACACTCTTTTTGTAGAATCTGCAAGAGGATATTTGGATAGCTTTGAGGATTTCGTTGGAAACGGGTATGTCTTCAGATAAACTCTAGACAGAAGCATTCTCAGAAACTTCTTTGGGATGTTGCATTCAAGTCACAGAGTAGAACATTCCCATTCATAGAGCAGATTTGAAACACTCTTTTTGTAGTATCTGGAAGTGGACATTTGGAGCGCTTTCAGGCCTATGTTGAAAAAGGAAATATCTTCCCATAAAAACTAGACGGAAGCATTCTCAGAAACTTACTTGTGATGTGTTTGCTCAACTAACAGAATTGAACCATCGTTTTGAAGGAGCAGTTTTGAAACACTGTTTTCGTGGAATCTGCAAGTGGATATTTGGCTAGCTTTGAGGATTTCGTTGGAAACGGGATTACATATAAAAAGGAGACAGCAGCATTCTCAGAAACTTCTTTGTGATGTCTGCATTCAAGTCACAGAGTTGAGCATTCCCTTTCATAGAGCAGGTTGGAAACACTCTTTTTGTAGTATCTGGATGAGGACATTTGGAGCGCTTTCAGGCCTATGGTGAAAAAGGAAATATCTTCCCGTAAAAACTAGACAGAAGCATTCTCAGAAGTTTATTTGTGATGTGTGCCCTCAACTAACAGAGTTGAACCTTTCTTTTGATAGAGCAGTTTTGAAACACTCTTTTTGTAAAATCTGCAAGAGGATATTTGGATAGCTTTGAGGATTTCGTTGCAAACGGGAATGGCTTCATATAAACTCTAGACAGAAAGCATTCTCAGAAACTTCGTTGGGATGTTTCGATTGAAGTCCCAGTGTTGAACATTCCCTTTTATAGAGCAGGTTGGAAACACTCTTTCTGCATTCCCTGGAAGTGGACATTTGGAGCGCTTTCAGGACGACGGTGAAAATGGAAATATCTTCCAAGAAAATCTAGATAGAAGCAATGTCAGAAACTTTTATGTGATGGATCTACTCAGCTAACAGAGTTGAACCTTTCTTTTGAGAGAGCAGTTTTGCAACACTCTTTTTGTGGAATATGCAAGTGGATATTAGGGCAGCTTTGAGGATTTCGTTGGAAACGGGAATATATGTAAAAAGCAGACAGCAGCATTCTCAGAAACTTCTTTGTGATGTTTGCATTGAAGTCACAGAGTTGAACATTCCCTTTGAGAGAGCAGGTTTGAAACACGCCTTTTGTCATATCTGGAAGTGTCCATTCGGAGCGCATTCAGGCTTGTGTTGAAAAAGGAAATATCCTCCCATAAAAACTAGACAGAAGCATTCTCAGAAACTTATCTGTGATGTATGTACTCAACTAACAGAACTAAACCATCCTTTTGAAGGAGCAGTTTTGAAACACTCTTTTTGCGGAATCTGCAAGTGGATATTTGGCTAGCTTGGGAGGATTTCGTTGGAAACGGGATTACATACAAAAAGCAGACAGCAGCATTCTCAGAAACTTCTTTGTGATGTTTGCATTCAAGTCACAGAGTTGAACATTCCCTTTCATAGAGCAGGTTTGAAACACTCTTTTTGTAGTATCTGGATGTGGACATTTGGATCGCTTTCAGGCCTATGGTGAAAAAGGAAATATCTTCCCATGAAAACTAGACAGAAGCATTCTCAGAAACTTATTTGTGATGTGTGCCCTCAACTGACAGTGTTGAACCTTTGTTTTGATAGAGCAGTTCTGAAACACACTTTTTGTAAAATCTGCAAGAGGATATTTGGATAGCTTTGAGGATTTCGTTGGAAACGGGAATGTCTTCATGTAAACTCTAGACAGAAGCATTCTCAGAAACTGCTTTGGGATGTTTCAATTGAAGTCCCAGTGTTGAACATTCCCTTTCATAGAGCAGGTTTGAAACACTCTTTTTGTACTATCTGGAAGTGGACATTTGGAGCGCTTTCAGGTCTACGGTGAAAAAGGAGATATCTTCCAATAAAAACTAGATAGAAGCAATGTCAGAACTTTTTTCATGATGTATCTACTCAGCAAACAGAGTTGAACCTTTCTTTTGAGAGAGCAGTTTTGAAACACTCTTTTTGTGGAATATGCAAGTGGGTATTAGGCCAGCTTGGAGGATTTCGTTGGAAACGGGAATACGTATAAAAATCAGACAGCAGCATTGTCAGAAACTACTTTGTGATGTTTGCATTCAAGTCACAGAATTGAACACTCCCTTTCACAGAGCAGGTTTGAAACACTCTTTTTGTAGTGTCTGTAAGTGAACATTTGGATTGCTTTCAGGCCTAAGGTGAAAAAGGAAATATCTTCCCATAAAAACTAGACAGAAGCATTCTCAGAAACTTGTTTGTGATGTGTGCCCTCTACTGACAGAGTTGAACCTTTCTTTGCAAAGACCAGTTTTGAAACACTCTTTTTGTAGAATCTGCAAGAGGATATTTGGATAGCTTTGAGGATTTCTTGGGAAACGGGAATGTCTTCAGATAAACTCTAGACAGAAGCATTCTCAGAAACTTCTTTGGGATGTTTCAATTGAAGTCACAGTGTTGAACATTCCCTTTCACAGAGCAGGTTTGAAACACTCTTTTTGTAGTGTCTATAAGTGAACATTTGGCGTGCTTTCAGGCCTAACGTGAAAAAGGAAATATCTTCCCATAAAAACTAGACAGAAGCATTCTCAGAAACTTGTTCGTGATGTGTGCCCTCTACTGACAGAGTTGAACCTTTCTTTGCAAAGAGCAGCTTTGAAACACACTTTTTGTAGAATCTGCAAGAGGATATTTGGATAGCTTGGAGGATTTCGTTGGAAACGGGTATGTCTTCAGATAAACTCTAGACAGAAGCATTCTCAGAAACTTCTTTGGGATGTTGCATTCAAGTCACAGAGTAGAACATTCCCATTCATAGAGCAGATTTGAAACACTCTTTTTGTAGTATCTGGAAGTGGACATTTGGAGCGCTTTCAGGCCTATGTTGAAAAAGGAAATATCTTCCCATAAAAACTAGACGGAAGCATTCTCAGAAACTTATTTGTGATGTGTTTGCTCAACTAACAGGATTGAACCATCGTTTTGAAGGAGCAGTTTTGAAACACTGTTTTCGTGGAATCTGCAAGTGGATATTTGGCTAGCTTGAGGATTTCGTTGGAAACGGGATTACATATAAAAAGGAGACAGCCAGCATTCTGAGAAACTTCTTTGTGATGTCTGCATTCAATTCACAGAGTTGAGCATTCCCTTTCATAGAGCAGGTTTGAAACACTCTTTTTGTAGTATCTGGATGTGGACATTTGGATCGCTTTCAGGCCTATGGTGAAAAAGGAAATATCTTCCCATGAAAACTAGACAGAGCATTCTCAGAAACTTATTTGTGATGTGTGCCCTCAACTGACAGTGTTGAACCTTTGTTTTGATAGAGCAGTTCTGAAACACACTTTTTGTAAAATCTGCAAGAGGATATTTGGATAGCTTTGAGGATTTCGTTGGAAACGGGAATGTCTTCATGTAAACTCTAGACAGAAGCATTCTCAGAAACTGCTTTGGGATGTTTCAATTGAAGTCCCAGTGTTGAACATTCCCTTTCATAGAGCAGGTTTGAAACACTCTTTTTGTACTATCTGGAAGTGGACATTTGGAGCGCTTTCAGGTCTACGGTGAAAAAGGAGATATCTTCCAATAAAAACTAGATAGAAGCAATGTCAGAACTTTTTTCATGATGTATCTACTCAGCAAACAGAGTTGAACCTTTCTTTTGAGAGAGCAGTTTTGAAACACTCTTTTTGTGGAATATGCAAGTGGGTATTAGGCCAGCTTGGAGGATTTCGTTGGAAACGGGAATACGTATAAAAAGCAGACAGCAGCATTGTCAGAAACTACTTTGTGATGTTTGCATTCAAGTCACAGAATTGAACACTCCCTTTCACAGAGCAGGTTTGAAACACTCTTTTTGTAGTGTCTGTAAGTGAACATTTGGATTGCTTTCAGGCCTAAGGTGAAAAAGGAAATATCTTCCCATAAAAACTAGACAGAAGCATTCTCAGAAACTTGTTTGTGATGTGTGCCCTCTACTGACAGAGTTGAACCTTTCTTTGCAAAGAGCAGTTTTGAAACACTCTTTTTGTAGAATCTGCAAGAGGATATTTGGATAGCTTTGAGGATTTCTTGGGAAACGGGAATGTCTTCAGATAAACTCTAGACAGAAGCATTCTCAGAAACTTCTTTGGGATGTTTCAATTGAAGTCACAGTGTTGAACATTCCCTTTCACAGAGCAGGTTTGAAACACTCTTTTTGTAGTGTCTATAAGTGAACATTTGGCGTGCTTTCAGGCGTAACGTGAAAAAGGAAATATCTTCCCATAAAAACCAGACAGAAGCATTCTCAGAAACTTGTTCTTGATGTGTCCCCTCTACTGACAGAGTTGAACCTTTCTTTGCAAAGAGCAGCTTTGAAACACTCTTTTTGTAGAATCTGCAAGAGGATATTTGGATAGCTTGGAGGATTTCGTTGGAAACGGGTATGTCTTCAGATAAACTCTAGACAGAAGCATTCTCAGAAACTTCTTTGGGATGTTGCATTCAAGTCACAGAGTAGAACATTCCCATTCATAGAGCAGATTTGAAACACTCTTTTTGTAGTATCTGGAAGTGGACATTTGGAGCGCTTTCAGGCCTATGTTGAAAAAGGAAATATCTTCCCATAAAAACTAGACGGAAGCATTCTCAGAAACTTACGTGTGATGTGTTTGCTCAACTAACAGAATTGAACCATCGTTTTGAAGGAGCAGTTTTGAAACACTGTTTTCGTGGAATCTGCAAGTGGATATTTGGCTAGCTTTGAGGATTTCGTTGGAAACGGGATTACATATAAAAAGGAGTCAGCAGCATTCTCAGCAAACTTCTTTGTGATGTCTGCATTCAAGTCACAGAGTTGAGCATTCCCTTTCATAGAGCAGGTTGGAAACACTCTTTTTGTAGTATCTGGATGAGGACATTTGGAGCGCTTTCAGGCGTATGGTGAAAAAGGAAATATCTTCCCGTAAAAACTAGACAGAAGCATTCTCAGAAATTTATTTGTGATGTGTGCCCTCAACTAACAGAGTTGAACCTTTCTTTTGATAGAGCAGTTTTGAAACACTCTTTTTGTAAAATCTGCAAGAGGATATTTGGATAGCTTTGAGGATTTCGTTGCAAACGGGAATGGCTTCATATAAACTCTAGACAGAAGCATTCTCAGAAACTTCGTTGGGATGTTTCGATTGAAGTCCCAGTGTTGAACATTCCCTTTTATAGAGCAGGTTGGAAACACTCTTTCTGCATTCCCTGGAAGTGGACATTTGGAGCGCTTTCAGGACGACGGTGAAAATGGAAATATCTTCCAAGAAAATCTAGATAGAAGCAACGTCAGAAACTTTTCTGTGATGGATCTACTCAGCTAACAGAGTTGAACCTTTCTTTTGAGAGAGCAGTTTTGCAACACTCTTTTTGTGGAATATGCAAGTGGATATTAGGGCAGCTTTGAGGATTTCGTTGGAAACGGGAATACATGTAAAAAGCAGACAGCAGCATTCTCAGAAACTTCTTTGTGATGTTTGCATTGAAGTCACAGAGTTGAACATTCCCTTTGAGAGAGCAGGTTTGAAACACGCCTTTTGTCATATCTGGAAGTGTCCATTCGGAGCGCATTCAGGCTTGTGTTGAAAAAGGAAATATCCTCCCATAAAAACTAGACAGAAGCATTCTCAGAAACTTATCTGTGATGTATGTACTCAACTAACAGAACTAAACCATCGTTTTGAAGGAGCAGTTTTGAAACACTCTTTTTGCGGAATCTGCAAGTGGATATTTGGCTAGCTGGGAGGATTTCGTTGGAAACGGGATTACATACAAAAAGCAGACAGCAGCATTCTCAGAAACTTCTTTGTGATGTTTGCATTCAAGTCACAGAGTTGAACATTCCCTTTCATAGAGCAGGTTTGAAACACTCTTTTTGTAGTATCTGGATGTGGACATTTGGATCGCTTTCAGGCCTATGGTGAAAAAGGAAATATCTTCCCATGAAAACTAGACAGAAGCATTCTCAGAAACTTATTTGTGATGTGTGCCCTCAACTGACAGTGTTGAACCTTTGTTTTGATAGAGCAGTTCTGAAACACACTTTTTGTAAAATCTGCAAGAGGATATTTGGATAGCTTTGAGGATTTCGTTGGAAACGGGAATGTCTTCATGTAAACTCTAGACAGAAGCATTCTCAGAAACTGCTTTGGGATGTTTCAATTGAAGTCCCAGTGTTGAACATTCCCATTCATAGAGCAGGTTTGAAACACTCTTTTTGTACTATCTGGAAGTGGACATTTGGAGCGCTTTCAGGTCTACGGTGAAAAAGGAGATATCTTCCAATAAAAACTAGATAGAAGCAATGTCAGAACTTTTTTCATGATGTATCTACTCAGCTAACAGAGTTGAACCTTTCTTTTGAGAGAGCAGTTTTGAAACACTCTTTTTGTGGAATATGCAAGTGGGTATTAGGCCAGCTTGGAGGATTTCGTTGGAAACGGGAATACGTATAAAAAGCAGACAGCAGCATTGTCAGAAACTACTTTGTGATGTTTGCATTCAAGTCACAGAATTGAACACTCCCTTTCACAGAGCAGGTTTGAAACACTCTTTTTGTAGTGTCTGTAAGTGAACATATGGATTGCTTTCAGGCCTAAGGTGAAAAAGGAAATATCTTCCCATAAAAACTAGACAGAAGCATTCTCAGAAACTTGTTCGTGATGTGTGCCCTCTACTGACAGAGTTGAACCTTTCTTTGCAAAGAGCAGCTTTGAAACACTCTTTTTGTAGAATCTGCAAGAGGATATGTGGATAGCTTTGAGGATTTCGTTGGAAACGGGTATGTCTTCAGATAAACTCTAGACAGAAGCATTCTCAGAAACTTCTTTGGGATGTTTCAATTGAAGTCACAGTGTTGAACATTCCCTTTCACAGAGCAGGTTTGAAACACTCTTTTTGTAGTGTCTATAAGTGAACATTTGGCGTGCTTTCAGGCCTAACGTGAAAAAGGAAATGTCTTCCCATAAAAACTAGACAGAAGCATTCTCAGAAACTTGTTCATGATGTGTGCCCTCTACTGACAGAGTTGAACCTTTCTTTGCAAAGAGCAGCTTTGAAACACTCTTTTTGTAGAATCTGCAAGAGGATATTTGGATAGCTTTGAGGATTTCGTTGGAAACGGGTATGTCTTCAGATAAACTCTAGACAGAAGCATTCTCAGAAACTTCTTTGGGATGTTGCATTCAAGTCACAGAGTAGAACATTCCCATTCATAGAGCAGATTTGAAACACTCTTTTTGTAGTATCTGGAAGTGGACATTTGGAGCGCTTTCAGGCCTATGTTGAAAAAGGAAATATCTTCCCATAAAAACTAGACGGAAGCATTCTCAGAAACTTACTTGTGATGTGTTTGCTCAACTAACAGAATTGAACCATCGTTTTGAAGGAGCAGTTTTGAAACACTGTTTTCGTGGAATCTGCAAGTGGATATTTGGCTAGCTTTGAGGATTTCGTTGGAAACGGGATTACATATAAAAAGGAGACAGCAGCATTCTCAGAAACTTCTTTGTGATGTCTGCATTCAAGTCACAGAGTTGAGCCTTCCCTTTCATAGAGCAGGTTGGAAACACTCTTTTTGTAGTATCTGGATGAGGACATTTGGAGCGCTTTCAGGCGTATGGTGAAAAAGGAAATATCTTCCCGTAAAAACTAGACAGAAGCATTCTCAGAAATTTATTTGTGATGTGTGCCCTCAACTAACAGAGTTGAACCTTTCTTTTGATAGAGCAGTTTTGAAACACTCTTTTTGTAAAATCTGCAAGAGGATATTTGGATAGCTTTGAGGATTTCGTTGCAAACGGGAATGGCTTCATATAAACTCTAGACAGAAGCATTCTCAGAAACTTCGTTGGGATGTTTCGATTGAAGTCCCAGTGTTGAACATTCCCTTTTATAGAGCAGGTTGGAAACACTCTTTCTGCATTCCCTGGAAGTGGACATTTGGAGCGCTTTCAGGACGACGGTGAAAATGGAAATATCTTCCAAGAAAATCTAGATAGAAGCAACGTCAGAAACTTTTCTGTGATGGATCTACTCAGCTAACAGAGTTGAAGCTTTCTTTTGAGAGAGCAGTTTTGCAACACTCTTTTTGTGGAATATGCAAGTGGATATTAGGGCAGCTTTGAGGATTTCGTTGGAAACGGGAATACATGTAAAAAGCAGACAGCAGCATTCTCAGAAACTTCTTTGTGATGTTTGCATTGAAGTCACAGAGTTGAACATTCCCTTTGAGAGAGCAGGTTTGAAACACGCCTTTTGTCATATCTGGAAGTGTCCATTCGGAGCGCATTCAGGCTTGTGTTGAAAAAGGAAATATCCTCCCATAAAACTAGACAGAAGCATTCTCAGAAACTTATCTGTGATGTATGTACTCAACTAACAGAACTAAACCATCGTTTTGAAGGAGCAGTTTTGAAACACTCTTTTTGCGGAATCTGCCAGTGGATATTTGGCTAGCTGGGAGGATTTCGTTGGAAACGGGATTACATACAAAAAGCAGACAGCAGCATTCTCAGCAAACTTATTTGTGATGTGTGCCCTCAACTGACAGTGTTGAACCTTTGTTTTGATAGAGCAGTTCTGAAACACACTTTTTGTAAAATCTGCAAGAGGATATTTGGATAGCTTTGAGGATTTCGTTGGAAACGGGAATGTCTTCATGTAAACTCTAGACAGAAGCATTCTCAGAAACTGCTTTGGGATGTTTCAATTGAAGTCCCAGTGTTGAACATTCCCTTTCATAGAGCAGGTTTGAAACACTCTTTTTGTACTATCTGGAAGTGGACATTTGGAGCGCTTTCAGGTCTACGGTGAAAAAGGAGATATCTTCCAATAAAAACTAGATAGAAGCAATGTCAGAACTTTTTTCATGATGTATCTACTCAGCAAACAGAGTTGAACCTTTCTTTTGAGAGAGCAGTTTTGAAACACTCTTTTTGTGGAATATGCAAGTGGGTATTAGGCCAGCTTGGAGGATTTCGTTGGAAACGGGAATACGTATAAAAAGCAGACAGCAGCATTGTCAGAAACTACTTTGTGATGTTTGCATTCAAGTCACAGAATTGAACACTCCCTTTCACAGAGCAGGTTTGAAACACTCTTTTTGTAGTGTCTGTAAGTGAACATATGGATTGCTTTCAGGCCTAAGGTGAAAAAGGAAATATCTTCCCATAAAAACTAGACAGAAGCATTCTCAGAAACTTGTTTGTGATGTGTGCCCTCTACTGACAGAGTTGAACCTTTCTTTGCAAAGAGCAGTTTTGAAACACTCTTTTTGTAGAATCTGCAAGAGGATATTTGGATAGCTTTGAAGATTTCTTGGGAAACGGGAATGTCTTCAGATAAACTCTAGACAGAAGCATTCTCAGAAACTTCTTTGGGATGTTTCAATTGAAGTCACAGTGTTGAACATTCCCTTTCACAGAGCAGGTTTGAAACACTCTTTTTGTAGTGTCTATAAGTGAACATTTGGCGTGCTTTCAGGCCTAACGTGAAAAAGGAAATATCTTCCCATAAAAACTACACAGAAGCATTCTCAGAAACTTGTTCATGATGTGTGCCCTCTACTGACAGAGTTGAACCTTTCTTTGCAAAGAGCAGCTTTGAAACACTCTTTTTGTAGAATCTGCAAGAGGATATTTGGATAGCTTGGAGGATTTCGTTGGAAACGGGTATGTCTTCAGATAAACTCTAGACAGAAGCATTCTCAGAAACTTCTTTGGGATGTTGCATTCAAGTCACAGAGTAGAACATTCCCATTCATAGAGCAGATTTGAAACACTCTTTTTGTAGTATCTGGAAGTGGACATTTGGAGCGCTTTCAGGCCTATGTTGAAAAAGGAAATACCTTCCCATAAAAACTAGACGGAAGCATTCTCAGAAACTTACTTGTGATGTGTTTGCTCAACTAACAGAATTGAACCATCGTTTTGAAGGAGCAGTTTTGAAACACTGTTTTCGTGGAATCTGCAAGTGGATATTTGGCTAGCTTTGAGGATTTCGTTGGAAACGGGATTACATATAAAAAGGAGACAGCAGCATTCTCAGAAACTTCTTTGTGATTTCTGCATTCAATTCACAGAGTTGAGCATTCCCTTTCATAGAGCAGGTTGGAAACACTCTTTTTGTAGTATCTGGATGAGGACATTTGGAGCGCTTTCAGGCGTATGGTGAAAAAGGAAATATCTTCCCGTGAAAACTAGACAGAAGCATTCTCAGAAATTTATTTGTGATGTGTGCCCTCAACTAACAGAGTTGAACCTTTCTTTTGATAGAGCAGTTTTGAAACACTCTTTTTGTAAAATCTGCAAGAGGATATTTGGATAGCTTTGAGGATTTCGTTGCAAACGGGAATGGCTTCATATAAACTCTAGACAGAAGCATTCTCAGAAACTTCGTTGGGATGTTTCGATTGAAGTCCCAGTGTTGAACATTCCCTTTTATAGAGCAGGTTGGAAACACTCTTTCTGCATTCCCTGGAAGTGGACATTTGGAGCGCTTTCAGGACGACGGTGAAAATGGAAATATCTTCCAAGAAAATCTAGATAGAAGCAACGTCAGAAACTTTTCTGTGATGGATCTACTCAGCTAACAGAGTTGAACCTTTCTTTTGAGAGAGCAGTTTCGCAACACTCTTTTTGTGGAATATGCAAGTGGATATTAGGGCAGCTTTGAGGATTTCGTTGGAAACGGGAATACATGTAAAAAGCAGACAGCAGCATTCTCAGAAACTTCTTTGTGATGTTTGCATTGAAGTCACAGAGTTGAACATTCCCTTTGAGAGAGCAGGTTTGAAACACGCCTTTTGTCATATCTGGAAGTGTCCATTCGGAGCGCATTCAGGCTTGTGTTGAAAAAGGAAATATCCTCCCATAAAAACTAGACAGAAGCATTCTCAGAAACTTATCTGTGATGTATGTACTCAACTAACAGAACTAAACCATCGTTTTGAAGGAGCAGTTTTGAAACACTCTTTTTGCGGAATCTGCAAGTGGATATTTGGCTAGCTGGGAGGATTTCGTTGGAAACGGGATTACATACAAAAAGCAGACAGCAGCATTCTCAGAAACTTCTTTGTGATGTTTGCATTCAAGTCACAGAGTTGAACATTCCCTTTCATAGAGCAGGTTTGAAACACTCTTTTTGTAGTATCTGGATGTGGACATTTGGATCGCTTTCAGGCCTATGGTGAAAAAGGAAATATCTTCCCATGAAAACTAGAGAGAAGCATTCTCAGAAACTTATATGTGATGTGTGCCCTCAACTGACAGTGTTGAACCTTTGTTTTGATAGAGCAGTTCTGAAACACACTTTTTGTAAAATCTGCAAGAGGATATTTGGATAGCTTTGAGGATTTCGTTGCAAACGGGAATGGCTTCATATAAACTCTAGACAGAAGCTTTCTCAGAAACTTCATTGTGATGTTTCAACTGAAGTCACAGTGTTGAACAGTCCCTTTCATAGAGCAGGTTTGAAACACTCTTTTTGTAGTATCTGGAAGTGGACATTTGGAGCGCTCTCAGGACTACTGTGAAAAAGGAAATATCTTCCAATAAAAGCTAGATAGAAGCAATGTCAGAAATTTTTCATGATGTATCTACTCAGCTAACAGAGTTGAACCTTTCTTTTGAGAGACCAGTTTTAAAACACTCTTTTTGGGGAATATGCAAGTGGATATTAGGCCAGCTTGGAGGATTTCGTTGGAAACGGGAATCCATATAAAAAGCAGACAGCAGCATTGTCAGAAACTTCTTTGTCATGTTTGCATTGAAGTCCCAGAGTTCAACATTCCCTTTAATAGAGCAGGTCTGAAACACGCCTTTTGTCATATCTGGACGTTGTCCATTTGGAGCGCATTCCGGCTTGTGTTGAAAAAGGAAATATCCTCCCATAAAAACTAGATAGAAGCATTCTCAGAAACTTATTTGTGATGTGTGTACTCAACTAACAGAATTGAACCATCGTTGTGGAAGAGCAGTTTGGAAACACTCTTTTTGTGGAATCTGCAAGTGGATATTTGTCTAGCTTTGAGGATTTCGTTGGAAACGGGATTACATATAAAAAGCAGGCCGCCAGCATTCTCAGAAACTTCTTTGTGATGTCTGCATTCAAGTCACAGAGTTGAGCATTCCCTTTCATAGAGCAGGTTGGAAACACTCTTTTTGTAGTATCTGGATGAGGACATTTGGAGCGCTTTCAGGCGTATGGTGAAAAAGGAAATATCTTCCCGTAAAAACTAGACAGAGCATTCTCAGAAGTTTATTTGTGATGTGTGCCCTCAACTAACAGAGTTGAACCTTTCTTTTGATAGAGCAGTTTTGAAACACTCTTTTTGTAAAATCTGCAAGAGGATATTTGGATAGCTTTGAGGATTTCGTTGCAAACGGGAATGGCTTCATATAAACTCTAGGCAGAAGCATTCTCAGAAACTTCGTTGGGATGTTTCGATTGAAGTCCCAGTGTTGAACATTCCCTTTTATAGAGCAGGTTGGAAACACTCTTTTTGCATTCCCTGGAAGTGGACATTTGGAGCGCTTTCAGGACGACGGTGAAAATGGAAATATCTTCCAAGAAAATCTAGATAGAAGCAATGTCAGAAACTTTTATGTGATGGATCTACTCAGCTAACAGAGTTGAAGCTTTCTTTTGAGAGAGCAGTTTTGCAACACTCTTTTTGTGGAATATGCAAGTGGATATTAGGGCAGCTTTGAGGATTTCGTTGGAAACGGGAATACATGTAAAAAGCAGACAGCAGCATTCTCAGAAACTTCTTTGTGATGTTTGCATTGAAGTCACAGAGTTGAACATTCCCTTTGAGAGAGCAGGTTTGCAACACGCCTTTTGTCATATCTGGAAGTGTCCATTCGGAGCGCATTCAGGCTTGTGTTGAAAAAGGAAATATCCTCCCATAAAAACTAGACAGAAGCATTCTCAGAAACTTATTTGTGATGTATGTACTCAACTAACAGAACTAAACCATCGTTTTGAAGGAGCAGTTTTGAAACACTCTTTTTGCGGAATCTGCAACTGGATATTTGGCTAGCTTGGAGGATTTCGTTGGAAACGGGATTACATAAAAAAGCAGACAGCAGCATTCTCAGAAACTTCTTTGTGATGTTTGCATTCAAGTCGCAGAGTTGAACATTCCCTTTCATAGAGCAGGTTTGAAACACTCTTTTTGTAGTATCTGGATGTGGACATTTGGATCGCTTTCAGGCCTATGGTGAAAAAGGAAATATCTTCCCATGAAAACTAGACAGAAGCATTCTCAGAAACTTATTTGTGATGTGTGCCCTCAACTGACAGTGTTGAACCTTTGTTTTGATAGAGCAGTTCTGAAACACACTTTTTGTAAAATCTGCAAGAGGATATTTGGATAGCTTTGAGGATTTCGTTGGAAACGGGAATGTCTTCATGTAAACTCTAGACAGAAGCATTCTCAGAAACTGCTTTGGGATGTTTCAATTGAAGTCCCAGTGTTGAACATTCCCTTTCATAGAGCAGGTTTGAAACACTCTTTTTGTAGTATGTGGAAGTGGACATTTGGAGCGCTTTCAGGTCTACGGTGAAAAAGGAGATATCTTCCAATAAAAACTAGATAGAAGCAATGTCAGAACTTTTTTCATGATGTATCTACTCAGCAAACAGAGTTGAACCTTTCTTTTGAGAGAGCAGTTTTGAAACACTCTTTTTGTGGAATATGCAAGTGGGTATTAGGCCAGCTTGGAGGATTTCGTTGGAAACGGGAATACGTATAAAAAGCAGACAGCAGCATTGTCAGAAACTACTTTGTGATGCTTGCATTCAAGTCACAGAATTGAACACTCCCTTTCACAGAGCAGGTTTGAAACACTCTTTTTGTAGTGTCTGTAAGTGAACATTTGGATTGCTTTCAGGCCTAAGGTGAAAAAGGAAATATCTTCCCATAAAATCTAGACAGAAAGCATTCTCAGAAACTTGTTTGTGATGTGTGCCCTCTACTGACAGAGTTGAACCTTTCTTTGCAAAGAGAAGTTTTGAAACACTCTTTTTGTAGAACCTGCAAGAGGATATTTGGATAGCTTTGAGGATTTCTTGGGAAACGGGAATGTCTTCAGATAAACTCTAGACAGAAGCATTCTCAGAAACTTCTTTGGGATGTTTCAATTCAAGTCACAGTGTTGAACATTCCCTTTCACAGAGCAGGTTTGAAACACTCTTTTTGTAGTGTCTATAAGTGAACATTTGGCGTGCTTTCAGGCGTAACGTGAAAAAGGAAATATCTTCCCATAAAAACTAGACAGAAGCATTCTCAGAAACTTGGTTTGTGATGTGTGCCCTCTACTGACAGAGTTGAACCTTTCTTTGCAAAGAGCAGCTTTGAAACACTCTTTTTGTAGAATCTGCAAGAGGATATTTGGATAGCTTTGAGGATTTCGTTGGAAACGGGTATGTCTTCAGATAAACTCTAGACAGAAGCATTCTCAGAAACTTCTTTGGGATGTTGCATTCAAGTCACAGAGTAGAACATTCCCATTCATAGAGCAGATTTGAAACACTCTTTTTGTAGTATCTGGAAGTGGACATTTGGAGCGCTTTCAGGCCTATGTTGAAAAAGGAAATATCTTCCCATAAAAACTAGACGGAAGCATTCTCAGAAACTTATTTGTGATGTGTTTGCTCAACTAACAGGATTGAACCATCGTTTTGAAGGAGCAGTTTTGAAACACTGTTTTCGTGGAATCTGCAAGTGGATATTTGGCTAGCTTTGAGGATTTCGTTGGAAACGGGATTACATATAAAAAGGAGACAGCAGCATTCTCAGAAACTTCTTTGTGATGTCTGCATTCAATTCACAGAGTTGAGCATTCCCTTTCATAGAGCAGGTTGGAAACACTCTTTTTGTAGTATCTGGATGAGGACATTTGGAGCGCTTTCAGGCGTATGGTGAAAAAGGAAATATCTTCCCGTAAAAACTAGACAGAAGCATTCTCAGAAGTTTATTTGTGATGTGTGCCCTCAACTAACAGAGTTGAACCTTTCTTTTGATAGAGCAGTTTTGAAACACTCTTTTTGTAAAATCTGCAAGAGGATATTTGGATAGCTTTGAGGATTTCGTTGCAAACGGGAATGGCTTCATATAAACTCTAGACAGAAGCATTCTCAGAAACTTCGTTGGGATGTTTCGATTGAAGTCCCAGTGTTGAACATTCCCTTTTATAGAGCAGGTTGGAAACACTCTTTCTGCATTCCCTGGAAGTGGACATTTGGAGCGCTTTCAGGACGACGGTGAAAATGGAAATATCTTCCAAGAAAATCTAGATAGAAGCAATGTCAGAAACTTTTATGTGATGGATCTACTCAGCTAACAGAGTTGAACCTTTCTTTTGAGAGAGCAGTTTTGCAACACTCTTTTTGTGGAATATGCAAGTGGATATTAGGGCAGCTTTGAGGATTTCGTTGGAAACGGGAATACATGTAAAAAGCAGACAGCAGCATTCTCAGAAACTTCTTTGTGATGTTTGCATTGAAGTCACAGAGTTGAACATTCCCTTTGAGAGAGCAGGTTTGAAACACGCCTTTTGTCATATCTGGAAGTGTCCATTCGGAGCGCATTCAGGCTTGTGTTGAAAAAGGAAATATCCTCCCATAAAAACTAGACAGAAGCATTCTCAGAAACTTATCTGTGATGTATGTACTCAACTAACAGAACTAAACCATCGTTTTGAAGGAGCAGTTTTGAAACACTCTTTTTGCGGAATCTGCAAGTGGATATTTGGCTAGCTGGGAGGATTTCGTTGGAAACGGGATTACATACAAAAAGCAGAGAGCAGCATTCTCAGAAACTTCTTTGTGATGTTTGCATTCAAGTCACAGAGTTGAACATTCCCTTTCATAGAGCAGGTTTGAAACACTCTTTTTGTAGTATCTGGATGTGGACATTTGGATCGCTTTCAGGCCTATGGTGAAAAAGGAAATATCTTCCCATGAAAACTAGACAGAAGCATTCTCAGAAACTTATTTGTGATGTGTGCCCTCAACTGACAGTGTTGAACCTTTGTTTTGATAGAGCAGTTCTGAAACACACTTTTTGTAAAATCTGCAAGAGGATATTTGGATAGCTTGAGGATTTCGTTGGAAACGGGAATGTCTTCATGTAAACTCTAGACAGAAGCATTCTCAGAAACTACTTTGGGATGTTTCAATTGAAGTCCCAGTGTTGAACATTCCCATTCATAGAGCAGGTTTGAAACACTCTTTTTGTAATATCTGGAAGTGGACATTTGGAGCGCTTTCAGGTCTACGGTGAAAAAGGAGATATCTTCCAATAAAAACTAGATAGAAGCAATGTCAGAACTTTTTTCATGATGTATCTACTCAGCTAACAGAGTTGAACCTTTCTTTTGAGAGAGCAGTTTTGAAACACTCTTTTTGTGGAATATGCAAGTGGGTATTAGGCCAGCTTGGAGGATTTCGTTGGAAACGGGAATACGTATAAAAAGCAGACAGCAGCATTGTCAGAAACTACTTTGTGATGTTTGCATTCAAGTCACAGAATTGAACACTCCCTTTCACAGAGCAGGTTTGAAACACTCTTTTTGTAGTGTCTGTAAGTGAACATATGGATTGCTTTCAGGCCTAAGGTGAAAAAGGAAATATCTTCCCATAAAAACTAGACAGAAGCATTCTCAGAAACTTGTTTGTGATGTGTGCCCTCTACTGACAGAGTTGAACCTTTCTTTGCAAAGACCAGTTTTGAAACACTCTTTTTGTAGAATCTGCAAGAGGATATTTGGATAGCTTTGAGGATTTACTTGGGAAACGGGAATGTCTTCAGATAAACTCTAGACAGAAGCATTCTCAGAAACTTCTTTGGGATGTTTCAATTGAAGTCACAGTGTTGAACATTCCCTTTCACAGAGCAGGTTTGAAACACTCTTTTTGTAGTGTCTATAAGTGAACATTTGGCGTGCTTTCAGGCCTAACGTGAAAAAGGAAATATCTTCCCATAAAAACTAGACAGAAGCATTCTCAGAAACTTGTTCGTGATGTGTGCCCTCTACTGACAGAGTTGAACCTTTCTTTGCAAAGAGCAGCTTTGAAACACACTTTTTGTAGAATCTGCAAGAGGATATTTGGATAGCTTGGAGGATTTCGTTGGAAACGGGTATGTCTTCAGATAAACTCTAGACAGAAGCATTCTCAGAAACTTCTTTGGGATGTTGCATTCAAGTCACAGAGTAGAACATTCCCATTCATAGAGCAGATTTGAAACACTCTTTTTGTAGTATCTGGAAGTGGACATTTGGAGCGCTTTCAGGCCTATGTTGAAAAAGGAAATATCTTCCCATAAAAACTAGACGGAAGCATTCTCAGAAACTTACTTGTGATGTGTTTGCTCAACTAACAGAATTGAACCATCGTTTTGAAGGAGCAGTTTTGAAACACTGTTTTCGTGGAATCTGCAAGTGGATATTTGGCTAGCTTTGAGGATTTCGTTGGAAACGGGATTACATATACAAAGGAGACAGCAGCATTCTCAGAAACTTCTTTGTGATGTCTGCATTCAAGTCACAGAGTTGAGCATTCCCTTTCATAGAGCAGGTTGGAAACACTCTTTTTGTAGTATCTGGATGAGGACATTTGGAGCGCTTTCAGGCCTATGGTGAAAAAGGAAATATCTTCCCGTAAAAACTAGACAGAAGCATTCTCAGAAATTTATTTGTGATGTGTGCCCTCAACTAACAGAGTTGAACCTTTCTTTTGATAGAGCAGTTTTGAAACACTCTTTTTGTAAAATCTGCAAGAGGATATTTGGATAGCTTTGAGGATTTCGTTGCAAACGGGAATGGCTTCATATAAACTCTAGACAGAAGCATTCTCAGAAACTTCGTTGGGATGTTTCGATTGAAGTCCCAGTGTTGAACATTCCCTTTTATAGAGCAGGTTGGAAACACTCTTTCTGCATTCCCTGGAAGTGGACAATTGGAGCGCTTTCAGGACGACGGTGAAAATGGAAATATCTTCCAATAAAATCTGGATAGAAGCAATGTCAGAAACTTTTCTGTGATGGATCTACTCAGCTAACAGAGTTGAACCTTTCTTTTGAGAGAGCAGTTTTGCAACACTCTTTTTGTGGAATATGCAAGTGGATATTAGGGCAGCTTTGAGGATTTCGTTGGAAACGGGAATACATGTAAAAAGCAGACAGCAGCATTCTCAGAAACTTCTTTGTGATGTTTGCATTGAAGTCACAGAGTTGAACATTCCCTTTGAGAGAGCAGGTTTGAAACACGCCTTTTGTCATATCTGGAAGTGTCCATTCGGAGCGCATTCAGGCTTGTGTTGAAAAAGAAAATATCCTCCCATAAAAACTAGACAGAAGCATTCTCAGAAACTTATCTGTGATGTATGTACTCAACTAACCGAACTAAACCATCGTTTTGAAGGAGCAGTTTTGAAACACTCTTTTTGCGGAATCTGCAAGTGGATATTTGGCTAGCTGGGAGGATTTCGTTGGAAACGGGATTACATACAAAAAGCAGACAGCAGCATTCTCAGAAACTTCTTTGTGATGTTTGCATTCAAGTCACAGAGTTGAACATTCCCTTTCATAGAGCAGGTTTGAAACACTCTTTTTGTAGTATCTGGATGTGGACATTTGGATCGCTTTCAGGCCTATGGTGAAAAAGGAAATATCTTCCCATGAAAACTAGACAGAAGCATTCTCAGAAACTTATTTGTGATGTGTGCCCTCAACTGACAGTGTTGAACCTTTGTTTTGATAGAGCAGTTCTGAAACACACTTTTTGTAAAATCTGCAAGAGGATATTTGGATAGCTTTGAGGATTTCGTTGCAAACGGGAATGTCTTCATGTAAACTCTGGACAGAAGCATTCTCAGAAACTGCTTTGGGATGTTTCAATTGAAGTCCCAGTGTTGAACATTCCCATTCATAGAGCAGGTTTGAAACACTCTTTTTGTACTATCTGGAAGTGGACATTTGGAGCGCTTTCAGGTCTACGGTGAAAAAGGAGATATCTTCCAATAAAAACTAGATAGAAGCAATGTCAGAACTTTTTTCATGATGTATCTACTCAGCAAACAGAGTTGAACCTTTCTTTTGAGGGAGCAGTTTTGAAACACTATTTTTGTGGAATATGCAAGTGGGTATTAGGCCAGCTTGGAGGATTTCGTTGGAAACGGGAATACGTATAAAAAGCAGACAGCAGCATTGTCAGAAACTACTTTGTGATGTTTGCATTCAAGTCACAGAATTGAACACTCCCTTTCACAGAGCAGGTTTGAAACACTCTTTTTGTAGTGTCTGTAAGTGTACATTTGGATTGCTTTCAGGCCTAAGGTGAAAAAGGAAATATCTTCCCATAAAAACTAGACAGAAGCATTCTCAGAAACTTGTTTGTGATGTGTGCCCTCTACTGACAGAGTTGAACCTTTCTTTGCAAAGAGCAGTTTTGAAACACTCTTTTTGTAGAATCTGCAAGAGGATATTTGGATAGCTTTGAGGATTTCTTGGGAAACGGGAATGTCTTCAGATAAACTCTAGACAGAAGCATTCTCAGAAACTTCTTTGGGATGTTTCAATTGAAGTCACAGTGTTGAACATTCCCTTTCACAGAGCAGGTTTGAAACACTCTTTTTGTAGTGTCTATAAGTGAACATTTGGCGTGCTTTCAGGCCTAACGTGAAAAAGGAAATATCTTCCCATAAAAACTAGACAGAAGCATTCTCAGAAACTTGTTCGTGATGTGTGCCCTCTACTGACAGAGTTGAACCTTTCTTTGCAAAGAGCAGCTTTGAAACACTCTTTTTGTAGAATCTGCAAGAGGATATTTGGATAGCTTTGAGGATTTCGTTGGAAACGGGTATGTCTTCAGATAAACTCTAGACAGAAGCATTCTCAGAAACTTCTTTGGGATGTTGCATTCAAGTCACAGAGTAGAACATTCCCATTCATAGAGCAGATTTGAAACACTCTTTTTGTAGTATCTGGAAGTGGACATTTGGAGCGCTTTCAGGCCTATGTTGAAAAAGGAAATATCTTCCCATAAAAACTAGACGGAAGCATTCTCAGAAACTTACTTGTGATGTGTTTGCTCAACTAACAGAATTGAACCATCGTTTTGAAGGAGCAGTTTTGAAACACTGTTTTCGTGGAATCTGCAAGTGGATATTTGGCTAGCTTTGAGGATTTCGTTGGAAACGGGATTACATATAAAAAGGAGACAGCAGCATTCTCAGAAACATCTTTGGGATGTTTGCATTCAAGTCACAGAGTTGAACATTCCCTTTCACAGAGCAGGTTTGAAACACTCTTTTTGTGGAATCTGGAAGTGGACATTTGGATCGCTTTGAGGCCTATGGTGACAAAGGGAATATCTTCGCATAAAAACTAGACAGAAGCATTCTCAGAAATTTATTTGTGATGTGTGCCCTCAACTAACAGAGTTGAACCTTTCTTTTGATAGAGCAGTTTTGAAACACTCTTTTTGTAAAATCTGCAAGAGGATATTTGGATAGCTTTGAGGATTTCGTTGCAAACGGGAATGGCTTCATATAAACTCTAGACAGAAGCATTCTCAGAAACTTCGTTGGGATGTTTCGATTGAAGTCCCAGTGTTGAACATTCCCTTTTATAGAGCAGGTTGGAAACACTCTTTCTGCATTCCCTGGAAGTGGACATTTGGAGCGCTTTCAGGACGACGGTGAAAATGGAAATATCTTCCAAGAAAATCTAGATAGAAGCAACGTCAGAAACTTTTCTGTGATGGATCTACTCAGCTAACAGAGTTGAACCTTTCTTTTGAGAGAGCAGTTTTGCAACACTCTTTTTGTGGAATATGCAAGTGGATATTAGGGCAGCTTTGAGGATTTCGTTGGAAACGGGAATACATGTAAAAAGCAGACAGCAGCATTCTCAGAAACTTCTTTGTGATGTTTGCATTGAAGTCACAGAGTTGAACATTCCCTTTGAGAGAGCAGGTTTGAAACACGCCTTTTGTCATATCTGGAAGTGTCCATTCGGAGCGCATTCAGGCTTGTGTTGAAAAAGGAAATATCCTCCCATAAAAACTAGACAGAAGCATTCTCAGAAACTTATCTGTGATGTATGTACTCAACTAACAGAACTAAACCATCGTTTTGAAGGAGCAGTTTTGAAACACTCTTTTTGCGGAATCTGCAAGTGGATATTTGGCTAGCTGGGAGGATTTCGTTGGAAACGGGATTACATACAAAAAGCAGACAGCAGCATTCTCAGAAACTTCTTTGTGATGTTTGCATTCAAGTCACAGAGTTGAACATTCCCTTTCATAGAGCAGGTTTGAAACACTCTTTTTGTAGTATCTGGATGTGGACATTTGGATCGCTTTCAGGCCTATGGTGAAAAATGAAATATCTTCCCATGAAAACTAGACAGAAGCATTCTCAGAAACTTATTTGTGATGTGTGCCCTCAACTGACAGTGTTGAACCTTTGTTTTGATAGAGCAGTTCTGAAACACACTTTTTGTAAAATCTGCAAGAGGATATTTGGATAGCTTTGAGGATTTCGTTGGAAACGGGAATGTCTTCATGTAAACTCTAGACAGAAGCATTCTCAGAAACTGCTTTGGGATGTTTCAATTGAAGTCCCAGTGTTGAACATTCCCTTTCATAGAGCAGGTTTGAAACACTCTTTTTGTACTATCTGGAAGTGGACATTTGGAGCGCTTTCAGGTCTACGGTGAAAAAGGAGATATCTTCCAATAAAAACTAGATAGAAGCAATGTCAGAACTTTTTTCATGATGTATCTACTCAGCAAACAGAGTTGAACCTTTCTTTTGAGAGAGCAGTTTTGAAACACTCTTTTTGTGGAATATGCAAGTGGGTATTAGGCCAGCTTGGAGGATTTCGTTGGAAACGGGAATACGTATAAAAAGCAGACAGCAGCATTGTCAGAAACTACTTTGTGATGTTTGCATTCAAGTCACAGAATTGAACACTCCCTTTCACAGAGCAGGTTTGAAACACTCTTTTTGTAGTGTCTGTAAGTGAACATTTGGATTGCTTTCAGGCCTAAGGTGAAAAAGGAAATATCTTCCCATAAAAACTAGACAGAAGCATTCTCAGAAACTTGTTTGTGATGTGTGCCCTCTACTGACAGAGTTGAACCTTTCTTTGCAAAGACCAGTTTTGAAACACTCTTTTTGTAGAATCTGCAAGAGGATATTTGGATAGCTTTGAGGATTTCTTGGGAAACGGGAATGTCTTCAGATAAACTCTAGACAGAAGCATTCTCAGAAACTTCTTTGGGATGTTTCAATTGAAGTCAGTGTTGAACATTCCCTTTCACAGAGCAGGTTTGAAACACTCTTTTTGTAGTGTCTATAAGTGAACATTTGGCGTGCTTTCAGGCGTAACGTGAAAAAGGAAATATCTTCCCATAAAAACTAGACAGAAGCATTCTCAGAAACTTGTTCGTGATGTGTGCCCTCTACTGACAGAGTTGAACCTTTCTTTGCAAAGAGCATCTTTGAAACACTCTTTTTGTAGAATCTGCAAGAGGATATTTGGATAGCTTGGAGGATTTCGTTGGAAACGGGTATGTCTTCAGATAAACTCTAGACAGAAGCATTCTCAGAAACTTCTTTGGGATGTTGCATTCAAGTCACAGAGTAGAACATTCCCATTCATAGAGCAGATTTGAAACACTCTTTTTGTAGTATCTGGAAGTGGACATTTGGAGCGCTTTCAGGCCTATGTTGAAAAAGGAAATATCTTCCCATAAAAACTAGACGGAAGCATTCTCAGAAACTTATTTGTGATGTGTTTGCTCAACTAACAGGATTGAACCATCGTTTTGAAGGAGCAGTTTTGAAACACTGTTTTCGTGGAATCTGCAAGTGGATATTTGGCTAGCTTTGAGGATTTCGTTGGAAACGGGGTTACATATACAAAGGAGACAGCAGCATTCCCAGAAACTTCTTTGTGATGTCTGCATTCAATTCACAGAGTTGAGCATTCCCTTTCATAGAGCAGGTTGGAAACACTCTTTTTGTAGTATCTGGATGAGGACATTTGGAGCGCTTTCAGGCCTATGGTGAAAAAGGAAATATCTTCCCGTAAAAACTAGACAGAAGCATTCTCAGAAATTTATTTGTGATGTGTGCCCTCAACTAACAGAGTTGAACCTTTCTTTTGATAGAGCAGTTTTGAAACACTCTTTTTGTAAAATCTGCAAGAGGATATTTGGATAGCTTTGAGGATTTCGTTGCAAACGGGAATGGCTTCATATAAACTCTAGACAGAAGCATTCTCAGAAACTTCGTTGGGATGTTTCGATTGAAGTCCCAGTGTTGAACATTCCCTTTTATAGAGCAGGTTGGAAACACTCTTTCTGCATTCCCTGGAAGTGGACATTTGGAGCGCTTTCAGGACGACGGTGAAAATGGAAATATCTTCCAAGAAAATCTAGATAGAAGCAATGTCAGAAACTTTTATGTGATGGATCTACTCAGCTAACAGAGTTGAACCTTTCTTTTGAGAGAGCAGTTTTGCAACACTCTTTTTGTGGAATATGCAAGTGGATATTAGGGCAGCTTTGAGGATTTCGTTGGAAACGGGAATACATGTAAAAAGCAGACAGCAGCATTCTCAGAAACTTCTTTGTGATGTTTGCATTGAAGTCACAGCAGTTGAACATTCCCTTTGAGAGAGCAGGTTTGAAACACGCCTTTTGTCATATCTGGAAGTGTCCATTCGGAGCGCATTCAGGCTTGTGTTGAAAAAGGAAATATCCTCCCATAAAAACTAGACAGAAGCATTCTCAGAAACTTATCTGTGATGTATGTACTCAACTAACAGAACTAAACCATCCTTTTGAAGGAGCAGTTTTGAAACACTCTTTTTGCGGAATCTGCAAGTGGATATTTGGCTAGCTGGGAGGATTTCGTTGGAAACGGGATTACATACAAAAAGCAGACAGCAGCATTCTCAGAAACTTCTTTGTGATGTTTGCATTCAAGTCACAGAGTTGAACATTCCCTTTCATAGAGCAGGTTTGAAACACTCTTTTTGTAGTATCTGGATGTGGACATTTGGATCGCTTTCAGGCCTATGGTGAAAAAGGAAATATCTTCCCATGAAAACTAGACAGAAGCATTCTCAGAAACTTATTTGTGATGTGTGCCCTCAACTGACAGTGTTGAACCTTTGTTTTGATAGAGCAGTTCTGAAACACACTTTTTGTAAAATCTGCAAGAGGATATTTGGATAGCTTTGAGGATTTCGTTGGAAACGGGAATGTCTTCATGTAAACTCTACACAGAAGCATTCTCAGAAACTGCTTTGGGATGTTTCAATTGAAGTCCCAGTGTTGAACATTCCCATTCATAGAGCAGGTTTGAAGCACTCTTTTTGTACTATCTGGAAGTGGACATTTGGAGCGCTTTCAGGTCTACGGTGAAAAAGGAGATATCTTCCAATAAAAACTAGATAGAAGCAATGTCAGAACTTTTTTCATGATGTATCTACTCAGCAAACAGAGTTGAACCTTTCTTTTGAGAGAGCAGTTTTGAAACACTCTTTTTGTGGAATATGAAAGTGGGTATTAGGCCAGCTTGGAGGATTTCGTTGGAAACGGGAATACGTATAAAAAGCAGACAGCAGCATTGTCAGAAACTACTTTGTGATGTTTGCATTCAAGTCACAGAACTGAACACTCCCTTTCACAGAGCAGGTTTGAAACACTCTTTTTGTAGTGTCTGTAAGTGAACATTTGGATTGCTTTCAGGCCTAAGGTGAAAAAGGAAATATCTTCCCATAAAAACTAGACAGAAGCATTCTCAGAAACTTGTTTGTGATGTGTGCCCTCTACTGACAGAGTTGAACCTTTCTTTGCAAAGAGCAGTTTTGAAACACTCTTTTTGTAGAATCTGCAAGAGGATATTTGGATAGCTTTGAGGATTTCTTGGGAAACGGGAATGTCTTCAGATAAACTCTAGACAGAAGCATTCTCAGAAACTTCTTTGGGATGTTTCAATAGAAGTCACAGTGTTGAACATTCCCTTTCACAGAGCAGGTTTGAAACACTCTTTTTGTAGTGTCTATAATTGAACATTTGGCGTGCTTTCAGGCCTAACGTGAAAAAGGAAATATCTTCCCATAAAAACTAGACAGAAGCATTCTCAGAAACTTGTTCGTGATGTGTGCCCTCTACTGACAGAGTTGAACCTTTCTTTGCAAAGAGCAGCTTTGAAACACTCTTTTTGTAGAATCTGCAAGAGGATATGTGGATAGCTTTGAGGATTTCGTTGGAAACGGGTATGTCTTCAGATAAACTCTAGACAGAAGCATTCTCAGAAACTTCTTTGGGATGTTTCAATTGAAGTCACAGTGTTGAACATTCCCTTTCACAGAGCATGTTTGAAACACTCTTTTTGTAGTGTCTATAAGTGAACATTTGGCGTGCTTTCAGGCCTAACGTGAAAAAGGAAATATCTTCCCATAAAAGCTAGACAGAAGCATTCTCAGAAACTTGTTTGTGATGTGTGCCCTCTACTGACAGAGTTGAACCTTTCTTTGCAAAGAGCAGCTTTGAAACACTCTTTTTGTAGAATCTGCAAGAGGATATTTGGATAGCTTTGAGGATTTCGTTGGAAACGGGTATGTCTTCAGATAAACTCTAGACACAAGCATTCTCAGAAACTTCGTTGGGATGTTTCGATTGAAGTCACAGTGTTGAACATTCCTTTTTATAGAGCAGGTTTGAAACACTCTTTTTGTAGTATCTGGAAGTGGACATTTGGAGCGCTTTCAGGACGACGGTGAAAATGGAAATATCTTCCAATAAAATCTAGATAGAAGCAATGTCAGAAACTTTCATGTCATGTATCTACTCAGCTAACAGAGTTGAAACTTTCTTTTGAGAAAGCAGTTTTGCAACACTCTTTTCGTGGAATATGCAAGTGGATATTAGGGCAGCTTTGAGGATTTTGTTGGAAACGGCAATACATATAAAAAGCAGACAGCAGCATTCTCAGAAACTTCTTTGTGATGTTTGCATTGAAGTCACAGCAGTTGAACATTCCCTTTGAGAGAGCAGGTTTGAAACACGCCTTTTGTCATATCTGGAAGTGTCCATTCGGAGCGCATTCAGGCTTGTGTTGAAAAAGGAAATATCCTCCCAGAAAAACTAGACAGAAGCATTCTCAGAAACTTATCTGTGATGTATGTACTCAACTAACAGAACTAAACCATCGTTTTGAAGGAGCAGTTTTGAAACACTCTTTTTGCGGAATCTGCAAGTGGATATTTGGCTAGCTGGGAGGATTTCGTTGGAAACGGGATTACATACAAAAAGCAGACAGCAGCATTCTCAGAAACTTCTTTGTGATGTTTGCATTCAAGTCACAGAGTTGAACATTCCCTTTCATAGAGCAGGTTTGAAACACTCTTTTTGTAGTATCTGGATGTGGACATTTGGATCGCTTTCAGGCCTATGGTGAAAAAGGAAATATCTTCCCATGAAAACTAGACAGAAGCATTCTCAGAAACTTATTTGTGATGTGTGCCCTCAACTGACAGTGTTGAACCTTTGTTTTGATAGAGCAGTTCTGAAACACACTTTTTGTAAAATCTGCAAGAGGATATTTGGATAGCTTTGAGGATTTCGTTGGAAACGGGAATGTCTTCATGTAAACTCTACACAGAAGCATTCTCAGAAACTGCTTTGGGATGTTTCAATTGAAGTCCCAGTGTTGAACCTTCCCATTCATAGAGCAGGTTTGAAACACTCTTTTTGTACTATCTGGAAGTGGACATTTTGAGCGCTTTCAGGTCTACGGTGAAAAAGGAGATATCTTCCAGTAAAAACTAGATAGAAGCAATGTCAGAACTTTTTTCATGATATATCTACTCAGCTAACAGAGTTGAACCTTTCTTTTGAGAGAGCAGTTTTGAAACACTCTTTTTGTGGAATATGCAAGTGGGTATTAGGCCAGCTTGGAGGATTTCGTTGGAAACGGGAATACGTATAAAAAGCAGACAGCAGCATTGTCAGAAACTACTTTGTGATGTTTGCATTCAAGTCACAGAATTGAACACTCCCTTTCACAGAGCAGGTTTGAAACACTCTTTTTGTAGTGTCTGTAAGTGAACATATGGATTGCTTTCAGGCCTAAGGTGAAAAAGGAAATATCTTCCCATAAAAACTAGACAGAAGCATTCTCAGAAACTTGTTTGTGATGTGTGCCCTCTACTGACAGAGTTGAACCTTTCTTTGCAAAGAGCAGTTTTGAAACACTCTTTTTGTAGAATCTGCAAGAGGATATTTGGATAGCTTTGAGGATTTCTTGGGAAACGGGAATGTCTTCAGATAAACTCTAGACAGAAGCATTCTCAGAAACTTCTTTGGGATGTTTCAATTGAAGTCACAGTGTTGAACATTCCCTTTCACAGAGCAGGTTTGAAACACTCTTTTTGTAGTGTGTATAAGTGAACATTTGGCGTGCTTTCAGGCCTAACGTGAAAAAGGAAATATCTTCCCATAAGAACTAGACAGAAGCATTCTCAGAAACTTGTTTGTGATGTGTGCCCTCTACTGACAGAGTTGAACCTTTCCTTGCAAAGAGCAGCTTTGACACACTCTTTTTGTAGAATCTGCAAGAGGCTATTTGGATAGCTTTGAGGATTTCGTTGGAAACTGTTATGTCTTCAGATAAACTCTAGACAGAAGCATTCTCAGAAACTTCTTTGAGATGTTGCATTCAAGTCACAGAGTAGAACATTCCCATTCATAGAGCAGATTTGAAACACTCTTTTTGTAGTATCTGAAAGTGGACATTTGGAGCGCTTTCAGGCCTATGATGAAAAAGGAAATATCTTCCCATAAAAACTAGACGGAAGCATTCTCAGAAACTTACTTGTGATGTGTTTGCTCAACTAACAGAATTGAACCATCGTTTTGAAGGAGCAGTTTTGAAACACTGTTTTCGTGGAATCTGCAAGTGGATATTTGGCTAGCTTTGAGGATTTCGTTGGAAACGGGATTACATATAAAAAGGAGACAGCAGCATTCTCAGAAACTTCTTTGTGATGTCTGCATTCAAGTCACAGAGTTGAGCATTCCCTTTCATAGAGCAGGTTGGAAACACTCTTTTTGTAGTATCTGGATGAGGACATTTGGAGCGCTTTCAGGCGTATGGTGAAAAAGGAAATATCTTCCCGTAAAAACTAGACAGAAGCATTCTCAGAAATTTATTTGTGATGTGTGCCCTCAACTAACAGAGTTGAACCTTTCTTTTGATAGAGCAGTTTTGAAACACTCTTTTTGTAAAATCTGCAAGAGGATATTTGGATAGCTTTGAGGATTTCGTTGCAAACGGGAATGGCTTCATATAAACTCTAGACAGAAGCATTCTCAGAAACTTCGTTGGGATGTTTCGATTGAAGTCCCAGTGTTGAACATTCCCTTTTATAGAGCAGGTTGGAAACACTCTTTCTGCATTCCCTGGAAGTGGACATTTGGAGCGCTTTCAGGACGACGGTGAAAATGGAAATATCTTCCAAGAAAATCTAGATAGAAGCAACGTCAGAAACTTTTCTGTGATGGATCTACTCAGCTAACAGAGTTGAACCTTTCTTTTGAGAGAGCAGTTTTGCAACACTCTTTTTGTGGAATATGCAAGTGGATATTAGGGCAGCTTTGAGGATTTCGTTGGAAACGGGAATACATGTAAAAAGCAGACAGCAGCATTCTCAGAAACTTCTTTGTGATGTTTGCATTGAAGTCACAGAGTTGAACATTCCCTTTGAGAGAGCAGGTTTGAAACACGCCTTTTGTCATATCTGGAAGTGTCCATTCGGAGCGCATTCAGGCTTGTGTTGAAAAAGGAAATATCCTCCCATAAAAACTAGACAGAAGCATTCTCAGAAACTTATCTGTGATGTATGTACTCAACTAACAGAACTAAACCATCGTTTTGAAGGAGCAGTTTTGAAACACTCTTTTTGCGGAATCTGCAAGTGGATATTTGGCTAGCTGGGAGGATTTCGTTGGAAACGGGATTACATACAAAAAGCAGACAGCAGCATTCTCAGAAACTTCTTTGTGATGTTTGCATTCAAGTCACAGAGTTGAACATTCCCTTTCATAGAGCAGGTTTGAAACACTCTTTTTGTAGTATCTGGATGTGGACATTTGGATCGCTTTCAGGCCTATGGTGAAAAAGGAAATATCTTCCCATGAAAACTAGACAGAAGCATTCTCAGAAACTTATTTGTGATGTGTGCCCTCAACTGACAGTGTTGAACCTTTGTTTTGATAGAGCAGTTCTGAAACACACTTTTTGTAAAATCTGCAAGAGGATATTTGGATAGCTTTGAGGATTTCGTTGGAAACGGGAATGTCTTCATGTAAACTCTACACAGAAGCATTCTCAGAAACTGCTTTGGGATGTTTCAATTGAAGTCCCAGTGTTGAACATTCCCATTCATAGAGCAGGTTTGAAACACTCTTTTTGTACTATCTGGAAGTGGACATTTGGAGCGCTTTCAGGTCTACGGTGAAAAAGGAGATATCTTCCAATAAAAACTAGATAGAAGCAATGTCAGAACTTTTTTCATGATGTATCTACTCAGCAAACAGAGTTGAACCTTTCTTTTGAGAGAGCAGTTTTGAAACACTCTTTTTGTGGAATATGCAAGTGGGTATTAGGCCAGCTTGGAGGATTTCGTTGGAAACGGGAATACGTATAAAAAGCAGACAGCAGCATTGTCAGCAAACTACTTTGTGATGTTTGCATTCAAGTCACAGAATTGAACACTCCCTTTCACAGAGCAGGTTTGAAACACTCTTTTTGTAGTGTCTGTAAGTGAACATTTGGATTGATTTCAGGCCTAAGGTGAAAAAGGAAATATCTTCCCATAAAAACTAGACAGAAGCATTCTCAGAAACTTGTTTGTGATGTGTGCCCTCTACTGACAGAGTTGAACCTTTCTTTGCAAAGAGCAGTTTTGAAACACTCTTTTTGTAGAATCTGCAAGAGGATATTTGGATAGCTTTGAGGATTTCTTGGGAAACGGGAATGTCTTCAGATAAACTCTAGACAGAAGCATTCTCAGAAACTTCTTTGGGATGTTTCAATTGAAGTCACAGTGTTGAACATTCCCTTTCACAGAGCAGGTTTGAAACACTCTTTTTGTAGTGTCTATAAGTGAACATTTGGCGTGCTTTCAGGCGTAACGTGAAAAAGGAAATATCTTCCCATAAAAACCAGACAGAAGCATTCTCAGAAACTTGTTCGTGATGTGTGCCCTCTACTGACAGAGTTGAACCTTTCTTTGCAAAGAGCAGCTTTGAAACACTCTTTTTGTAGAATCTGCAAGAGGATATTTGGATAGCTTTGAGGATTTCGTTGGAAACGGGTATGTCTTCAGATAAACTCTAGACAGAAGCATTCTCAGAAACTTCTTTGGGATGTTGCATTCAAGTCACAGAGTAGAACATTCCCATTCATAGAGCAGATTTGAAACACTCTTTTTGTAGTATCTGGAAGTGGACATTTGGAGCGCTTTCAGGCCTATGTTGAAAAAGGAAATATCTTCCCATAAAAACTAGACGGAAGCATTCTCAGAAACTTACTTGTGATGTGTTTGCTCAACTAACAGAATTGAACCATCGTTTTGAAGGAGCAGTTTTGAAACACTGTTTTCGTGGAATCTGCAAGTGGATATTTGGCTAGCTTTGAGGATTTCCTTGGAAACGGGATTACATATAAAAAGGAGACAGCAGCATTCTCAGAAACTTCTTTGTGATGTCTGCATTCAAGTCACAGAGTTGAGCATTCCCTTTCATAGAGCAGGTTGGAAACACTCTTTTTGTAGTATCTGGATGAGGACATTTGGAGCGCTTTCAGGCGTATGGTGAAAAAGGAAATATCTTCCCGTAAAAACTAGACAGAAGCATTCTCAGAAGTTTATTTGTGATGTGTGCCCTCAACTAACAGAGTTGAACCTTTCTTTTGATACAGCAGTTTTGAAACACTCTTTTTGTAAAATCTGCAAGAGGATATTTGGATAGCTTTGAGGATTTCGTTGCAAACGGGAATGGCTTCATATAAACTCTAGACAGAAGCATTCTCAGAAACTTCGTTGGGATGTTTCGATTGAAGTCCCAGTGTTGAACATTCCCTTTTATAGAGCAGGTTGGAAACACTCTTTCTGCATTCCCTGGAAGTGGACATTTGGAGCGCTTTCAGGACGACGGTGAAAATGGAAATATCTTCCAAGAAAATCTAGATAGAAGCAACGTCAGAAACTTTTCTGTGATGGATCTACTCAGCTAACAGAGTTGAACCTTTCTTTTGAGAGAGCAGTTTTGCAACACTCTTTTTGTGAAATATGCAAGTGGATATTAGGGCAGCTTTGAGGATTTCGTTGGAAACGGGAATACATGTAAAAAGCAGACAGCAGCATTCTCAGAAACTTGTTTGTGATGTTTGCATTGAAGTCACAGAGTTGAACATTCCCTTTGAGAGAGCAGGTTTGAAACACGCCTTTTGTCATATCTGGAAGTGTCCATTCGAAGCGCATTCAGGCTTGTGTTGAAAAAGGAAATATCCTCCCATAAAAACTAGACAGAAGCATTCTCAGAAACTTATCTGTGATGTATGTACTCAACTAACAGAACTAAACCATCGTTTTGAAGGAGCAGTTTTGAAACACTCTTTTTGCGGAATCTGCAAGTGGATATTTGGCTAGCTGGGAGGATTTCGTTGGAAACGGGATTACATACAAAAAGCAGACAGCAGCATTCTCAGAAACTTCTTTGTGATGTTTGCATTCAAGTCACAGAGTTGAACATTCCCTTTCATAGAGCAGGTTGGAAACACTCTTTTTGTAGTATCTGGATGTGGACATTTGGATCGCTTTCAGGCCTATGGTGAAAAAGGAAATATCTTCCCATGAAAACTAGACAGAAGCATTCTCAGAAACTTATTTGTGATGTGTGCCCTCAACTGACAGTGTTGAACCTTTGTTTTGATAGAGCAGTTCTGAAACACACTTTTTGTAAAATCTGCAAGAGGATATTTGGATAGCTTTGAGGATTTCGTTGGAAACGGGAATGTCTTCATGTAAACTCTACACAGAAGCATTCTCAGAAACTGCTTTGGGATGTTTCAATTGAAGTCCCAGTGTTGAACATTCCCTTTCATAGAGCAGGTTTGAAACACTCTTTTTGTACTATCTGGAAGTGGACATTTGGAGCGCTTTCAGGTCTACGGTGAAAAAGGAGATATCTTCCAATAAAAACTAGATAGAAGCAATGTCAGAACTTTTTTCATGATGTATCTACTCAGCAAACAGAGTTGAACCTTTCTTTTGAGAGAGCAGTTTTGAAACACTCTTTTTGTGGAATATGCAAGTGGGTATTAGGCCAGCTTGGAGGATTTCTTTGGAAACGGGAATACGTATAAAAAGCAGACAGCAGCATTGTCAGAAACTACTTTGTGATGTTTGCATTCAAGTCACAGAATTGAACACTCCCTTTCACAGAGCAGGTTTGAAACACTCTTTTTGTAGTGTCTGTAAGTGAACATTTGGATTGCTTTCAGGCCTAAGGTGAAAAAGGAAATATCTTCCCATAAAAACTAGACAGAAGCATTCTCAGAAACTTGTTTGTGATGTGTGCCCTCTACTGACAGAGTTGAACCTTTCTTTGCAAAGACCAGTTTTGAAACACTCTTTTTGTAGAATCTGCAAGAGGATATTTGGATAGCTTTGAGGATTTCTTGGGAAACGGGAATGTCTTCAGATAAACTCTAGACAGAAGCATTCTCAGAAACTTCTTTGGGATGTTTCAATTGAAGTCACAGTGTTGAACATTCCCTTTCACAGAGCAGGTTTGAAACACTCTTTTTGTAGTGTCTATAAGTGAACATTTGGCGTGCTTTCAGGCGTAACGTGAAAAAGGAAATATCTTCCCATAAAAACCAGACAGAAGCATTCTCAGAAACTTGTTCGTGATGTGTGCCCTCTACTGACAGAGTTGAACCTTTCTTTGCAAAGAGCAGCTTTGAAACACACTTTTTGTAGAATCTGCAAGAGGATATTTGGATAGTGTTTGAGGATTTCGTTGGAAACGGGTATGTCTTCAGATAAACTCTAGACAGAAGCATTCTCAGAAACTTCTTTGGGATGTTGCATGCAAGTCACAGAGTAGAACATTCCCATTCATAGAGCAGATTTGAAACACTCTTTTTGTAGTATCTGGAAGTGGACATTTGGAGCGCTTTCAGGCCTATGTTGAAAAAGGAAATATCTTCCCATAAAAACTAGACGGAAGCATTCTCAGAAACTTAATTGTGATGTGTTTGCTCAACTAACAGGATTGAACCGTCGTTTTGAAGGAGCAGTTTTGAAACACTGTTTTCGTGGAATCTGCAAGTGGATATTTGGCTAGCTTTGAGGATTTCGTTGGAAACGGGATTACATATAAAAAGGAGACAGCAGCATTCTCAGAAACTTCTTTGTGATGTCTGCATTCAATTCACAGAGTTGAGCATTCCTTTTCATAGAGCAGGTTGGAAACACTCTTTTTGTAGTATCTGGATGAGGACATTTGGAGCGCTTTCAGGCGTATGGTGAAAAGGGAAATATCTTCCCGTAAAAACTAGACAGAAGCATTCTCAGAAGTTTATTTGTGATGTGTGCCCTCAACTAACAGAGTTGAACCTTTCTTTTGATAGAGCAGTTTTGAAACACTCTTTTTGTAAAATCTGCAAGAGGATATTTGGATAGCTTTGAGGATTTCGTTGCAAACGGGAATGGCTTCATATAAACTCTAGACAGAAGCATTCTCAGAAACTTCGTTGGGATGTTTCGATTGAAGTCCCAGTGTTGAACATTCCCTTTTATAGAGCAGGTTGGAAACACTCTTTCTGCATTCCCTGGAAGTGGACATTTGGAGCGCTTTCAGGACGACGGTGAAAATGGAAATATCTTCCAAGAAAATCTAGATAGAAGCAATGTCAGAAACTTTTATGTGATGGATCTACTCAGCTAACAGAGTTGAACCTTTCTTTTGAGAGAGCAGTTTTGCAACACTCCTTTTGTGGAATATGCAAGTGGATATTAGGGCAGCTTTGAGGATTTCGTTGGAAACGGGAATACATGTAAAAAGCAGACAGCCAGCATTCTCAGAAACTTCTTTGTGATGTTTGCATTGAAGTCACAGAGTTGAACATTCCCTTTGAGAGAGCAGGTTTGAAACACGCCTTTTGTCATATCTGGAAGTGTCCATTCGGAGCGCATTCAGGCTTGTGTTGAAAAAGGAAATATCCTCCCATAAAAACTAGACAGAAGCATTCTCAGAAACTTATTTGTGATGTATGTACTCAACTAACAGAACTAAACCATCGTTTTGAAGGAGCAGTTTTGAAACACTCTTTTTGCGGAATCTGCAAGTGGATATTTGGCTAGCTGGGAGGATTTCGTTGGAAACGGGATTACATACAACAAGCAGACAGCAGCATTCTGAGAAACTTCTTTGTGATGTTTGCATTCAAGTCACAGAGTTGAACATTCCCTTTCATAGAGCAGGTTTGAAACACTCTTTTTGTAGTATCTGGATGTGGACATTTGGATCGCTTTCAGGCCTATGGTGAAAAAGGAAATATCTTCCCATGAAAACTAGACAGAAGCATTCTCAGAAACTTATTTGTGATGTGTGCCCTCAACTGACAGTGTTGAACCTTTGTTTTGATAGAGCAGTTCTGAAACACACTTTTTGTAAAATCTGCAAGAGGATATTTGGATAGCTTTGAGGATTTCGTTGGAAACGGGAATGTCTTCATGTAAACTCTAGACAGAAGCATTCTCAGAAACTGCTTTGGGATGTTTCAATTGAAGTCCCAGTGTTGAACATTCCCATTCATAGAGCAGGTTTGAAACACTCTTTTTGTACTATCTGGAAGTGGACATTTGGAGCGCTTTCAGGTCTACGGTGAAAAAGGAGATATCTTCCAATAAAAACTAGATAGAAGCAATGTCAGAACTTTTTTCATGATGTATCTACTCAGCAAACAGAGTTGAACCTTTCTTTTGAGAGAGCAGTTTTGAAACACTCTTTTTGTGGAATATGCAAGTGGGTATTAGGCCAGCTTGGAGGATTTCGTTGGAAACGGGAATACGTATAAAAAGCAGACAGCAGCATTGTCAGAAACTACTTTGTGATGTTTGCATTCAAGTCACAGAATTGAACACTCCCTTTCACAGAGCAGGTTTGAAACACTCTTTTTGTAGTGTCTGTAAGTGAACATTTGGATTGCTTTCAGGCCTAAGGTGAAAAAGGAAATATCTTCCCATAAAAACTAGACAGAAGCATTCTCAGAAACTTGTTTGTGATGTGTGCCCTCTACTGACAGAGTTGAACCTTTCTTTGCAAAGAGCAGTTTTGAAACACTCTTTTTGTAGAATCTGCAAGAGGATATTTGGATAGCTTTGAGGATTTCTTGGGAAACGGGAATGTCTTCAGATAAACTCTAGACAGAAGCATTCTCAGAAACTTCTTTGGGATGTTTCAATTGAAGTCACAGTGTTGAACATTCCCTTTCACAGAGCAGGTTTGAAACACTCTTTTTGTAGTGTCTATAAGTGAACATTTGGCGTGCTTTCAGGCCTAACGTGAAAAAGGAAATATCTTCCCATAAAAACTAGACAGAAGCATTCTCAGAAACTTGTTCGTGATGTGTGCCCTCTACTGACAGAGTTGAACCTTTCTTTGCAAAGAGCAGCTTTGAAACACTCTGTTTGTAGAATCTGCAAGAGGATATTTGGATAGCTTGGAGGATTTCGTTGGAAACGGGTATGTCTTCAGATAAACTCTAGACAGAAACATTCTCAGAAACTTCTTTGGGATGTTGCATTCAAGTCACAGAGTAGAACATTCCCATGCATAGAGCAGATTTGAAACACTCTTTTTGTAGTATCTGGAAGTGGACATTTGGAGCGCTTTCAGGCCTATGTTGAAAAAGGAAATATCTTCCCATAAAAACTAGACGGGAAGCATTCTCAGAAACTTATTTGTGATGTGTTTGCTCAACTAACAGGATTGAACCATCGTTTTGAAGGAGCAGTTTTGAAACACTGTTTTCGTGGAATCTGCAAGTGGATATTTGGCTAGCTTTGAGGATTTCGTTGGAAACGGGATTACATATACAAAGGAGACAGCCAGCATTCTCAGTAAACTTCTTTGTGATGTCTGCATTCAATTCACAGCAGTTGAGCATTCCCTTTCATAGAGCAGGTTGGAAACACTCTTTTTGTAGTATCTGGATGAGGACATTTGGAGCGCTTTCAGGCGTATGGTGAAAAAGGAAATATCTTCCCGTAAAAACTAGACAGAAGCATTCTCAGAAGTTTATTTGTGATGTGTGCCCTCAACTAACAGAGTTGAACCTTTCTTTTGATAGAGCAGTTTTGAAACACTCTTTTTGTAAAATCTGCAAGAGGATATTTGGATAGCTTTGAGGATTTCGTTGCAAACGGGAATGGCTTCATATAAACTCTAGACAGAAGCATTCTCAGAAACTTCGTTGGGATGTTTCGATTGAAGTCCCAGTGTTGAACATTCCCTTTTATAGAGCAGGTTGGAAACACTCTTTCTGCATTCCCTGGAAGTGGACATTTGGAGCGCTTTCAGGACGACGGTGAAAATGGAAATATCTTCCAAGAAAATCTAGATAGAAGCAATGTCAGAAACTTTTATGTGATGGATCTACTCAGCTAACACAGTTGAACCTTTCTTTTGAGAGAGCAGTTTTGCAACACTCTTTTTGTGGAATATGCAAGTGGATATTAGGGCAGCTTTGAGGATTTCGTTGGAAACGGGAATACATGTAAAAAGCAGACAGCAGCATTCTCAGAAACTTACTTTGTGATGTTTGCATTGAAGTCACAGAGTTGAACATTCCCTTTGAGAGAGCAGGATTGAAACACGCCTTTTGTCATATCTGGAAGTGTCCATTCGGAGCGCATTCAGGCTTGTGTTGAAAAAGGAAATATCCTCCCATAAAAAGTATACAGAAGCATTCTCAGAAACTTATCTGTGATGTATGTACTCAACTAACAGCAACTAAACCATCGTTTTGAAGGAGCAGTTTTGAAACACTCTTTTTGCGGAATCTGCAAGTGGATATTTGGCTAGCTGGGAGGATTTCGTTGGAAACGGGATTACATACAAAAAGCAGACAGCAGCATTCTCAGAAACTTCTTTGTGATGTTTGCATTCAAGTCACAGAGTTGAACATTCCCTTTCATAGAGCAGGTTTGAAACACTCTTTTTGTAGTATCTGGATGTGGACATTTGGATCGCTTTCAGGCCTATGGTGAAAAAGGAAATATCTTCCCATGAAAACTAGACAGAAGCATTCTCAGAAACTTATTTGTGATGTGTGCCCTCAACTGACAGTGTTGAACCTTTGTTTTGATAGAGCAGTTCTGAAACACACTTTTTGTAAAATCTGCAAGAGGATATTTGGATAGCTTTGAGGATTTCGTTGGAAACGGGAATGTCTTCATGTAAACTCTAGACAGAAGCATTCTCAGAAACTGCTTTGGGATGTTTCAATTGAAGTCCCAGTGTTGAACATTCCCATTCATAGAGCAGGTTTGAAACACTCTTTTTGTAGTATCTGGAAGTGGACATTTGGAGCGCTTTCAGGTCTACGGTGAAAAAGGAGATATCTTCCAATAAAAACTAGATAGAAGCAATGTCAGAACTTTTTTCATGATGTATCTACTCAGCTAACAGAGTTGAACCTTTCTTTTGAGAGAGCAGTTTTGAAACACTCTTTGTGTGGAATATGCAAGTGGGTATTAGGCCAGCTTGGAGGATTTCGTTGGAAACGGGAATACGTATAAAAAGCAGACAGCAGCATTGTCAGAAACTACTTTGTGATGTTTGCATTCAAGTCACAGAATTGAACACTCCCTTTCACAGAGCAGGTTTGAAACACTCTTTTTGTAGTGTCTATAAGTGAACATTTGGCGTGCTTTCAGGCCTAAGGTGAAAAAGGAAATATCTTCCCATAAAAACTAGACAGAAGCATTCTCAGAAACTTGTTTGTGATGTGTGCCCTCTACTGACAGAGTTGAACCTTTCTTTGCAAAGAGCAGCTTTGAAACACTCTTTTTGTAGAATCTGTAAGAGGATATTTGGATAGCTTTGAGGATTTCGTTGGAAACGGGTATGTCTTCAGATAAACTCTAGACAGAAGCATTCTCAGAAACTTCTTTGGGATGTTGCATTCAAGTCACAGAGTAGAACATTCCCATTCATAGAGCAGATTTGAAACACTCTTTTTGTAGTATCTGGAAGTGGACATTTGGAGCGCTTTCAGGCCTATGTTGAAAAAGGAAATATCTTCCCATAAAAACTAGACGGAAGCATTCTCAGAAACTTACTTGTGATGTGTTTGCTCAACTAACAGAATTGAACCATCGTTTTGAAGGAGCAGTTTTGAAACACTGTTTTCGTGGAATCTGCAAGTGGATATTTGGCTAGCTTTGAGGATTTCGTTGGAAACGGGATTACATATAAAAAGGAGACAGCAGCATTCTCAGAAACTTCTTTGTGATGTCTGCATTCAAGTCACAGAGTTGAGCATTCCCTTTCATAGAGCAGGTTGGAAACACTCTTTTTGTAGTATCTGGATGAGGACATTTGGAGCGCTTTCAGGCGTATGGTGAAAAAGGAAATATCTTCCCGTAAAAACTAGACAGAAGCATTCTCAGAAATTTATTTGTGATGTGTGCCCTCAACTAACAGAGTTGAACCTTTCTTTTGATAGAGCAGTTTTGAAACACTCTTTTTGTAAAATCTGCAAGAGGATATTTGGATAGCTTTGAGGATTTCGTTGCAAACGGGAATGGCTTCATATACACTCTAGACAGAAGCATTCTCAGAAACTTCGTTGGGATGTTTCGATTGAAGTCCCAGTGTTGAACATTCCCTTTTATAGAGCAGGTTGGAAACACTCTTTCTGCATTCCCTGGAAGTGGACATTTGGAGCGCTTTCAGGACGACGGTGAAAATGGAAATATCTTCCAAGAAAATCTAGATAGAAGCAACGTCAGAAACTTTTCTGTGATGGATCTACTCAGCTAACAGAGTTGAACCTTTCTTTTGAGAGAGCAGTTTTGCAACACTCTTTTTGTGGAATATGCAAGTGGATATTAGGGCAGCTTTGAGGATTTCGTTGGAAACGGGAATACATGTAAAAAGCAGACAGCAGCATTCTCAGAAACTTCTTTGTGATGTTTGCATTGAAGTCACAGAGTTGAACATTCCCTTTGAGAGAGCAGGTTTGAAACACGCCTTTTGTCATATCTGGAAGTGTCCATTCGGAGCGCATTCAGGCTTGTGTTGAAAAAGGAAATATCCTCCCATAAAAACTAGACAGAAGCATTCTCAGAAACTTATCTGTGATGTATGTACTCAACTAACAGAACTAAACCATCGTTTTGAAGGAGCAGTTTTGAAACACTCTTTTTGCGGAATCTGCAAGTGGATATTTGGCTAGCTGGGAGGATTTCGTTGGAAACGGGATTACATACAAAAAGCAGACAGCAGCATTCTCAGAAACTTCTTTGTGATGTTTGCATTCAAGTCACAGAGTTGAACATTCCCTTTCATAGAGCAGGTTTGAAACACTCTTTTTGTAGTATCTGGATGTGGACATTTGGATCGCTTTCAGGCCTATGGTGAAAAAGGAAATATCTTCCCATGAAAACTAGACAGAAGCATTCTCAGAAACTTATTTGTGATGTGTGCCCTCAACTGACAGTGTTGAACCTTTGTTTTGATAGAGCAGTTCTGAAACACACTTTTTGTAAAATCTGCAAGAGGATATTTGGATAGCTTTGAGGATTTCGTTGGAAACGGGAATGTCTTCATGTAAACTCTAGACAGAAGCATTCTCAGAAACTGCTTTGGGATGTTTCAATTGAAGTCCCAGTGTTGAACATTCCCTTTCATAGAGCAGGTTTGAAACACTCTTTTTGTACTATCTGGAAGTGGACATTTGGAGCGCTTTCAGGTCTACGGTGAAAAAGGAGATATCTTCCAATAAAAACTAGATAGAAGCAATGTCAGAACTTTTTTCATGATGTATCTACTCAGCAAACAGAGTTGAACCTTTCTTTTGAGAGAGCAGTTTTGAAACACTCTTTTTGTGGAATATGCAAGTGGGTATTAGGCCAGCTTGGAGGATTTCGTTGGAAACGGGAATACGTATAAAAAGCAGACAGCAGCATTGTCAGAAACTACTTTGTGATGTTTGCATTCAAGTCACAGAATTGAACACTCCCTTTCACAGAGCAGGTTTGAAACACTCTTTTTGTAGTGTCTGTAAGTGAACATTTGGATTGCTTTCAGGCCTAAGGTGAAAAAGGAAATATCTTCCCATAAAAACTAGACAGAAGCATTCTCAGAAACTTGTTTGTGATGTGTGCCCTCTACTGACAGAGTTGAACCTTTCTTTGCAAAGGGCAGTTTTGAAACACTCTTTTTGTAGAATCTGCAAGAGGATATTTGGATAGCTTTGAGGATTTCTTGGGAAACGGGAATGTCTTCAGATAAACTCTAGACAGAAGCATTCTCAGAAACTTCTTTGGGATGTTTCAATTGAAGTCACAGTGTTGAACATTCCCTTTCACAGAGCAGGTTTGAAACACTCTTTTTGTAGTGTCTATAAGTGAACATTTGGCGTGCTTTCAGGCCTAACGTGAAAAAGGAAATATCTTCCCATAAAAACTAGACAGAAGCATTCTCAGAAACTTGTTCGTGATGTGTGCCCTCTACTGACAGAGTTGAACCTTTCTTTGCAAAGAGCAGCTTTGAAACACACTTTTTGTAGAATCTGCAAGAGGATATTTGGATAGCTTTGAGGATTTCGTTGGAAACGGGTATGTCTTCAGATAAACTCTAGACAGAAGCATTCTCAGAAACTTCTTTGGGATGTTGCATTCAAGTCACAGAGTAGAACATTCCCATTCATAGAGCAGATTTGAAACACTCTTTTTGTAGTATCTGGAAGTGGACATTTGGAGCGCTTTCAGGCCTATGTTGAAAAAGGAAATATCTTCCCATAAAAACTAGACGGAAGCATTCTCAGAAACTTACTTGTGATGTGTTTGCTCAACTAACAGGATTGAACCATCGTTTTGAAGGAGCAGTTTTGAAACACTGTTTTCGTGGAATCTGCAAGTGGATATTTGGCTAGCTTTGAGGATTTCGTTGGAAACGGGATTACATATAAAAAGGAGACAGCAGCATTCTCAGAAACTTCTTTGTGATGTCTGCATTCAAGTCACAGAGTTGAGCATTCCCTTTCATAGAGCAGGTTGGAAACACTCTTTTTGTAGTATCTGGATGAGGACATTTGGAGCGCTTTCAGGCGTATGGTGAAAAAGGAAATATCTTCCCGTAAAAACTAGACAGAAGCATTCTCAGAATTTTATTTGTGATGTGTGCCCTCAACTAACAGAGTTGAACCTTTCTTTTGATAGAGCAGTTTTGAAACACTCTTTTTGTAAAATCTGCAAGAGGATATTTGGATAGCTTTGAGGATTTCGTTGCAAACGGGAATGGCTTCATATAAACTCTAGACAGAAGCATTCTCAGAAACTTCGTTGGGATGTTTCGATTGAAGTCCCAGTGTTGAACATTCCCTTTTATAGAGCAGGTTGGAAACACTCTTTCTGCATTCCCTGGAAGTGGACATTTGGAGCGCTTTCAGGACGACGGTGAAAATGGAAATATCTTCCAAGAAAATCTAGATAGAAGCAACGTCAGAAACTTTTCTGTGATGGATCTACTCAGCTAACAGAGTTGAACCTTTCTTTTGAGAGAGCAGTTTTGCAACACTCTTTTTGTGGAATATGCAAGTGGATATTAGGGCAGCTTTGAGGATTTCGTTGGAAACGGGAATACATGTAAAAAGCAGACAGCAGCATTCTCAGAAACTTCTTTGTGATGTTTGCATTGAAGTCACAGAGTTGAACATTCCCTTTCAGAGAGCAGGTTTGAAACACGCCTTTTGTCATATCTGGAAGTGTCCATTCGGAGCGCATTCAGGCTTGTGTTGAAAAAGGAAATATCCTCCCATAAAAACTAGACAGAAGCATTCTCAGAAACTTATCTGTGATGTATGTACTCAACTAACAGAACTAAACCATCGTTTTGAAGGGCAGTTTTGAAACACTCTTTTTGCGGAATCTGCAAGTGGATATTTGGCTAGCTGGGAGGATTTCGTTGGAAACGGGATTACATACAAAAAGCAGACAGCAGCATTCTCAGAAACTTCTTTGTGATGTTTGCATTCAAGTCACAGAGTTGAACATTCCCTTTCATAGAGCAGGTTTGAAACACTCTTTTTGTAGTATCTGGATGTGGACATTTGGATCGCTTTCAGGCCTATGGTGAAAAAGGAAATATCTTCCCATGAAAACTAGACAGAAGCATTCTCAGAAACTTATTTGTGATGTGTGCCCTCAACTGACAGTGTTGAACCTTTGTTTTGATAGAGCAGTTCTGAAACACACTTTTTGTAAAATCTGCAAGAGGATATTTGGATAGCTTTGAGGATTTCGTTGGAAACGGGAATGTCTTCATGTAAACTCTACACAGAAGCATTCTCAGAAACTGCTTTGGGATGTTTCAATTGAAGTCCCAGTGTTGAACATTCCCATTCATAGGGCAGGTTTGAAGCACTCTTTTTGTACTATCTGGAAGTGGACATTTGGAGCGCTTTCAGGTCTACGGTGAAAAAGGAGATATCTTCCAATAAAAACTAGATAGAAGCAATGTCAGATCTTTTTTCATGATGTATCTACTCAGCAAACAGAGTTGAACCTTTCTTTTGAGGGAGCAGTTTTGAAACACTATTTTTGTGGAATATGCAAGTGGGTATTAGGCCAGCTTGGAGGATTTCGTTGGAAACGGTAATACGTATAAAAAGCAGACAGCAGCATTGTCAGAAACTACTTTGTGATGTTTGCATTCAAGTCACAGAATTGAACACTCCCTTTCACAGAGCAGGTTTGAAACACTCTTTTTGTAGTGTCTGTAAGTGAACATTTGGGTTGCTTTCAGGCCTAAGGTGAAAAAGGAAATATCTTCCCATAAAAACTAGACAGAAGCATTCTCAGAAATTTATTTGTGATGTGCGCCCTCAACTAACAGTGTTGAACCTTTCTTTTGATAGAGCAGTTTTGAAACACTCTTTTTGTAAAATCTGCAAGAACATATTTGGACAGCTTTGAGGATTTCGTTGGAAACGGGATTGTCTTCATATAAACTCTAGACAGAAGCATTCTCAGAAACTTCTTTGGGATGTTTCAATTGAAGTCACAGTGTTGAACATTCCCATTCATAGAGCAGATTTGAAACACTCTTTTTGTAGTATCTGGAAGTGGACATTTGGAGCGCTTTCAGGCCTATGTTGAAAAAGGAAATATCTTCCCATAAAAACTAGACGGAAGCATTCTCAGAAACTTATCTGTGATGTATGTACTCAACTAACAGCAACTAAACCATCGTTTTGAAGGAGCAGTTTTGAAACACTCTTTGTGCGGAATCTGCAAGTGGATATTTGGCTAGCTGGGAGGATTTCGTTGGAAACGGGATTACATACAAAAAGCAGACAGCAGCGTTGTGAGAAACGTCTTTATGATGTTTGCATTCAAGTCACAGAGTTGAACGTTCCGTATCATAGAGCAGGTTGGAAACACGCCTTTTGTCATATCTGGAAGTGTCCATTTGGAGTGCATTCAGGCTTGTGTTGAAAAAGGAAATACCTTCCCATAGAAACCAGACAGAAGCATTCTCAGAAACTTATTTGTGATGTGTGTACTCAACTAACAGAATTCAACAATCGTTTTGAAGGAGCAGTTTTGAAACACTCTTTTTGTGGAATCTGCAAGTGCATATTTAGCTAGATTTGAGGATTTCGTTGGAAACGGGATTACATATAAAAAGCAGGCCGCAGCATTCTCAGAAACTTCTTTGTGATGTTTGCATTCAAGTCACAGAGTTGAACATTCCCTTTCATAGAGCAGGATTGAAAAACTCTTTTTGTAGAATCTGGATGTGGACATTTGGAGCGCTTTCAGGCCTATGGTGAAAAAGGAAATATCTTCCCCTGAAAACTAGACAGAAGCACTCTCAGAAACTTAATTGTGATGTGTGCCCTCAACTAACAGTGTTGAACCTTTCTTTTCATAGAGCAGTTTTGAAACACAATTTTGTTAAATCTGCAAGAGGATATTTGGATAGCTTTGAGGATTTCGTTGGAAACGGGATTGTCTTCATATAAACTCTAGACAGAAAGCATTCTCAGAAACTGCTTTGGGATGTTTCAATTGAAGTCCCAGTGTTGAACATTCCCATTCATAGAGCAGGTTTGAAACACTCTTTTTGTACTATCTGGAAGTGGACATTTGGAGCGCTTTCAGGTCTACGGTGAAAAAGGAGATATCTTCCAATAAAAACTAGATAGAAGCAATGTCAGAACTTTTTTCATGATGTATCTACTCAGCAAACAGAGTTGAACCTTTCTTTTGAGAGAGCAGTTTTGAAACACTCTTTTTGTGGAATATGCAAGTGGGTATTAGGCCAGCTTGGAGGATTTCGTTGGAAACGGGAATACGTATAAAAAGCAGACAGCAGCATTGTCAGAAACTACTTTGTGATGTTTGCATTCAAGTCACAGAACTGAACACTCCCTTTCACAGAGCAGGTTTGAAACACTCTTTTTGTAGTGTCTGTAAGTGAACATTTGGATTGCTTTCAGGCCTAAGGTGAAAAAGGAAATATCTTCCCATAAAAACTAGACAGAAGCATTCTCAGAAACTTGTTTGTGATGTGTGCCCTCTACTGACAGAGTTGAACCTTTCTTTGCAAAGAGCAGTTTTGAAACACTCTTTTTGTAGAATCTGCAAGAGGATATTTGGATAGCTTTGAGGATTTCTTGGGAAACGGGAATGTCTTCAGATAAACTCTAGACAGAAGCATTCTCAGAAACTTCTTTGGGATGTTTCAATTGAAGTCACAGTGTTGAACATTCCCTTTCACAGAGCAGGTTTGAAACACTCTTTTTGTAGTGTCTATAAGTGAACATTTGGCGTGCTTTCAGGCGTAACGTGAAAAAGGAAATATCTTCCCATAAAAACCAGACAGAAGCATTCTCAGAAACTTGTTCTTGATGTGTCCCCTCTACTGACAGAGTTGAACCTTTCTTTGCAAAGAGCAGCTTTGAAACACTCTTTTTGTAGAATCTGCAAGAGGATATTTGGATAGCTTGGAGGATTTCGTTGGAAACGGGTATGTCTTCAGATAAACTCTAGACAGAAGCATTCTCAGAAACTTCTTTGGGATGTTGCATTCAAGTCACAGAGTAGAACATTCCCATTCATAGAGCAGATTTGAAACACTCTTTTTGTAGTATCTGGAAGTGGACATTTGGAGCGCTTTCAGGCCTATGTTGAAAAAGGAAATATCTTCCCATAAAAACTAGACGGAAGCATTCTCAGAAACTTATTTGTGATGTGTTTGCTCAACTAACAGGATTGAACCATCGTTTTGAAGGAGCAGTTTTGAAACACTGTTTTCGTGGAATCTGCAAGTGGATATTTGGCTAGCTTTGAGGATTTCGTTGGAAACGGGATTACATATAAAAAGGAGACAGCAGCATTCTCAGAAACTTCTTTGTGATGTCTGCATTCAAGTCACAGAGTTGAGCATTCCCTTTCATAGAGAAGGTTGGAAACACTCTTTTTGTAGTATCTGGATGAGGACATTTGGAGCGCTTTCAGGCGTATGGTGAAAAAGGAAATATCTTCCCGTAAAAACTAGACAGAAGCATTCTCAGAAATTTATTTGTGATGTGTGCCCTCAACTAACAGAGTTGAACCTTTCTTTTGATAGAGCAGTTTTGAAACACTCTTTTTGTAAAATCTGCAAGAGGATATTTGGATAGCTTTGAGGATTTCGTTGCAAACGGGAATGGCTTCATATAAACTCTAGACAGAAGCATTCTCAGAAACTTCGTTGGGATGTTTCGATTGAAGTCCCAGTGTTGAACATTCCCTTTTATAGAGCAGGTTGGAAACACTCTTTCTGCATTCCCTGGAAGTGGACATTTGGAGCGCTTTCAGGACGACGGTGAAAATGGAAATATCTTCCAAGAAAATCTAGATAGAAGCAATGTCAGAAACTTTTATGTGATGGATCTACTCAGCTAACAGAGTTGAACCTTTCTTTTGAGAGAGCAGTTTTGCAACACTCTTTTTGTGGAATATGCAAGTGGATATTAGGGCAGCTTTGAGGATTTCGTTGGAAACGGGAATACATGTAAAAAGCAGACAGCAGCATTCTCAGAAACTTCTTTGTGATGTTTGCATTGAAGTCACAGAGTTGAACATTCCCTTTGAGAGAGCAGGTTTGAAACACGCCTTTTGTCATATCTGGAAGTGTCCATTCGGAGCGCATTCAGGCTTGTGTTGAAAAAGGAAATATCCTCCCATAAAAACTAGACAGAAGCATTCTCAGAAACTTATCTGTGATGTATGTACTCAACTAACAGAACTAAACCATCGTTTTGAAGGAGCAGTTTTGAAACACTCTTTTTGCGGAATCTGCAAGTGGATATTTGGCTAGCTTGGAGGATTTCGTTGGAAACGGGATTACATACAAAAAGCAGAGAGCAGCATTCTCAGAAACTTATTTGTGATGTGTGCCCTCAACTGACAGTGTTGAACCTTTGTTTTGATAGAGCAGTTCTGAAACACACTTTTTGTAAAATCTGCAAGAGGATATTTGGATAGCTTTGAGGATTTCGTTGGAAACGGGAATGTCTTCATGTAAACTCTGGACAGAAGCATTCTCAGAAACTGCTTTGGGATGTTTCAATTGAAGTCCCAGTGTTGAACATTCCCATTCATAGAGCAGGTTTGAAACACTCTTTTTGTACTATCTGGAAGTGGACATTTGGAGCGCTTTCAGGTCTACGGTGAAAAAGGAGATATCTTCCAATAAAAACTAGATAGAAGCAATGTCAGAACTTTTTTCATGATGTATCTACTCAGCAAACAGAGTTGAACCTTTCTTTTGAGAGAGCAGTTTTGAAACACTCTTTTTGTGGAATATGCAAGTGGGTATTAGGCCAGCTTGGAGGATTTCGTTGGAAACGGGAATACGTATAAAAAGCAGACAGCAGCATTGTCAGAAACTACTTTGTGATGTTTGCATTCAAGTCACAGAATTGAACACTCCCTTTCACAGAGCAGGTTTGAAACACTCTTTTTGTAGTGTCTGTAAGTGAACATATGGATTGCTTTCAGGCCTAAGGTGAAAAAGGAAATATCTTCCCATAAAAACTAGACAGAAGCATTCTCAGAAACTTGTTTCTGATGTGTGCCCTCTACTGACAGAGTTGAACCTTTCTTTGCAAAGAGCAGTTTTGAAACACTCTTTTTGTAGAATCTGCAAGAGGATATTTGGATAGCTTTGAGGATTTCTTGGGAAACGGGAATGTCTTCAGATAAACTCTAGACAGAAGCATTCTCAGAAACTTCTTTGGGATGTTTCAATTGAAGTCACAGTGTTGAACATTCCCTTTCACAGAGCAGGTTTGAAACACTCTTTTTGTAGTGTCTATAAGTGAACATTTGGCGTGCTTTCAGGCCTAACGTGAAAAAGGAAATATCTTCCCATAAAAACTAGACAGAAGCATTCTCAGAAACTTGTTCTTGATGTGTCCCCTCTACTGACAGAGTTGAACCTTTCTTTGCAAAGAGCAGCTTTGAAACACTCTTTTTGTAGAATCTGCCAGAGGATATTTGGATAGCTTTGAGGATTTCGTTGGAAACGGGTATGTCTTCAGATAAACTCTAGACAGAAGCATTCTCAGAAACTTCTTTGGGATGTTGCATTCAAGTCACAGAGTAGAACATTCCCATTCATAGAGCAGATTTGAAACACTCTTTTTGTAGTATCTGGAAGTGGACATTTGGAGCGCTTTCAGGCCTATGTTGAAAAAGGAAATATCTTCCCATAAAAACTAGACGGAAGCATTCTCAGAAACTTATTTGTGATGTGTTTGCTCAACTAACAGGATTGAACCATCGTTTTGAAGGAGCAGTTTTGAAACACTGTTTTCGTGGAATCTGCAAGTGGATATTTGGCTAGCTTTGAGGATTTCGTTGGAAACGGGATTACATATAAAAAGGAGACAGCAGCATTCTCAGAAACTTCTTTGTGATGTCTGCATTCAATTCACAGAGTTGAGCATTCCCTTTCATAGAGCAGGTTGGAAACACTCTTTTTGTAGTATCTGGATGAGGACATTTGGAGCGCTTTCAGGCGTATGGTGAAAAAGGAAATATCTTCCCGTAAAAACTAGACAGAAGCATTCTCAGAAGTTTATTTGTGATGTGTGCCCTCAACTAACAGAGTTGAACCTTTCTTTTGATAGAGCAGTTTTGAAACACTCTTTTTGTAAAATCTGCAAGAGGATATTTGGATAGCTTTGAGGATTTCGTTGCAAACGGGAATGGCTTCATATAAACTCTAGACAGAAGCATTCTCAGAAACTTCGTTGGGATGTTTCGATTGAAGTCCCAGTGTTGAACATTCCCTTTTATAGAGCAGGTTGGAAACACTCTTTCTGCATTCCCTGGAAGTGGACATTTGGAGCGCTTTCTGGACGACGGTGAAAATGGAAATATCTTCCAAGAAAATCTAGATAGAAGCAATGTCAGAAACTTTTATGTGATGGATCTACTCAGCTAACAGAGTTGAACCTTTCTTTTGAGAGAGCAGTTTTGCAACACTCCTTTTGTGGAATATGCAAGTGGATATTAGGGCAGCTTTGAGGATTTCGTTGGAAACGGGAATACATGTAAAAAGCAGACAGCAGCATTCTCAGAAACTTCTTTGTGATGTTTGCATTGAAGTCACAGAGTTGAACATTCCCTTTGAGAGAGCAGGTTTGAAACACGCCTTTTGTCATATCTGGAAGTGTCCATTCGGAGCGCATTCAGGCTTGTGTTGAAAAAGGAAATATCCTCCCATAAAAACTAGACAGAAGCATTCTCAGAAACTTATTTGTGATGTATGTACTCAACTAACAGAACTAAACCATCGTTTTGAAGGAGCAGTTTTGAAACACTCTTTTTGCGGAATCTGCAAGTGGATATTTGGCTAGCTGGGAGGATTTCGTTGGAAACGGGATTACATACAAAAAGCAGAGAGCAGCATTCTCAGAAACTTCTTTGTGATGTTTGCATTCAAGTCACAGAGTTGAACATTCCCTTTCATAGAGCAGGTTTGAAACACTCTTTTTGTAGTATCTGGATGTGGACATTTGGATCGCTTTCAGGCCTACGGTGAAAAAGGAAATATCTTCCCATGAAAACTAGACAGAAGCATTCTCAGAAACTTATTTGTGATGTGTGCCCTCAACTGACAGTGTTGAACCTTTGTTTTGATAGAGCAGTTCTGAAACACACTTTTTGTAAAATCTGCAAGAGGATATTTGGATAGCTTTGAGGATTTCGTTGGAAACGGGAATGACTTCATGTAAACTCTAGACAGAAGCATTCTCAGAAACTGCTTTGGGATGTTTCAATTGAAGTCCCAGTGTTGAACATTCCCTTTCATAGGAGCAGGTTTGAAACACTCTTTTTGTACTATCTGGAAGTGGACATTTGGAGCGCTTTCAGGTCTACGGTGAAAAAGGAGATATCTTCCAATAAAAACTAGATAGAAGCAATGTCAGAACTTTTTTCATGATGTATCTACTCAGCAAACAGAGTTGAACCTTTCTTTTGAGAGAGCAGTTTTGAAACACTCTTTTTGTGGAATATGCAAGTGGGTATTAGGCCAGCTTGGAGGATTTCGTTGGAAACGGGAATACGTATAAAAAGCAGACAGCAGCATTGTCAGAAACTACTTTGTGATGTTTGCATTCAAGTCACAGAATTGAACACTCCCTTTCACAGAGCAGGTTTGAAACACTCTTTTTGTAGTGTCTGTAAGTGAACATTTGGATTGCTTTCAGGCCTAAGGTGAAAAAGGAAATATCTTCCCATAAAAACTAGACAGAAGCATTCTCAGAAACTTGTTTGTGATGTGTGCCCTCTACTGACAGAGTTGAACCTTTCTTTGCAAAGAGCAGTTTTGAAACACTCTTTTTGTAGAATCTGCAAGAGGATATTTGGATAGCTTTGAGGATTTCTTGGGAAACGGGAATGTCTTCAGATAAACTCTAGACAGAAGCATTCTCAGAAACTTCTTTGGGATGTTTCAATTGAAGTCACAGTGTTGAACATTCCCTTTCACAGAGCAGGTTTGAAACACTCTTTTTGTAGTGTCTATAAGTGAACATTTGGCGTGCTTTCAGGCCTAACGTGAAAAAGGAAATATCTTCCCATAAAAACTAGACAGAAGCATTCTCAGAAACTTGTTTGTGATGTGTGCCCTCTACTGACAGAGTTGAACCTTTCCTTGCAAAGAGCAGCTTTGAAACACTCTTTTTGTAGAATCTGCAAGAGGCTATTTGGATAGCTTTGAGGATTTCGTTGGAAACGGTTATGTCTTCAGATAAACTCTAGACAGAAGCATTCTCAGAAACTTCTTTGGGATGTTTCAATTGAAGTCACAGTGTTGAACATTCCCTTTCACAGAGCAGGTTTGAAACACTCTTTTTGTAGTGTCTATAAGTGAACATTTGGCGTGCTTTCAGGCCTAACGTGAAAAAGGAAATATCTTCCCATAAAAACTAGACAGAAGCATTCTCAGAAACTTGTTCATGATGTGTGCCCTCTACTGACAGAGTTGAACCTTTCTTTGCAAAGAGCAGCTTTGAAACACTCTTTTTGTAGAATCTGCAAGAGGATATTTGGATAGCTTTGAGGATTTCGTTGGAAACGGGTATGTCTTCAGATAAACTCTAGACAGAAGCATTCTCAGAAACTTCTTTGGGATGTTGCATTCAAGTCACAGAGTAGAACATTCCCATTCATAGAGCAGATTTGAAACACTCTTTTTGTAGTATCTGGAAGTGGACATTTGGAGCGCTTTCAGGCCTATGTTGAAAAAGGAAATATCTTCCCATAAAAACTAGACGGAAGCATTCTCAGAAACTTACTTGTGATGTGTTTGCTCAACTAACAGAATTGAACCATCGTTTTGAAGGAGCAGTTTTGAAACACTGTTTTCGTGGAATCTGCAAGTGGATATTTGGCTAGCTTTGAGGATTTCGTTGGAAACGGGATTACATATAAAAAGGAGACAGCAGCATTCTCAGAAACTTCTTTGTGATGTCTGCATTCAAGTCACAGAGTTGAGCATTCCCTTTCATAGAGCAGGTTGGAAACACTCTTTTTGTAGTATCTGGATGAGGACATTTGGAGCGCTTTCAGGCGTATGGTGAAAAAGGAAATATCTTCCCGTAAAAACTAGACAGAAGCATTCTCAGAAGTTTATTTGTGATGTGTGCCCTCAACTAACAGAGTTGAACCTTTCTTTTGATAGAGCAGTTTTGAAACACTCTTTTTGTAAAATCTGCAAGAGGATATTTGGATAGCTTTGAGGATTTCGTTGCAAACGGGAATGGCTTCATATAAACTCTAGACAGAAGCATTCTCAGAAACTTCGTTGGGATGTTTCGATTGAAGTCCCAGTGTTGAACATTCCCTTTTATAGAGCAGGTTGGAAACACTCTTTCTGCATTCCCTGGAAGTGGACATTTGGAGCGCTTTCAGGACGACGGTGAAAATGGAAATATCTTCCAAGAAAATCTAGATAGAAGCAATGTCAGAAACTTTTATGTGATGGATCTACTCAGCTAACAGAGTTGAACCTTTCTTTTGAGAGAGCAGTTTTGCAACACTCTTTTTGTAGAATATGCAAGTGGATATTAGGGCAGCTTTGAGGATTTCGTTGGAAACGGGAATACATGTAAAAAGCAGACAGCAGCATTCTCAGAAACTTCTTTGTGATGTTTGCATTGAAGTCACAGAGTTGAACATTCCCTTTGAGAGAGCAGGTTTGAAACACGCCTTTTGTCATATCTGGAAGTGTCCATTCGGAGCGCATTCAGGCTTGTGTTGAAAAAGGAAATATCCTCCCATAAAAACTAGACAGAAGCATTCTCAGAAACTTATCTGTGATGTATGTACTCAACTAACAGAACTAAACCATCGTTTTGAAGGAGCAGTTTTGAAACACTCTTTTTGCGGAATCTGCAAGTGGATATTTGGCTAGCTGGGAGGATTTCGTTGGAAACGGGATTACATACAAAAAGCAGAGAGCAGCATTCTCAGAAACTTCTTTGTGATGTTTGCATTCAAGTCACAGAGTTGAACATTCCCTTTCATAGAGCAGGTTTGAAACACTCTTTTTGTAGTATCTGGATGTGGACATTTGGATCGCTTTCAGGCCTATGGTGAAAAAGGAAATATCTTCCCATGAAAACTAGACAGAAGCATTCTCAGAAACTTATTTGTGATGTGTGCCCTCAACTGACAGTGTTGAACCTTTGTTTTGATAGAGCAGTTCTGAAACACACTTTTTGTAAAATCTGCAAGAGGATATTTGGATAGCTTTGAGGATTTCGTTGGAAACGGGAATGTCTTCATGTAAACTTCTAGACAGAAGCATTCTCAGAAACTGCTTTGGGATGTTTCAATTGAAGTCCCAGTGTTGAACATTCCCTTTCATAGAGCAGGTTTGAAACACTCTTTTTGTACTATCTGGAAGTGGACATTTGGAGCGCTTTCAGGTCTAAGGTGAAAAAGGAGATATCTTCCAATAAAAACTAGATAGAAGCAATGTCAGAACTTTTTTCATGATGTATCTACTCAGCAAACAGAGTTGAACCTTTCTTTTGAGAGAGCAGTTTTGAAACACTCTTTTTGTGGAATATGCAAGTGGGTATTAGGCCAGCTTGGAGGATTTCGTTGGAAACGGGAATACGTATAAAAAGCAGACAGCAGCATTGTCAGAAACTACTTTGTGATGTTTGCATTCAAGTCACAGAATTGAACACTCCCTTTCACAGAGCAGGTTTGAAACACGCTTTTTGTAGTGTCTGTAAGTGAACATTTGGATTGCTTTCAGGCCTAAGGTGAAAAAGGAAATATCTTCCCATAAAAACTAGACAGAAGCATTCTCAGAAACTTGTTTGTGATGTGTGCCCTCTACTGACAGAGTTGAACCTTTCTTTGCAAAGAGCAGTTTTGAAACACTCTTTTTGTAGAATCTGCAAGAGGATATTTGGATAGCTTTGAGGATTTCTTGGGAAACGGGAATGTCTTCAGATAAACTCTAGACAGAAGCATTCTCAGAAACTTCTTTGGGATGTTTCAATTGAAGTCACAGTGTTGAACATTCCCTTTCACAGAACAGGTTTGAAACACTCTTTTTGTAGTGTCTATAAGTGAACATTTGGCGTGCTTTCAGGCGTAACGTGAAAAAGGAAATATCTTCCCATAAAAACTAGACAGAAGCATTCTCAGAAACTTGTTCTTGATGTGTCCCCTCTACTGACAGAGTTGAACCTTTCTTTGCAAAGAGCAGCTTTGAAACACTCTTTTTGTAGAATCTGCAAGAGGATATTTGGATAGCTTGGAGGATTTCGTTGGAAACGGGTATGTCTTCAGATAAACTCTAGACAGAAGCATTCTCAGAAACTTCTTTGGGATGTTGCATTCAAGTCACAGAGTAGAACATTCCCATTCATAGAGCAGATTTGAAACACTCTTTTTGTAGTATCTGGAAGTGGACATTTGGAGCGCTTTCAGGCCTATGTTGAAAAAGGAAATATCTTCCCATAAAAACTAGACGGAAGCATTCTCAGAAACTTATTTGTGATGTGTTTGCTCAACTAACAGGATTGAACCATCGTTTTGAAGGAGCAGTTTTGAAACACTGTTTTCATGGAATCTGCAAGTGGATATTTGGCTAGCTTTGAGGATTTCGTTGGAAACGGGATTACATATAAAAAGGAGACAGCAAGCATTCTCAGAAACTTCTTTGTGATGTTTGCATTCAAGTCACAGAGTTGAACATTCCCTTTCATAGAGCAGGTTTGAAACACTCTTTTTGTAGTATCTGGATGTGGACATTTGGATCGCTTTCAGGCCTATGGTGAAAAAGGAAATATCTTCCCATGAAAACTAGACAGAAGCATTCTCAGAAACTTATTTGTGATGTGTGCCCTCAACTGACAGTGTTGAACCTTTGTTTTGATAGAGCAGTTCTGAAACACACTTTTTGTAAAATCTGCAAGAGGATATTTGGATAGCTTTGAGGATTTCGTTGGAAACGGGAATGTCTTCATGTAAACTCTACACAGAAGCATTCTCAGAAACTGCTTTGGGATGTTTCAATTGAAGTCCCAGTGTTGAACATTCCCATTCATAGAGCAGGTTTGAAACACTCTTTTTGTACTATCTGGAAGTGGACATTTGGAGCGCTTTCAGGTCTACGGTGAAAAAGGAGATATCTTCCAATAAAAACTAGATAGAAGCAATGTCAGAACTTTTTTCATGATGTATCTACTCAGCTAACAGAGTTGAACCTTTCTTTTGAGAGAGCAGTTTTGAAACACTCTTTTTGTGGAATATGCAAGTGGGTATTAGGCCAGCTTGGAGGATTTCGTTGGAAACGGGAATACGTATAAAAAGCAGACAGCAGCATTGTCAGAAACTACTTTGTGATGTTTGCATTCAAGTCACAGAACTGAACACTCCCTTTCACAGAGCAGGTTTGAAACACTCTTTTTGTAGTGTCTGTAAGTGAACATATGGATTGCTTTCAGGCCTAAGGTGAAAAAGGAAATATCTTCCCATAAAAACTAGACAGAAGCATTCTCAGAAACTTGTTTGTGATGTGTGCCCTCTACTGACAGAGTTGAACCTTTCTTTGCAAAGAGCAGTTTTGAAACACTCTTTTTGTAGAATCTGCAAGAGGATATTTGGATAGCTTTGAAGATTTCTTGGGAAACGGGAATGTCTTCAGATAAACTCTAGACAGAAGCATTCTCAGAAACTTCTTTGGGATGTTTCAATTGAAGTCACAGTGTTGAACATTCCCTTTCACAGAGCAGGTTTGAAACACTCTTTTTGTAGTGTGTATAAGTGAACATTTCGCGTGCTTTCAGGCCTAACGTGAAAAAGGAAATATCTTCCCATAAAAACTAGACAGAAGCATTCTCAGAAACTTGTTCATGATGTGTGCCCTCTACTGACAGAGTTGAACCTTTCTTTGCAAAGAGCAGCTTTGAAACACTCTTTTTGTAGAATCTGCAAGAGGATATTTGGATAGCTTGGAGGATTTCGTTGGAAACGGGTATGTCTTCAGATAAACTCTAGACAGAAGCATTCTCAGAAACTTCTTTGGGATGTTGCATTCAAGTCACAGAGTAGAACATTCCCATTCATAGAGCAGATTTGAAACACTCTTTTTGTAGTATCTGGAAGTGGACATTTGGAGCGCTTTCAGGCCTATGTTGAAAAAGGAAATATCTTCCCATAAAAACTAGACGGAAGCATTCTCAGAAACTTACTTGTGATGTGTTTGCTCAACTAACAGAATTGAACCATCGTTTTGAAGGAGCAGTTTTGAAACACTGTTTTCGTGGAATCTGCAAGTGGATATTTGGCTAGCTTTGAGGATTTCGTTGGAAACGGGATTACATATAAAAAGGAGACAGCAGCATTCTCAGAAACTTCTTTGTGCTGTCTGCATTCAAGTCACAGAGTTGAGCATTCCCTTTCATAGAGCAGGTTGGAAACACTCTTTTTGTAGTATCTGGATGAGGACATTTGGAGCGCTTTCAGGCGTATGGTGAAAAAGGAAATATCTTCCCGTAAAAACTAGACAGAAGCATTCTCAGAAATTTATTTGTGATGTGTGCCCTCAACTAACAGAGTTGAACCTTTCTTTTGATAGAGCAGTTTTGAAACACTCTTTTTGTAAAATCTGCAAGAGGATATTTGGATAGCTTTGAGGATTTCATTGCAAACGGGAATGGCTTCATATAAACTCTAGACAGAAGCATTCTCAGAAACTTCGTTGGGATGTTTCGATTGAAGTCCCAGTGTTGAACATTCCCTTTTATAGAGCAGGTTGGAAACACTCTTTCTGCATTCCCTGGAAGTGGACCTTTGGAGCGCTTTCAGGACGACGGTGAAAATGGAAATATCTTCCAATAAAATCTAGATAGAAGCAACGTCAGAAACTTTTATGTGATGGATCTACTCAGCTAACAGAGTTGAACCTTTCTTTTGAGAGAGCAGTTTTGCAACACTCTTTTTGTGGAATATGCAAGTGGATATTAGGGCAGCTTTGAGGATTTCGTTGGAAACGGGAATACATGTAAAAAGCAGACAGCAGCATTCTCAGAAACTTCTTTGTGATGTTTGCATTGAAGTCACAGAGTTGAACATTCCCTTTGAGAGAGCAGGTTTGAAACACGCCTTTTGTCATATCTGGAAGTGTCCATTCGGAGCGCATTCAGGCTTGTGTTGAAAAAGGAAATATCCTCCCATAAAAACTAGACAGAAGCATTCTCAGAAACTTATCTGTGATGTATGTACTCAACTAACAGAACTAAACCATCGTTTTGAAGGAGCAGTTTTGAAACACTCTTTTTGCGGAATCTGCAAGTGGATATTTGGCTAGCTGGGAGGATTTCGTTGGAAACGGGATTACATACAAAAAGCAGACAGCAGCATTCTCAGAAACTTCTTTGTGATGTTTGCATTCAAGTCACAGAGTTGAACATTCCCTTTCATAGAGCAGGTTTGAAACACTCTTTTTGTAGTATCTGGATGTGGACATTTGGATCGCTTTCAGGCCTATGGTGAAAAAGGAAATATCTTCCCATGAAAACTAGACAGAAGCATTCTCAGAAACTTATTTGTGATGTGTGCCCTCAACTGACAGTGTTGAACCTTTGTTTTGATAGAGCAGTTCTGAAACACACTTTTTGTAAAATCTGCAAGAGGATATTTGGATAGCTTTGAGGATTTCGTTGGAAACGGGAATGTCTTCATGTAAACTCTGGACAGAAGCATTCTCAGAAACTGCTTTGGGATGTTTCAATTGAAGTCCCAGTGTTGAACATTCCCTTTCATAGAGCAGGTTTGAAACACTCTTTTTGTAGTATCTGGAAGTGGACATTTGGAGCGCTTTCAGGTCTACGGTGAAAAAGGAGATATCTTCCAATAAAAACTAGATAGAAGCAATGTCAGAACTTTTTTCATGATGTATCTACTCAGCAAACAGAGTTGAACCTTTCTTTTGAGAGAGCAGTTTTGAAACACTCTTTTTGTGGAATATGCAAGTGGGTATTAGGCCAGCTTGGAGGATTTCGTTGGAAACGGGAATACGTATAAAAAGCAGACAGCAGCATTGTCAGAAACTACTTTGTGATGTTTGCATTCAAGTCACAGAATTGAACACTCCCTTTCACAGAGCAGGTTGGAAACACTCTTTTTGTAGTGTCTGTAAGTGAACATTTGGATTGCTTTCAGGCCTAAGGTGAAAAAGGAAATATCTTCCCATAAAAACTAGACAGATAAGCATTCTCAGAAACTTGTTTGTGATGTGTGCCCTCTACTGACAGAGTTGAACCTTTCTTTGCAAAGAGCAGTTTTGAAACACTCTTTTTGTAGAATCTGCAAGAGGATATTTGGATAGCTTTGAGGATTTCTTGGGAAACGGGAATGTCTTCAGATAAACTCTAGACAGAAGCATTCTCAGAAACTTCTTTGGGATGTTTCAATTGAAGTCACAGTGTTGAACATTCCCTTTCACAGAGCAGGTTTGAAACACTCTTTTTGTAGTGTCTATAAGTGAACATTTGGCGTGCTTTCAGGCCTAACGTGAAAAAGGAAATATCTTCCCATAAAAACTAGACAGAAGCATTCTCAGAAACTTGTTCGTGATGTGTGCCCTCTACTGACAGAGTTGAACCTTTCTTTGCAAAGAGCAGCTTTGAAACACTCTTTTTGTAGAATCTGCAAGAGGATATTTGGATAGCTTTGAGGATTTCGTTGGAAACGGGTATGTCTTCAGATAAACTCTAGACAGAAGCATTCTCAGAAACTTCTTTGGGATGTTGCATTCAAGTCACAGAGTAGAACATTCCCATTCATACACCAGATTTGAAACACTCTTTTTGTAGTATCTGGAAGTGGACATTTGGAGCGCTTTCAGGCATATGTTGAAAAAGGAAATATCTTCCCATAAAAACTAGACAGAAGCATTCTCAGAAACTTGTTTGTGATGTGTGCCCTCTACTGACAGATTTGAACCTTTCTTTGCAAAGAGCAGCTTTGAAACACTCTTTTTGTAGAATCTGCAAGAGGATATTTGGATAGCTTTTGGGATTTCGTTGGAAACGGGTATGTCTTCAGATAAACTCTAGACAGAAGCATTCTCAGAAACTTCTTTGGGATGTTTCAATTGAAGTCACAGTGTTGAACATTCCCTTTCACAGAGCAGGTTTGAAACACTCTTTTTGTAGTGTCTATAAGTGAACATTTGGCGTGCTTTCAGGCCTAACGTGAAAAAGGAAATATCTTCCCATAAAAACTAGACAGAAGCATTCTCAGAAACTTGTTCGTGATGTGTGCCCTCTACTGACAGAGTTGAACCTTTCTTTGCAAAGAGCAGCTTTGAAACACTCTTTTTGTAGAATCTGCAAGAGGATATTTGGATAGCTTTGAGGATTTCGTTGGAAACGGGTATGTCTTCAGATAAACTCTAGACAGAAGCATTCTCAGAAACTTCTTTGAGATATTGCATTCAAGTCACAGAGTAGAACATTCCCATTCATAGAGCAGATTTGAAACACTCTTTTTGTAGTATCTGGAAGTGGACATTTGGAGCGCTTTCAGGCCTATGTTGAAAAAGGAAATATCTTCCCATAAAAACTAGACGGAAGCATTCTCAGAAACTTACTTGTGATGTGTTTGCTCAACTAACAGAATTGAACCATCGTTTTGAAGGAGCAGTTTTGAAACACTGTTTTCGTGGAATCTGCAAGTGGATATTTGGCTAGCTTTGAGGATTTCGTTGGAAACGGGATTACATATAAAAAGGAGACAGCAGCATTCTCAGAAACTTCTTTGTGATGTTTGCATTCAAGTCACAGAGTTGAACATTCCCTTTCATAGAGCAGGTTGGAAACACTCTTTTTGTAGTATCTGGATGTGGACATTTAGATGGCTTTCAGGCCTATGGTGAAAAAGGAAATATCTTCCCATGAAAACTAGACAGAAGCATTCTCAGAAACTTATTTGTGATGTGTGCCCTCAACTGACAGTGTTGAACCTTTGTTTTGATAGAGCAGTTCTGAAACACACTTTTTGTAAAATCTGCAAGAGGATATTTGGATAGCTTTGAGGATTTCGTTGGAAACGGGAATGTCTTCATGTAAACTCTAGACAGAAGCATTCTCAGAAACTGCTTTGGGATGTTTCAATTGAAGTCCCAGTGTTGAACATTCCCATTCATAGAGCAGGTTTGAAACACTCTTTTTGTACTATCTGGAAGTGGACATTTGGAGCGCTTTCAGGTCTACGGTGAAAAAGGAGATATCTTCCAATAAAAACTAGATAGAAGCAATGTCAGAACTTTTTTCATGATGTATCTACTCAGCAAACAGAGTTGAACCTTTCTTTTGAGAGAGCAGTTTTGAAACACTCTTTTTGTGGAATATGCAAGTGGGTATTAGGCCAGCTTGGAGGATTTCGTTGGAAACGGGAATACGTATAAAAAGCAGACAGCAGCATTGTCAGAAACTACTTTGTGATGTTTGCATTCAAGTCACAGAATTGAACACTCCCTTTCACAGAGCAGGTTTGAAACACTCTTTTTGTAGTGTCTGTAAGTGAACATTTGGATTGCTTTCAGGCCTAAGGTGAAAAAGGAAATATCTTCCCATAAAAACTAGACAGAAGCATTCTCAGAAACTTGTTTGTGATGTGTGCCCTCTACTGACAGAGTTGAACCTTTCTTTGCAAAGAGCAGTTTTGAAACACTCTTTTTGTAGAATCTGCAAGAGGATATTTGGATAGCTTTGAGGATTTCTTGGGAAACGGGAATGTCTTCAGATAAACTCTAGACAGAAGCATTCTCAGAAACTTCTTTGGGATGTTTCAATTGAAGTCACAGTGTTGAACATTCCCTTTCACAGAGCAGGTTTGAAACACTCTTTTTGTAGTGTCTATAAGTGAACATTTGGCGTGCTTTCAGGCCTAACGTGAAAAAGGAAATATCTTCCCATAAAAACTAGACAGAAGCATTCTCAGAAACTTGTTCTTGATGTGTCCCCTCTACTGACAGAGTTGAACCTTTCTTTGCAAAGAGCAGCTTTGAAACACTCTTTTTGTAGAATCTGCAAGAGGATATTTGGATAGCTTGGAGGATTTCGTTGGAAACGGGTATGTCTTCAGATAAACTCTAGACAGAAGCATTCTCAGAAACTTCTTTGGGATTTTGCATTCAAGTCACAGAGTAGAACATTCCCATTCATAGAGCAGATTTGAAACACTCTTTTTGTAGTATCTGGAAGTGGACATTTGGAGCGCTTTCAGGCCTATGTTGAAAAAGGAAATATCTTCCCATAAAAACTAGACGGAAGCATTCTCAGAAACTTATTTGTGATGTGTTTGCTCAACTAACAGGATTGAACCATCGTTTTGAAGGAGCAGTTTTGAAACACTGTTTTCGTGGAATCTGCAAGTGGATATTTGGCTAGCTTTGAGGATTTCGTTGGAAACGGGATTACATATAAAAAGGAGACAGCAGCATTCTCAGAAACTTCTTTGTGATGTCTGCATTCAATTCACAGAGTTGAGCATTCCCTTTCATAGAGCAGGTTGGAAACACTCTTTTTGTAGTATCTGGATGAGGACATTTGGAGCGCTTTCAGGCGTATGGTGAAAAAGGAAATATCTTCCCGTAAAAACTAGACAGAAGCATTCTCAGAAATTTATTTGTGATGTGTGCCCTCAACTAACAGAGTTGAACCTTTCTTTTGATAGAGCAGTTTTGAAACACTCTTTTTGTAAAATCTGCAAGAGGATATTTGGATAGCTTTGAGGATTTCATTGCAAACGGGAATGGCTTCATATAAACTCTAGACAGAAGCATTCTCAGAAACTTCGTTGGGATGTTTCGATTGAAGTCCCAGTGTTGAACATTCCCTTTTATAGAGCAGGTTGGAAACACTCTTTCTGCATTCCCTGGAAGTGGACATTTGGAGCGCTTTCAGGACGACGGTGAAAATGGAAATATCTTCCAAGAAAATCTAGATAGAAGCAATGTCAGAAACTTTTATGTGATGGATCTACTCAGCTAACAGAGTTGAACCTTTCTTTTGAGAGAGCAGTTTTGCAACACTCTTTTTGTGGAATATGCAAGTGGATATTAGGGCAGCTTTGAGGATTTCGTTGGAAACGGGAATACATGTAAAAAGCAGACAGCAGCATTCTCAGAAACTTCTTTGTGATGTTTGCATTGAAGTCACAGAGTTGAACATTCCCTTTGAGAGAGCAGGTTTGAAACACGCCTTTTGTCATATCTGGAAGTGTCCATTCGGAGCGCATTCAGGCTTGTGTTGAAAAAGGAAATATCCTCCCATAAAAACTAGACAGAAGCATTCTCAGAAACTTATCTGTGATGTATGTACTCAACTAACAGAACTAAACCATCGTTTTGAAGGAGCAGTTTTGAAACACTCTTTTTGCGGAATCTGCAAGTGGATATTTGGCTAGCTGGGAGGATTTCGTTGGAAACGGGATTACATACAAAAAGCAGAGAGCAGCATTCTCAGAAACTTCTTTGTGATGTTTGCATTCAAGTCACAGAGTTGAACATTCCCTTTCATAGAGCAGGTTTGAAACACTCTTTTTGTAGTATCTGGATGTGGACATTTGGATCGCTTTCAGGCCTACGGTGAAAAAGGAAATATCTTCCCATGAAAACTAGACAGAAGCATTCTCAGAAGTTTATTTCTGATGTGTGCCCTCAACTAACAGAGTTGAACCTTTCTTTTGATAGAGCAGTTTTGAAACACTCTTTTTGTAAAATCTGCAAGAGGATATTTTGATAGCTTTGAGGATTTCGTTGCAAACGGGAATGGCTTCATATAAACTCTAGACAGAAGCATTCTCAGAAACTTCGTTGGGATGTTTCGATTGAAGTCCCAGTGTTGAACATTCCCATTCATAGAGCAGGTTTGAAACACTCTTTTTGTACTATCTGGAAGTGGACATTTGGAGCGCTTTCAGGTCTACGGTGAAAAAGGAGATATCTTCCAATAAAAACTAGATAGAAGCAATGTCAGAACTTTTTTCATGATGTATCTACTCAGCAAACAGAGTTGAACCTTTCTTTTGAGAGAGCAGTTTTGAAACACTCTTTTTGTGGAATATGCAAGTGGGTATTAGGCCAGCTTGGAGGATTTCGTTGGAAACGGGAATACGTATAAAAAGCAGACAGCAGCATTGTCAGAAACTACTTTGTGATGTTTGCATTCAAGTCACAGAATTGAACACTCCCTTTCACAGAGCAGGTTTGAAACACTCTTTTTGTAGTGTCTGTAAGTGAACATTTGGATTGCTTTCAGGCCTAAGGTGAAAAAGGAAATATCTTCCCATAAAAACTAGACAGAAGCATTCTCAGAAACTAGTTTGTGATGTGTGCCCTCTACTGACAGAGTTGAACCTTTCTTTGCAAAGAGCAGTTTTGAAACACTCTTTTTGTAGAATCTGCAAGAGGATATTTGGATAGCTTTGAGGATTTCTTGGGAAACGGGAATGTCTTCAGATAAACTCTAGACAGAAGCATTCTCAGAAACTTCTTTGGGATGTTTCAATTGAAGTCACAGTGTTGAACATTCCCTTTCACAGAGCAGGTTTGAAACACTCTTTTTGTAGTGTCTATAAGTGAACATTTGGCGTGCTTTCAGGCCTAACGTGAAAAAGGAAATATCTTCCCATAAAAACTAGACAGAAGCATTCTCAGAAACTTGTTCGTGATGTGTTCCCTCTACTGACAGAGTTGAACCTTTCTTTGCAAAGAGCAGCTTTGAAACACTCTTTTTGTAGAATCTGCAAGAGGATATTTGGATAGCTTTGAGGATTTCGTTGGAAACGGGTATGTCTTCAGATAAACTCTAGACAGAAGCATTCTCAGAAACTTCTTTGGGATGTTGCATTCAAGTCACAGAGTAGAACATTCCCATTCATAGAGCAGATTTGAAACACTCTTTTTGTAGTATCTGGAAGTGGACATTTGGAGCGCTTTCAAGCCTATGTTGAAAAAGGATATATCTTCCCATAAAAACTAGACGGAAGCATTCTCAGAAACTTATTTGTGATGTGTTTGCTCAACTAACAGGATTGAACCACCGTTTTGAAGGAGCAGTTTTGAAACACTGTTTTCGTGGAATCTGCAAGTGGATATTTGGCTAGCTTTGAGGATTTCGTTGGAAACGGGATTACATATACAAAGGAGACAGCAGCATTCCCAGAAACTTCTTTGTGATGTCTGCATTCAATTCACAGAGTTGAGCATTCCCTTTCATAGAGCAGGTTGGAAACACTCTTTTTGTAGTATCTGGATGAGGACATTTGGAGCGCTTTCAGGCGTATGGTGAAAAAGGAAATATCTTCCCGTAAAAACTAGACAGAAGCATTCTCAGAAATTTATTTGTGATGTGTGCCCTCAACTAACAGAGTTGAACCTTTCTTTTGATAGAGCAGTTTTGAAACACTCTTTTTGTAAAATCTGCAAGAGGATATTGGGATAGCTTTGAGGATTTCGTTGCAAACGGGAATGGCTTCATATAAACTCTAGACAGAAGCATTCTCAGAAACTTCGTTGGGATGTTTCGATTGAAGTCCCAGTGTTGAACATTCCCTTTTATAGAGCAGGTTGGAAACACTCTTTCTGCATTCCCTGGAAGTGGACATTTGGAGCGCTTTCAGGACGACGGTGAAAATGGAAATATCTTCCAAGAAAATCTAGATAGAAGCAACGTCAGAAACTTTTCTGTGATGGATCTACTCAGCTAACAGAGTTGAACCTTTCTTTTGAGAGAGCAGTTTTGCAACACTCTTTTTGTGGAATATGCAAGTGGATATTAGGGCAGCTTTGAGGATTTCGTTGGAAACGGGAATACATGTAAAAAGCAGACAGCAGCATTCTCAGAAACTTCTTTGTGATGTTTGCATTGAAGTCACAGAGTTGAACATTCCCTTTGAGAGAGCAGGTTTGAAACACGCCTTTTGTCATATCTGGAAGTGTCCATTCGGAGCGCATTCAGGCTTGTGTTGAAAAAGGAAATATCCTCCCATAAAAACTAGACAGAAGCATTCTCAGAAACTTATCTGTGATGTATGTACTCAACTAACAGAACTAAACCATCGTTTTGAAGGAGCAGTTTTGAAACACTCTTTTTGCGGAATCTGCAAGTGGATATTTGGCTAGCTGGGAGGATTTCGTTGGAAACGGGATTACATACAAAAAGCAGACAGCAGCATTCTCAGAAACTTCTTTGTGATGTTTGCATTCAAGTCACAGAGTTGAACATTCCCTTTCATAGAGCAGGTTTGAAACACTCTTTTTGTAGTATCTGGATGTGGACATTTGGATCGCTTTCAGGCCTATGGTGAAAAAGGAAATATCTTCCCATGAAAACTAGACAGAAGCATTCTCAGAAACTTATTTGTGATGTGTGCCCTCAACTGACAGTGTTGAACCTTTGTTTTGATAGAGCAGTTCTGAAACACACTTTTTGTAAAATCTGCAAGAGGATATTTGGATAGCTTTGAGGATTTCGTTGGAAACGGGAATGTCTTCATGTAAACTCTAGACAGAAGCATTCTCAGAAACTGCTTTGGGATGTTTCAATTGAAGTCCCAGTGTTGAACATTCCCTTTCATAGAGCAGGTTTGAAACACTCTTTTTGTACTATCTGGAAGTGGACATTCGGAGCGCTTTCAGGTCTACGGTGAAAAAGGAGATATCTTCCAATAACAACTAGATAGAAGCAATGTCAGAACTTTTTTCATGATGTATCTACTCAGCAAACAGAGTTGAACCTTTCTTTTGAGAGAGCAGTTTTGAAACACTCTTTTTGTGGAATATGCAAGTGGGTATTAGGCCAGCTTGGAGGATTTCGTTGGAAACGGGAATACGTATAAAAAGCAGACAGCAGCATTGTCAGAAACTACTTTGTGATGTTTGCATTCAAGTCACAGAATTGAACACTCCCTTTCACAGAGCAGGTTTGAAACACTCTTTTTGTAGTGTCTGTAAGTGAACATTTGGATTGCTTTCAGGCCTAAGGTGAAAAAGGAAATATCTTCCCATAAAAACTAGACAGAAGCATTCTCAGAAACTTGTTTGTGATGTGTGCCCTCTACTGACAGAGTTGAACCTTTCTTTGCAAAGAGCAGTTTTGAAACACTCTTTTTGTAGAATCTGCAAGAGGATATTTGGATAGCTTTGAGGATTTCTTGGGAAACGGGAATGTCTTCAGATAAACTCTAGACAGAAGCATTCTCAGAAACTTCTTTGGGATGTTTCAATTGAAGTCACAGTGTTGAACATTCCCTTTCACAGAGCAGGTTTGAAACACTCTTTTTGTAGTGTCTATAAGTGAACATTTGGCGTGCTTTCAGGCCTAACGTGAAAAAGGAAATATCTTCCCATAAAAACTAGACAGAAGCATTCTCAGAAACTTGTTCGTGATGTGTGCCCTCTACTGACAGAGTTGAACCTTTCTTTGCAAAGAGCAGCTTTGAAACACACTTTTTGTAGAATCTGCAAGAGGATATTTGGATAGCTTGGAGGATTTCGTTGGAAACGGGTATGTCTTCAGATAAACTCTAGACAGAAGCATTCTCAGAAACTTCTTTGGGATGTTGCATTCAAGTCACAGAGTAGAACATTCCCATTCATAGAGCAGATTTGAAACACTCTTTTTGTAGTATCTGGAAGTGGACATTTGGAGCGCTTTCAGGCCTATGTTGAAAAAGGAAATATCTTCCCATAAAAACTAGACGGAAGCATTCTCAGAAACTTAATTGTGATGTGTTTGCTCAACTAACAGGATTGAACCATCGTTTTGAAGGAGCAGTTTTGAAACACTGTTTTCGTGGAATCTGCAAGTGGATATTTGGCTAGCTTTGAGGATTTCGTTGGAAACGGGATTACATATAAAAAGGAGACAGCAGCATTCTCAGAAACTTCTTTGTGATGTCTGCATTCAATTCACAGAGTTGAGCATTCCCTTTCATAGAGCAGGTTGGAAACACTCTTTTTGTAGTATCTGGATGAGGACATTTGGAGCGCTTTCAGGCGTATGGTGAAAAAGGAAATATCTTCCCGTAAAAACTAGACAGAAGCATTCTCAGAAGTTTATTTGTGATGTGTGCCCTCAACTAACAGAGTTGAACCTTTCTTTTGATAGAGCAGTTTTGAAACACTCTTTTTGTAAAATCTGCAAGAGGATATTTGGATAGCTTTGAGGATTTCGTTGCAAACGGGAATGGCTTCATATAAACTCTAGACAGAAGCATTCTCAGAAACTTCGTTGGGATGTTTCGATTGAAGTCCCAGTGTTGAACATTCCCTTTTATAGAGCAGGTTGGAAACACTCTTTCTGCATTCCCTGGAAGTGGACATTTGGAGCGCTTTCAGGACGACGGTGAAAATGGAAATATCTTCCAAGCAAAATCTAGATAGAAGCAATGTCAGAAACTTTTATGTGATGGATCTACTCAGCTAACAGAGTTGAACCTTTCTTTTGAGAGAGCAGTTTTGCAACACTCTTTTTGTGGAATATGCAAGTGGATATTAGGGCAGCTTTGAGGATTTCGTTGGAAACGGGAATACATGTAAAAAGCAGACAGCAGCATTCTCAGAAACTTCTTTGTGATGTTTGCATTGAAGTCACAGAGTTGAACATTCCCTTTGAGAGAGCAGGTTTGAAACACGCCTTTTGTCATATCTGGAAGTGTCCATTCGGAGCGCATTCAGGCTTGTGTTGAAAAAGGAAATATCCTCCCATAAAAACTAGACAGAAGCATTCTCAGAAACTTATCTGTGATGTATGTACTCAACTAACAGAACTAAACCATCGTTTTGAAGGAGCAGTTTTGAAACACTCTTTTTGCGGAATCTGCAAGTGGATATTTGGCTAGCTGGGAGGATTTCGTTGGAAACGGGATTACATACAAAAAGCAGAGAGCAGCATTCTCAGAAACTTCTTTGTGATGTTTGCATTGAAGTCACAGAGTTGAACATTCCCTTTCATAGAGCAGGTTTGAAACACTCTTTTTGTAGTATCTGGATGTGGACATTTGGATCGCTTTCAGGCCTATGGTGAAAAAGGAAATATCTTCCCATGAAAACTAGACAGAAGCATTCTCAGAAACTTATTTGTGATGTGTGCCCTCAACTGACAGTGTTGAACCTTTGTTTTGATAGAGCAGTTCTGAAACACACTTTTTGTAAAATCTGCAAGAGGATATTTGGATAGCTTTGAGGATTTCGTTGGAAACGGGAATGTCTTCATGTAAACTCTAGACAGAAGCATTCTCAGAAACTGCTTTGGGATGTTTCAATTGAAGTCCCAGTGTTGAACATTCCCTTTCATAGAGCAGGTTTGAAACACTCTTTTTGTACTATCTGGAAGTGGACATTTGGAGCGCTTTCAGGTCTACGGTGAAAAAGGAGATATCTTCCAATAAAAACTAGATAGAAGCAATGTCAGAACTTTTGTCATGATGTATCTACTCAGCAAACAGAGTTGAACCTTTCTTTTGAGAGAGCAGTTTTGAAACACTCTTTTTGTGGAATATGCAAGTGGGTATTAGGCCAGCTTGGAGGATTTCGTTGGAAACGGGAATACGTATAAAAAGCAGACAGCAGCATTGTCAGAAACTACTTTGTGATGTTTGCATTCAAGTCACAGAATTGAACACTCCCTTTCACAGAGCAGGTTTGAAACACTCTTTTTGTAGTGTCTGTAAGTGAACATTTGGATTGCTTTCAGGCCTATGTGAAAAAGGAAATATCTTCCCATAAAAACTAGACAGAAGCATTCTCAGAAACTTGTTTGTGATGTGTGCCCTCTACTGACAGAGTTGAACCTTTCTTTGCAAAGAGCAGTTTTGAAACACTCTTTTTGTAGAATCTGCAAGAGGATATTTGGATAGCTTTGAGGATTTCTTGGGAAACGGGAATGTCTTCAGATAAACTCTAGACAGAAAGCATTCTCAGAAACTTCTTTGGGATGTTTCAATTGAAGTCACAGTGTTGAACATTCCCTTTCACAGAGCAGGTTTGAAACACTCTTTTTGTAGTGTCTATAAGTGAACATTTGGCGTGCTTTCAGGCCTAACGTGAAAAAGGAAATATCTTCCCATAAAAACTAGACAGAGCATTCTCAGAAACTTGTTTGTGATGTGTGCCCTCTACTGACAGAGTTGAACCTTTCTTTGCAAAGAGCAGCTTTGAAACACTCTTTTTGTAGAATCTGCAAGAGGATATGTGGATAGCTTTGAGGATTTCGTTGGAAACGGGTATGTCTTCAGATAAACTCTAGACAGAAGCATTCTCAGAAACTTCTTTGGGATGTTGCATTCAAGTCACAGAGTAGAACATTCCCATTCATAGAGCAGATTTGAAACACTCTTTTTGTAGTATCTGGAAGTGGACATTTGGAGCGCTTTCAGGCCTATGTTGAAAAAGGAAATATCTTCCCATAAAAACTAGACGGAAGCATTCTCAGAAACTTACTTGTGATGTGTTTGCTCAACTAACAGAATTGAACCATCGTTTTGAAGGAGCAGTTTTGAAACACTGTTTTCGTGGAATCTGCAAGTGGATATTTGGCTAGCTTTGAGGATTTCGTTGGAAACGGGATTACATATAAAAAGGAGACAGCAGCATTCTCAGAAACTTCTTTGTGATGTCTGCATTCAAGTCACAGAGTTGAGCATTCCCTTTCATAGAGCAGGTTGGAAACACTCTTTTTGTAGTATCTGGATGAGGACATTTGGAGCGCTTTCAGGCGTATCGTGAAAAAGGAAATATCTTCCCGTAAAAACTAGACAGAAGCATTCTCAGAAGTTTATTTGTGATGTGTGCCCTCAACTAACAGAGTTGAACCTTTCTTTTGATAGAGCAGTTTTGAAACACTCTTTTTGTAAAATCTGCAAGAGGATATTTGGATAGCTTTGAGGATTTCGTTGCAAACGGGAATGGCTTCATATAAACTCTAGACAGAAGCATTCTCAGAAACTTCGTTGGGATGTTTCGATTGAAGTCCCAGTGTTGAACATTCCCTTTTATAGAGCAGGTTGGAAACACTCTTTCTGCATTCCCTGGAAGTGGACATTTGGAGCGCTTTCAGGACGGCGGTGAAAATGGAAATATCTTCCAAGAAAATCTAGATAGAAGCAATGTCAGAAACTTTTATGTGATGGATCTACTCAGCTAACAGAGTTGAACCTTTCTTTTGAGAGAGCAGTTTTGCAACACTCTTTTTGTGGAATATGCAAGTGGATATTAGGGCAGCTTTGAGGATTTCGTTGGAAACGGGAATACATGTAAAAAGCAGACAGCAGCATTCTCAGAAACTTCTTTGTGATGTTTGCATTGAAGTCACAGAGTTGAACATTCCCTTTGAGAGAGCAGGTTTGAAACACGCCTTTTGTCATATCTGGAAGTGTCCATTCGGAGCGCATTCAGGCTTGTGTTGAAAAAGGAAATATCCTCCCATAAAAACTAGACAGAAGCATTCTCAGAAACTTATCTGTGATGTATGTACTCAACTAACAGAACTAAACCATCGTTTTGAAGGGCAGTTTAGAAACACTCTTTTTGCGGAATCTGCAAGTGGATATTTGGCTAGCTGGGAGGATTTCGTTGGAAACGGGATTACATACAAAAAGCAGACAGCAGCATTCTCAGAAACTTCTTTGTGATGTTTGCATTCAAGTCACAGAGTTGAACATTCCCTTTCATAGAGCAGGTTTGAAACACTCTTTTTGTAGTATCTGGATGTGGACATTTGGATCGCTTTCAGGCCTATGGTGAAAAAGGAAATATCTTCCCATGAAAACTAGACAGAAGCATTCTCAGAAACTTATTTGTGATGTGTGCCCTCAACTGACAGTGTTGAACCTTTGTTTTGATAGAGCAGTTCTGAAACACACTTTTTGTAAAATCTGCAAGAGGATATTTGGATAGCTTTGAGGATTTCGTTGGAAACGGGAATGTCTTCATGTAAACTCTACACAGAAGCATTCTCAGAAACTGCTTTGGGATGTTTCAATTGAAGTCCCAGTGTTGAACATTCCCATTCATAGAGCAGGTTTGAAACACTCTTTTTGTACTATCTGGAAGTGGACATTTGGAGCGCTTTCAGGTCTACGGTGAAAAAGGAGATATCTTCCAATAAAAACTAGATAGAAGCAATGTCAGAACTTTTTTCATGATGTATCTACTCAGCTAACAGAGTTGAATCTTTCTTTTGAGAGAGCAGTTTTGAAACACTCTTTTTGTGGAATATGCAAGTGGGTATTAGGCCAGCTTGGAGGATTTCGTTGGAAACGGGAATACGTATAAAAAGCAGACAGCAGCATTGTCAGGAAACTACTTTGTGATGTTTGCATTCAAGTCACAGAATTGAACACTCCCTTTCACAGAGCAGGTTTGAAACACTCTTTTTGTAGTGTCTGTAAGTGAACATATGGATTGCTTTCAGGCCTAAGGTGAAAAAGGAAATATCTTCCCATAAAAACTAGACAGAAGCATTCTCAGAAACTTGTTTGTGATGTGTGCCCTCTACTGACAGAGTTGAACCTTTCTTTGCAAAGACCAGTTTTGAAACACTCTTTTTGTAGAATCTGCAAGAGGATATTTGGATAGCTTTGAGGATTTCTTGGGAAACGGGAATGTCTTCAGATAAACTCTAGACAGAAGCATTCTCAGAAACTTCTTTGGGATGTTTCAATTGAAGTCACAGTGTTGAACATTCCCTTTCACAGAGCAGGTTTGAAACACTCTTTTTGTAGTGTCTATAAGTGAACATTTGGCGTGCTTTCAGGCCTAACGTGAAAAAGGAAATATCTTCCCATAAAAACTAGACAGAAGCATTCTCAGAAACTTGTTCGTGATGTGTGCCCTCTACTGACAGAGTTGAACCTTTCTTTGCAAAGAGCAGCTTTGAAACACACTTTTTGTAGAATCTGCAAGAGGATATTTGGATAGCTTTGAGGATTTCGTTGGAAACGGGTATGTCTTCAGATAAACTCTAGACAGAAGCATTCTCAGAAACTTCTTTGGGATGTTGCATTCAAGTCACAGAGTAGAACATTCCCATTCATAGAGCAGATTTGAAACACTCTTTTTGTAGTATCTGGAAGTGGACATTTGGAGCGCTTTCAGGCCTATGTTGAAAAAGGAAATATCTTCCCATAAAAACTAGACGGAAGCATTCTCAGAAACTTATTTGTGATGTGTTTGCTCAACTAACAGGATTGAACCATCGTTTTGAAGGAGCAGTTTTGAAACACTGTTTTCGTGGAATCTGCAAGTGGATATTTGGCTAGATTTGAGGATTTCGTTGGAAACGGGATTACATATAAAAAGGAGACAGCAGCATTATCAGAAACTTCTTTGTGATGTTTGCATTCAAGTCACAGAGTTGAACATTCCCTTTCATAGAGCAGGTTTGAAACACTCTTTTTGTAGTATCTGGATGTGGACATTTGGAGCGCTTTCAGGCCTATGGTGAAAAAGGAAATATCTTCCCCTAAAAACTAGACAGAAGCATTCTCAGAAGTTTATTTCTGATGTGTGCCCTCAACTAACAGAGTTGAACCTTTCTTTTGATAGAGCAGTTTTGAAACACTCTTTTTGTAAAATCTGCAAGAGGATATTTGGATAGCTTTGAGGATTTCGTTGCAAACGGGAATGGCTTCATATAAACTCTAGACAGAAGCATTCTCAGAAACTTCGTTGGGATGTTTCGATTGAAGTCCCAGTGTTGAACATTCCCTTTTATAGAGCAGGTTGGAAACACTCTTTCTGCATTCCCTGGAAGTGGACATTTGGAGCGCTTTCAGGACGACGGTGAAAATGGAAATATCTTCCAAGAAAATCTAGATAGAAGCAATGTCAGAAACTTTTATGTGATGGATCTACTCAGCTAACAGAGTTGAACCTTTCTTTTGAGAGAGCAGTTTTGCAACACTCTTTTTGTGGAATATGCAAGTGGATATTAGGGCAGCTTTGAGGATTTCGTTGGAAACGGGAATACATGTAAAAAGCAGACAGCAGCATTCTCAGAAACTTCTTTGTGATGTTTGCATTGAAGTCACAGAGTTGAACATTCCCTTTGAGAGAGCAGGTTTGAAACACGCCTTTTGTCATATCTGGAAGTGTCCATTCGGAGCGCATTCAGGCTTGTGTTGAAAAAGGAAATATCCTCCCATAAAAACTAGACAGAAGCATTCTCAGAAACTTATCTGTGATGTATGTACTCAACTAACAGAACTAAACCATCGTTTTGAAGGAGCAGTTTTGAAACACTCTTTTTGCGGAATCTGCAAGTGGATATTTGGCTAGCTGGGAGGATTTCGTTGGAAACGGGATTACATACAAAAAGCAGACAGCAGCATTCTCAGAAACTTCTTTGTGATGTTTGCATTCAAGTCACAGAGTTGAACATTCCCTTTCATAGAGCAGGTTTGAAACACTCTTTTTGTAGTATCTGGATGTGGACATTTGGATCGCTTTCAGGCCTATGGTGAAAAAGGAAATATCTTCCCATGAAAACTAGACAGAAGCATTCTCAGAAACTTATTTGTGATGTGTGCCCTCAACTGACAGTGTTGAACCTTTGTTTTGATAGAGCAGTTCTGAAACACACTTTTTGTAAAATCTGCAAGAGGATATTTGGATAGCTTTGAGGATTTCGTTGGAAACGGGAATGTCTTCATGTAAACTCTAGACAGAAGCATTCTCAGAAACTGCTTTGGGATGTTTCAATTGAAGTCCCAGTGTTGAACATTCCCTTTCATAGAGCAGGTTTGAAACACTCTTTTTGTACTATCTGGAAGTGGACATTTGGAGCGCTTTCAGGTCTACGGTGAAAAAGGAGATATCTTCCAATAAAAACTAGATAGAAGCAATGTCAGAACTTTTTTCGTGATGTATCTACTCAGCAAACAGAGTTGAACCTTTCTTTTGAGAGAGCAGTTTTGAAACACTCTTTTTGTGGAATATGCAAGTGGGTATTAGGCCAGCTTGGAGGATTTCGTTGGAAACGGGAATACGTATAAAAAGCAGACAGCAGCATTGTCAGAAACTACTTTGTGATGTTTGCATTCAAGTCACAGAATTGAACACTCCCTTTCACAGAGCAGGTTTGAAACACTCTTTTTGTAGTGTCTGTAAGTGAACATATGGATTGCTTTCAGGCCTAAGGTGAAAAAGGAAATATCTTCCCATAAAAACTAGACAGAAGCATTCTCAGAAACTTGTTTGTGATGTGTGCCCTCTACTGACAGAGTTGAACCTTTCTTTGCAAAGAGCAGTTTTGAAACACTCTTTTTGTAGAATCTGCAAGAGGATATTTGGATAGCTTTGAGGATTTCTTGGGAAACGGGAATGTCTTCAGATAAACTCTAGACAGAAGCATTCTCAGAAACTTCTTTGGGATGTTTCAATTGAAGTCACAGTGTTGAACATTCCCTTTCACAGAGCAGGTTTGAAACACTCTTTTTGTAGTGTCTATAATTGAACATTTGGCGTGCTTTCAGGCCTAACGTGAAAAAGGAAATATCTTCCCATAAAAACTAGACAGAAGCATTCTCAGAAACTTGTTCGTGATGTGTGCCCTCTACTGACAGAGTTGAACCTTTCTTTGCAAAGAGCAGCTTTGAAACACACTTTTTGTAGAATCTGCAAGAGGATATTTGGATAGCTTTGAGGATTTCGTTGGAAACGGGTATGTCTTCAGATAAACTCTAGACAGAAGCATTCTCAGAAACTTCTTTGGGATGTTGCATTCAAGTCACAGAGTAGAACATTCCCATTCATAGAGCAGATTTGAAACACTCTTTTTGTAGTATCTGGAAATGGACATTTGGAGCGCTTTCAGGCCTATGTTGAAAAAGGAAATATCTTCCCATAAAAACTAGACGGAAGCATTCTCAGAAACTTATTTGTGATGTGTTTGCTCAACTAACAGGATTGAACCATCGTTTTGAAGGAGCAGTTTTGAAACACTGTTTTCGTGGAATCTGCAAGTGGATATTTGGCTAGCTTTGAGGATTTCGTTGGAAACGGGATTACATATAAAAAGGAGACAGCAGCATTCTCAGAAACTTCTTTGTGATGTTTGCATTCAAGTCACAGAGTTGAACATTCCCTTTCATAGAGCAGGTTGGAAACACTCTTTTTGTAGTATCTGGATGTGGACATTTGGATCGCTTTCAGGCCTATGGTGAAAAAGGAAATATCTTCCCATGAAAACTAGACAGAAGCATTCTCAGAAACTTATTTGTGATGTGTGCACTCAACTGACAGTGTTGAACCTTTGTTTTGATAGAGCAGTTCTGAAACACACTTTTTGTAAAATCTGCAAGAGGATATTTGGATAGCTTTGAGGATTTCGTTGGAAACGGGAATGTCTTCATGTAAACTCTAGACAGAAGCATTCTCAGAAACTGATTTGGGATGTTTCAATTGAAGTCCCAGTGTTGAACATTCCCATTCATAGAGCAGGTTTGAAACACTCTTTTTCTACTATCTGGAAGTGGACATTTGGAGCGCTTTCAGGTCTACGGTGAAAAAGGAGATATCTTCCAATAAAAACTAGATAGAAGCAATGTCAGAACTTTTTTCATGATGTATCTACTCAGCAAACAGAGTTGAACCTTTCTTTTGAGAGAGCAGTTTTGACACTGTCTTTGTGGAATATGCAAGTGGGTATTAGGCCAGCTTGGAGGATTTCGTTGGAAACGGGAATACGTATAAAAAGCAGACAGCAGCATTGTCAGAAACTACTTTGTGATGTTTGCATTCAAGTCACAGAATTGAACACTCCCTTTCACAGAGCAGGTTTGAAACACTCTTTTTGTAGTGTCTGTAAGTGAACATTTGGATTGCTTTCAGGCCTATGGTGAAAAAGGAAATATCTTCCCATAAAAACTAGACAGAAGCATTCTCAGAAACTTGTTTGTGATGTGTGCCCTCTACTGACAGAGTTGAACCTTTCTTTGCAAAGAGCAGTTTTGAAACACTCTTTTTGTAGAATCTGCAAGAGGATATTTGGATAGCTTTGAGGATTTCTTGGGAAACGGGAATGTCTTCAGATAAACTCTAGACAGAAGCATTCTCAGAAACTTCTTTGGGATGTTTCAATTGAAGTCACAGTGTTGAACATTCCCTTTCACAGAGCAGGTTTGAAACACTCTTTTTGTAGTGTCTATAAGTGAACATTTGGCGTGCTTTCAGGCCTAACGTGAAAAAGGAAATATCTTCCCATAAAAACTAGACAGAAGCATTCTCAGAAACTTGTTCGTGATGTGTGCCCTCTACTGACAGAGTTGAACCTTTCTTTGCAAAGAGCAGCTTTGAAACACTCTTTTTGTAGAATCTGCAAGAGGATATTTGGATAGCTTTGAGGATTTCGTTGGAAACGGGTATGTCTTCAGATAAACTCTAGACAGAAGCATTCTCAGAAACTTCTTTGGGATGTTGCATTCAAGTCACAGAGTAGAACATTCCCATTCATAGAGCAGATTTGAAACACTCTTTTTGTAGTATCTGGAAGTGGACATTTGGAGCGCTTTCAGGCCTATGTTGAAAAAGGAAATATCTTCCCATAAAAACTAGACGGAAGCATTCTCAGAAACTTACTTGTGATGTGTTTGCTCAACTAACAGAATTGAACCATCGTTTGGAAGGAGCAGTTTTGAAACACTGTTTTCGTGGAATCTGCAAGTGGATATTTGGCTAGCTTTGAGGATTTCGTTGGAAACGGGATTACATATAAAAAGGAGACAGCAGCATTCTCAGAAACTACTTTGTGATGTCTGCATTCAATTCACAGAGTTGAGCATTCCCTTTCATAGAGCAGGTTGGAAACACTCTTTTTGTAGTATCTGGATGAGGACATTGGGAGCGCTTTCAGGCGTATGGTGAGAAAGGAAATATCTTCCCGTAAAAACTAGACAGAAGCATTCTCAGAAGTTTATTTGTGATGTGTGCCCTCAACTAACAGAGTTGAACCTTTCTTTTGATAGAGCAGTTTTGAAACACTCTTTTTGTAAAATCTGCAAGAGGATATTTGGATAGCTTTGAGGATTTCGTTGCAAACGGGAATGGCTTCATATAAACTCTAGACAGAAGCATTCTCAGAAACTTCGTTGGGATGTTTCGATTGAAGTCCCAGTGTTGAACATTCCCTTTTATAGAGCAGGTTGGAAACACTCTTTCTGCATTCCCTGGAAGTGGACATTTGGAGCGCTTTCAGGACGACGGTGAAAATGGAAATATCTTCCAAGAAAATCTAGATAGAAGCAATGTCAGAAACTTCTATGTGATGGATCTACTCAGCTAACAGAGTTGAAGCTTTCTTTTGAGAGAGCAGTTTTGCAACACTCTTTTTGTGGAATATGCAAGTGGATATTAGGGCAGCTTTGAGGATTTCGTTGGAAACGGGAATACATGTAAAAAGCAGACAGCAGCATTCTCAGAAACTTCTTTGTGATGTTTGCATTGAAGTCACAGAGTTGAACATTCCCTTTGAGAGAGCAGGTTTGAAACACGCCTTTTGTCATATCTGGAAGTGTCCATTCGGAGCGCATTCAGGCTTGTGTTGAAAAAGGAAATATCCTCCCATAAAAACTAGACAGAAGCATTCTCAGAAACTTATCTGTGATGTATGTACTCAACTAACAGAACTAAACCATCGTTTTGAAGGAGCAGTTTTGAAACACTCTTTTTGCGGAATCTGCAAGTGGATATTTGGCTAGCTGGGAGGATTTCGTTGGAAACGGGATTACATACAAAAAGCAGACAGCAGCATTCTCAGAAACTTCTTTGTGATGTTTGCATTCAAGTCACAGAGTTGAACATTCCCTTTCATAGAGCAGGTTTGAAACACTCTTTTTGTAGTATCTGGATGTGGACATTTGGATCGCTTTCAGGCCTATGGTGAAAAAGGAAATATCTTCCCATGAAAACTAGACAGAAGCATTCTCAGAAACTTATTTGTGATGTGTGCCCTCAACTGACAGTGTTGAACCTTTGTTTTGATAGAGCAGTTCTGAAACACACTTTTTGTAAAATCTGCAAGAGGATATTTGGATAGCTTTGAGGATTTCGTTGGAAACGGGAATGTCTTCATGTAAACTCTAGACAGAAGCATTCTCAGAAACTGCTTTGGGATGTTTCAATTGAAGTCCCAGTGTTGAACATTCCCTTTCATAGAGCAGGTTTGAAACACTCTTTTTGTACTATCTGGAAGTGGACATTTGGAGCGCTTTCAGGTCTACGGTGAAAAAGGAGATATCTTCCAATAAAAACTAGATAGAAGCAATGTCAGAACTTTTTTCATGATGTATCTACTCAGCAAACAGAGTTGAACCTTTCTTTTGAGAGAGCAGTTTTGAAACACTCTTTTTGTGGAATATGCAAGTGGGTATTAGGCCAGCTTGGAGGATTTCGTTGGAAACGGGAATACGTATAAAAAGCAGACAGCAGCATTGTCAGAAACTACTTTGTGATGTTTGCATTCAAGTCACAGAATTGAACACTCCCTTTCACAGAGCAGGTTTGAAACACTCTTTTTGTAGTGTCTGTAAGTGAACATTTGGATTGCTTTCAGGCCTAAGGTGAAAAAGGAAATATCTTCCCATAAAAACTAGACAGAAGCATTCTCAGAAACTTGTTTGTGATGTGTGCCCTCTACTGACAGAGTTGAACCTTTCTTTGCAAAGAGCAGTTTTGAAACACCCTTTTTGTAGAATCTGCAAGAGGATATTTGGATAGCTTTGAGGATTTCTTGGGAAACGGGAATGTCTTCAGATAAACTCTAGACAGAAGCATTCTCAGAAACTTCTTTGGGATGTTTCAATTGAAGTCACAGTGTTGAACATTCCCTTTCACAGAGCAGGTTTGAAACACTCTTTTTGTAGTGTCTATAAGTGAACATTTGGCGTGCTTTCAGGCCTAACGTGAAAAAGGAAATATCTTCCCATAAGAACTAGACAGAAGCATTCTCAGAAACTTGTTTGTGATGTGTGCACTCTACTGACAGAGTTGAACCTTTCCTTGCAAAGAGCAGCTTTGACACACTCTTTTTGTAGAATCTGCAAGAGGCTATTTGGATAGCTTTGAGGATTTCGTTGGAAACGGGTATGTCTTCAGATAAACTCTAGACAGAAGCATTCTCAGAAACTTCTTTGAGATGTTGCATTCAAGTCACAGAGTAGAACATTCCCATTCATAGAGCAGATTTGAAACACTCTTTTTGTAGTATCTGAAAGTGGACATTTGGAGCGCTTTCAGGCCTATGATGAAAAAGGAAATATCTTCCCATAAAAACTAGACGGAAGCATTCTCAGAAACTTACTTGTGATGTGTTTGCTCAACTAACAGAATTGAACCATCGTTTTGAAGGAGCAGTTTTGAAACACTGTTTTCGTGGAATCTGCAAGTGGATATTTGGCTAGCTTTGAGGATTTCGTTGGAAACGGGATTACATATAAAAAGGAGACAGCAGCATTCTCAGAAACTTCTTTGTGATGTCTGCATTCAAGTCACAGAGTTGAGCATTCCCTTTCATAGAGCAGGTTGGAAACACTCTTTTTGTAGTATCTGGATGAGGACATTTGGAGCGCTTTCAGGCGTATGGTGAAAAAGGAAATATCTTCCCGTAAAAACTAGACAGAAGATTCTCAGAAATTTATTTGTGATGTGTGCCCTCAACTAACAGAGTTGAACCTTTCTTTTGATAGAGCAGTTTTCAAACACTCTTTTTGTAAAATCTGCAAGAGGATATTTGGATAGCTTTGAGGATTTCGTTGCAAACGGGAATGGCTTCATATAAACTCTAGACAGAAGCATTCTCAGAAACTTCGTTGGGATGTTTCGATTGAAGTCCCAGTGTTGAACATTCCCTTTTATAGAGCAGGTTGGAAACACTCTTTCTGCATTCCCTGGAAGTGGACATTTGGAGCGCTTTCAGGACGACGGTGAAAATGGAAATATCTTCCAAGAAAATCTAGATAGAAGCAACGTCAGAAACTTTTATGTGATGGATCTACTCAGCTAACAGAGTTGAACCTTTCTTTTGAGAGAGCAGTTTTGCAACACTCTTTTTGTGGAATATGCAAGTGGATATTAGGGCAGCTTTGAGGATTTCGTTGGAAACGGGAATACATGTAAAAAGCAGACAGCAGCATTCTCAGAAACTTCTTTGTGATGTTTGCATTGAAGTCACAGAGTTGAACATTCCCTTTGAGAGAGCAGGTTTGAAACACGCCTTTTGTCATATCTGGAAGTGTCCATTCGGAGCGCATTCAGGCTTGTGTTGAAAAAGGAAATATCCTCCCAGAAAAACTAGACAGAAGCATTCTCAGAAACTTATCTGTGATGTATGTACTCAACTAACAGAACTAAACCATCGTTTTGAAGGAGCAGTTTTGAAACACTCTTTGTGCGGAATCTGCAAGTGGATATTTGGCTAGCTGGGAGGATTTCGTTGGAAACGGGATTACATACAAAAAGCAGACAGCAGCATTCTCAGAAACTTATTTGTGATGTGTGCCCTCAACTGACAGTGTTGAACCTTTGTTTTGATAGAGCAGTTCTGAAACACACTTTTTGTAAAATCTGCAAGAGGATATTTGGATAGCTTTGAGGATTTCGTTGGAAACGGGAATGTCTTCATGTAAACTCTGGACAGAAGCATTCTCAGAAACTGCTTTGGGATGTTTCAATTGAAGTCCCAGTGTTGAACATTCCCATTCATAGAGCAGGTTTGAAACACTCTTTTTGTACTATCTGGAAGTGGACATTTGGAGCGCTTTCAGGTCTACGGTGAAAAAGGAGATATCTTCCAATAAAAACTAGATAGAAGCAATGTCAGAACTTTTTTCATGATGTATCTACTCAGCAAACAGAGTTGAACCTTTCTTTTGAGGGAGCAGTTTTGAAACACTATTTTTGTGGAATATGCAAGTGGGTATTAGGCCAGCTTGGAGGATTTCGTTGGAAACGGGAATACGTATAAAAAGCAGACAGCAGCATTGTCAGAAACTACATTGTGATGTTTGCATTCAAGTCACAGAATTGAACACTCCCTTTCACAGAGCAGGTTTGAAACACTCTTTTTGTAGTGTCTGTAAGTGAACATTTGGATTGCTTTCAGGCCTAAGGTGAAAAAGGAAATATCTTCCCATAAAAACTAGACAGAAGCATTCTCAGAAACTAGTTTGTGATGTGTGCCCTCTACTGACAGAGTTGAACCTTTCTTTGCAAAGAGCAGTTTTGAAACACTCTTTTTGTAGAATCTGCAAGAGGATATTTGGATAGCTTTGAGGATTTCTTGGGAAACGGGAATGTCTTCAGATAAACTCTAGACAGAAGCATTCTCAGAAACTTCTTTGGGATGTTTCAATTGAAGTCACAGTGTTGAACATTCCCTTTCACAGAGCAGGTTTGAAACACTCTTTTTGTAGTGTCTATAAGTGAACATTTGGCGTGCTTTCAGGCGTAACGTGAAAAAGGAAATATCTTCCCATAAAAACCAGACAGAAGCATTCTCAGAAACTTGTTCGTGATGTGTGCCCTCTACTGACAGAGTTGAACCTTTCTTTGCAAAGAGCAGCTTTGAAACACACTTTTTGTAGAATCTGCAAGAGGATATTTGGATAGCTTGGAGGATTTCGTTGGAAACGGGTATGTCTTCAGATAAACTCTAGACAGAAGCATTCTCAGAAACTTCTTTGGGATGTTGCATTCAAGTCACAGAGTAGAACATTCCCATTCATAGAGCAGATTTGAAACACTCTTTTTGTAGTATCTGGAAGTGGACATTTGGAGCGCTTTCAGGCCTATGTTGAAAAAGGAAATATCTTCCCATAAAAACTAGACGGAATCATTCTCAGAAACTTATTTGTGATGTGTTTGCTCAACTAACAGGATTGAACCATCGTTTTGAAGGAGCAGTTTTGAAACACTGTTTTCGTGGAATCTGCAAGTGGATATTTGGCTAGCTTTGAGGATTTCGTTGGAAACGGGATTACATATAAAAAGGAGACAGCAGCATTCTCAGAAACTTCTTTGTGATGTCTGCATTCAAGTCACAGAGTTGAGCATTCCCTTTCATAGAGCAGGTTGGAAACACTCTTTTTGTAGTATCTGGATGAGGACATTTGGAGCGCTTTCAGGCCTATGGTGAAAAAGGAAATATCTTCCCGTAAAAACTAGACAGAAGCATTCTCAGAAATTTATTTGTGATGTGTGCCCTCAACTAACAGAGTTGAACCTTTCTTTTGATAGAGCAGTTTTGAAACACTCTTTTTGTAAAATCTGCAAGAGGATATTTGGATAGCTTTGAGGATTTCATTGCAAACGGGAATGGCTTCATATAAACTCTAGACAGAAGCATTCTCAGAAACTTCGTTGGGATGTTTCGATTGAAGTCCCAGTGTTGAACATTCCCTTTTATAGAGCAGGTTGGAAACACTCTTTCTGCATTCCCTGGAAGTGGACATTTGGAGCGCTTTCAGGACGACGGTGAAAATGGAAATATCTTCCAAGAAAATCTAGATAGAAGCAACGTCAGAAACTTTTATGTGATGGATCTACTCAGCTAACAGCAGTTGAACCTTTCTTTTGAGAGAGCAGTTTTGCAACACTCTTTTTGTGGAATATGCAAGTGGATATTAGGGCAGCTTTGAGGATTTCGTTGGAAACGGGAATACATGTAAAAAGGAGACAGCAGCATTCTCAGAAACTTCTTTGTGATGTTTGCATTGAAGTCACAGAGTTGAACATTCCCTTTGAGAGAGCAGGTTTGAAACACGCCTTTTGTCATATCTGGAAGTGTCCATTCGGAGCGCATTCAGGCTTGTGTTGAAAAAGGAAATATCCTCCCATAAAAACTAGACAGAAGCATTCTCAGAAACTTATCTGTGATGTATGTACTCAACTAACAGAACTAAACCATCGTTTTGAAGGAGCAGTTTTGAAACACTCTTTTTGCGGAATCTGCAAGTGGATATTTGGCTAGCTGGGAGGATTTCCGTTGGAAACGGGATTACATACAAAAAGCAGACAGCAGCATTCTCAGAAACTTCTTTGTGATGTTTGCATTCAAGTCACAGAGTTGAACATTCCCTTTCATAGAGCAGGTTTGAAACACTCTTTTTGTAGTATCTGGATGTGGACATTTGGATCGCTTTCAGGCCTATGGTGAAAAAGGAAATATCTTCCCATGAAAACTAGACAGAAGCATTCTCAGAAACTTATTTGTGATGTGTGCCCTCAACTGACAGTGTTGAACCTTTGTTTTGATAGAGCAGTTCTGAAACACACTTTTTGTAAAATCTGCAAGAGGATATTTGGATAGCTTTGAGGATTTCGTTGGAAACGGGAATGTCTTCATGTAAACTCTACACAGAAGCATTCTCAGAAACTGCTTTGGGATGTTTCAATTGAAGTCCCAGTGTTGAACATTCCCATTCATAGAGCAGGTTTGAAACACTCTTTTTGTACTATCTGGAAGTGGACATTTGGAGCGCTTTCAGGTCTACGGTGAAAAAGGAGATATCTTCCAATAAAAACTAGATAGAAGCAATGTCAGAACTTTTTTCATGATGTATCTACTCAGCTAACAGAGTTGAACCTTTCTTTTGAGAGAGCAGTTTTGAAACACTCTTTGTGTGGAATATGCAAGTGGGTATTAGGCCAGCTTGGAGGATTTCGTTGGAAACGGGAATACGTATAAAAAGCAGACAGCAGCATTGTCAGAAACTACTTTGTGATGTTTGCATTCAAGTCACAGAATTGAACACTCCCTTTCACAGAGCAGGTTTGAAACACTCTTTTTGTAGTGTCTGTAAGTGAACATTTGGATTGCTTTCAGGCCTAAGGTGAAAAAGGAAATATCTTCCCATAAAAACTAGACAGAAGCATTCTCAGAAACTTGTTTGTGATGTGTGCCCTCTACTGACAGAGTTGAACCTTTCTTTGCAAAGAGCAGTTTTGAAACACTCTTTTTGTAGAATCTGCAAGAGGATATTTGGATAGCTTTGAGGATTTCTTGGGAAACGGGAATGTCTTCAGATAAACTCTAGACAGAAGCATTCTCAGCAACTTCTTTGGGATGTTTCAATTGAAGTCACAGTGTTGAACATTCCCTTTCACAGAGCAGGTTTGAAACACTCTTTTTGTAGTGTCTATAAGTGAACATTTGGCGTGCTTTCAGGCGTAACGTGAAAAAGGAAATATCTTCCCATAAAAACTAGACAGAAGCATTCTCAGAAACTTGTTCGTGATGTGTGCCCTCTACTGACAGAGTTGAACCTTTCTTTGCAAAGAGCAGCTTTGAAACACACTTTTTGTAGAATCTGCAAGAGGATATTTGGATAGCTTGGAGGATTTCGTTGGAAACGGGTATGTCTTCAGATAAACTCTAGACAGAAGCATTCTCAGAAACTTCTTTGGGATGTTGCATTCAAGTCACAGAGTAGAACATTCCCATTCATAGAGCAGATTTGAAACACTCTTTTTGTAGTATCTGGAAGTGGACATTTGGAGCGCTTTCAGGCCTATGTTGAAAAAGGAAATATCTTCCCATAAAAACTAGACGGAAGCATTCTCAGAAACTTATTTGTGATGTGTTTGCTCAACTAACAGGATTGAACCATCGTTTTGAAGGAGCAGTTTTGAAACACTGTTTTCGTGGAATCTGCAAGTGGATATTTGGCTAGCTTTGAGGATTTCGTTGGAAACGGGATTACATATAAAAAGGAGACAGCAGCATTCTCAGAAACTTCTTTGTGATGTCTGCATTCAAGTCACAGAGTTGAGCATTCCCTTTCATAGAGAAGGTTGGAAACACTCTTTTTGTAGTATCTGGATGAGGACATTTGGAGCGCTTTCAGGCGTATGGTGAAAAAGGAAATATCTTCCCGTAAAAACTAGACAGAAGCATTCTCAGAAATTTATTTGTGATGTGTGCCCTCAACTAACAGAGTTGAACCTTTCTTCTGATAGAGCAGTTTTGAAACACTCTTTTTGTAAAATCTGCAAGAGGATATTTGGATAGCTTTGAGGATTTCGTTGCAAACGGGAATGGCTTCATATAAACTCTAGACAGAAGCATTCTCAGAAACTTCGTTGGGATGTTTCGATTGAAGTCCCAGTGTTGAACATTCCCTTTTATAGAGCAGGTTGGAAACACTCTTTCTGCATTCCCTGGAAGTGGACATTTGGAGCGCTTTCAGGACGACGGTGAAAATGGAAATATCTTCCAAGAAAATCTAGATAGAAGCAACGTCAGAAACTTTTCTGTGATGGATCTACTCAGCTAACAGAGTTGAACCTTTCTTTTGAGAGAGCAGTTTTGCAACACTCTTTTTGTGGAATATGCAAGTGGATATTAGGGCAGCTTTGAGGATTTCGTTGGAAACGGGAATACATGTAAAAAGCAGACAGCAGCATTCTCAGAAACTTCTTTGTGATGTTTGCATTGAAGTCACAGAGTTGAACATTCCCTTTGAGAGAGCAGGTTTGAAACACGCCTTTTGTCATATCTGGAAGTGTCCATTCGGAGCGCATTCAGGCTTGTGTTGAAAAAGGAAATATCCTCCCAGAAAAACTAGACAGAAGCATTCTCAGAAACTTATCTGTGATGTATGTACTCAACTAACAGAACTAAACCATCGTTTTGAAGGAGCAGTTTTGAAACACTCTTTTTGCGGAATCTGCAAGTGGATATTTGGCTAGCTGGGAGGATTTCGTTGGAAACGGGATTACATACAAAAAGCAGACAGCAGCATTCTCAGAAACTTCTTTGTGATGTTTGCATTCAAGTCACAGAGTTGAACATTCCCTTTCATAGAGCAGGTTTGAAACACTCTTTTTGTAGTATCTGGATGTGGACATTTGGATCGCTTTCAGGCCTATGGTGAAAAAGGAAATATCTTCCCATGAAAACTAGACAGAAGCATTCTCAGAAACTTATTTGTGATGTGTGCCCTCAACTGACAGTGTTGAACCTTTGTTTTGATAGAGCAGTTCTGAAACACACTTTTTGTAAAATCTGCAAGAGGATATTTGGATAGCTTTGAGGATTTCGTTGGAAACGGGAATGTCTTCATGTAAACTCTAGACAGAAGCATTCTCAGAAACTGCTTTGGGATGTTTCAATTGAAGTCCCAGTGTTGAACATTCCCTTTCATAGAGCAGGTTTGAAACCCTCTTTTTGTACTATCTGGAAGTGGACATTTGGAGCGCTTTCAGGTCTACGGTGAAAAAGGAGATATCTTCCAATAAAAACTAGATAGAAGCAATGTCAGAACTTTTTTCATGATGTATCTACTCAGCAAACAGAGTTGAACCTTTCTTTTGAGAGAGCAGTTTTGAAACACTCCTTTTGTGGAATATGCAAGTGGGTATTAGGCCAGCTTGGAGGATTTCGTTGGAAACGGGAATACGTATAAAAAGCAGACAGCAGCATTGTCAGAAACTACTTTGTGATGTTTGCATTCAAGTCACAGAATTGAACACTCCCTTTCACAGAGCAGGTTTGAAACTCTCTTTTTGTAGTGTCTGTAAGTGAACATTTGGATTGCTTTCAGGCCTAAGGTGAAAAAGGAAATATCTTCCCATAAAAACTAGACAGAAGCATTCTCAGAAACTTGTTTGTGATGTGTGCCCTCTACTGACAGAGTTGAACCTTTCTTTGCAAAGAGCAGTTTTGAAACACTCTTTTTGTAGAATCTGCAAGAGGATATTTGGATAGCTTTGAGGATTTCTTGGGAAACGGGAATGTCTTCAGATAAACTCTAGACAGAAGCATTCTCAGAAACTTCTTTGGGATGTGTCAATTGAAGTCACAGTGTTGAACATTCCCTTTCACAGAGCAGGTTTGAAACACTCTTTTTGTAGTGTCTATAAGTGAACATTTGGCGTGCTTTCAGGCCTAACGTGAAAAAGGAAATATCTTCCCATAAAAACTAGACAGAAGCATTCTCAGAAACTTGTTCGTGATGTGTGCCCTCTACTGACAGAGTTGAACCTTTCTTTGCAAAGAGCAGCTTTGAAACACTCTTTTTGTAGAATCTGCAAGAGGATATTTGGATAGCTTGGAGGATTTCGTTGGAAACGGGTATGTCTTCAGATAAACTCTAGACAGAAACATTCTCAGAAACTTCATTGGGATGTTGCATTCAAGTCACAGAGTAGAACATTCCCATTCATAGAGCAGGTTTGAAACACTCTTTTTGTAGTATCTGGAAGTGGACATTTGGAGCGCTTTCAGGCCTATGTTGAAAAAGGAAATATCTTCCCATAAAAACTAGACGGAAGCATTCTCAGAAACTTACTTGTGATGTGTTTGCTCAACTAACAGAATTGAACCATCGTTTTAAAGGAGCAGTTTTGAAACACTGTTTTCGTGGAATCTGCAAGTGGATATTTGGCTAGCTTTGAGGATTTCGTTGGAAACGGGATTACATATAAAAAGGAGACAGCAGCATTCTCAGAAACTTCTTTGTGATGTCTGCATTCAATTCACAGAGTTGAGCATTCCCTTTCATAGAGCAGGTTGGAAACACTCTTTTTGTAGTATCTGGATGAGGACATTTGGAGCGCTTTCAGGCCTATGGTGAAAAAGGAAATATCTTCCCGTAAAAACTAGACAGAAGCATTCTCAGAAATTTATTTGTGATGTGTGCCCTCAACTAACAGAGTTGAACCTTTCTTTTGATAGAGCAGTTTTGAAACACTCTTTTTGTAAAATCTGCAAGAGGATATTTGGATAGCTTTGAGGATTTCATTGCAAACGGGAATGGCTTCATATAAACTCTAGACAGAAGCATTCTCAGAAACTTCGTTGGGATGTTTCGATTGAAGACCCAGTGTTGAACATTCCCTTTTATAGAGCAGGTTGGAAACACTCTTTCTGCATTCCCTGGAAGTGGACATTTGGAGCGCTTTCAGGACGACGGTGAAAATGGAAATATCTTCCAATAAAATCTAGATAGAAGCAACGTCAGAAACTTTTATGTGATGGATCTACTCAGCTAACAGAGTTGAACCTTTCTTTTGAGAGAGCAGTTTTGCAACACTCTTTTTGTGGAATATGCAAGTGGATATTAGGGCAGCTTTGAGGATTTCGTTGGAAACGGGAATACATGTAAAAAGCAGACAGCAGCATTCTCAGAAACTTCTTTGTGATGTTTGTATTGAAGTCACAGAGTTGAACATTCCCTTTGAGAGAGCAGGTTTGAAACACGCCTTTTGTCATATCTGGAAGTGTCCATTCGGAGCGCATTCAGGCTTGTGTTGAAAAAGGAAATATCCTCCCATAAAAACTAGACAGAAGCATTCTCAGAAACTTATCTGTGATGTATGTACTCAACTAACAGAACTAAACCATCGTTTTGAAGGAGCAGTTTTGAAACACTCTTTTTGCGGAATCTGCAAGTGGATATTTGGCTAGCTGGGAGGATTTCGTTGGAAACGGGATTACATACAAAAAGCAGACAGCAGCATTCTCAGAAACTTAATTGTGATGTGTTTGCTCAACTAACAGGATTGAACCATCGTTTTGAAGGAGCAGTTTTGAAACACTGTTTTCGTGGAATCTGCAAGTGGATATTTGGCTAGCTTTGAGGATTTCGTTGGAAACGGGATTACATATAAAAAGCAGACAGCAGCATTCTCAGAAACTTCTTTGTGATGTGTGCCCTCAACTGACAGTGTTGAACCTTTGTTTTGATAGAGCAGTTCTGAAACACACTTTTTGTAAAATCTGCAAGAGGATATTTGGATAGCTTTGAGGATTTCGTTGGAAACGGGAATGTCTTCATGTAAACTCTGGACAGAAGCATTCTCAGAAACTGCTTTGGGATGTTTCAATTGAAGTCCCAGTGTTGAACATTCCCTTTCATAGAGCAGGTTTGAAACACTCTTTTTGTACTATCTGGAAGTGGACATTTGGAGCGCTTTCAGGTCTACGGTGAAAAAGGAGATATCTTCCAATAAAAACTAGATAGAAGCAATGTCAGAACTTTTTTCATGATGTATCTACTCAGCAAACAGAGTTGAACCTTTCTTTTGAGAGAGCAGTTTTGAAACACTCTTTTTGTGGAATATGCAAGTGGGTATTAGGCCAGCTTGGAGGATTTCGTTGGAAACGGGAATACGTATAAAAAGCAGACAGCAGCATTGTCAGAAACTACTTTGTGATGTTTGCATTCAAGTCACAGAATTGAACACTCCCTTTCACAGAGCAGGTTTGAAACACTCTTTTTGTAGTGTCTGTAAGTGAACATTTGGATTGCTTTCAGGCCTAAGGTGAAAAAGGAAATATCTTCCCATAAAAACTAGACAGAAGCATTCTCAGAAACTTGTTTGTGATGTGTGCCCTCTACTGACAGAGTTGAACCTTTCTTTGCAAAGAGCAGTTTTGAAACACTCTTTTTGTAGAATCTGCAAGAGGATATTTGGATAGCTTTGAGGATTTCTTGGGAAACGGGAATGTCTTCAGATAAACTCTAGACAGAAGCATTCTCAGAAACTTCTTTGGGATGTTTCAATTGAAGTCACAGTGTTGAACATTCCCTTTCACAGAGCAGGTTTGAAACACTCTTTTTGTAGTGTCTATAAGTGAACATTTGGCGTGCTTTCAGGCGTAACGTGAAAAAGGAAATATCTTCCCATAAAAACTAGACAGAAGCATTCTCAGAAACTTGTTCTTGATGTGTCCCCTCTACTGACAGAGTTGAACCTTTCTTTGCAAAGAGCAGCTTTGAAACACTCTTTTTGTAGAATCTGCAAGAGGATATTTGGATAGCTTGGAGGATTTCGTTGGAAACGGGTATGTCTTCAGATAAACTCTAGACAGAAGCATTCTCAGAAACTTCTTTGGGATGTTGCATTCAAGTCACAGAGTAGAACATTCCCATTCATAGAGCAGATTTGAAACACTCTTTTTGTAGTATCTGGAAGTGGACATTTGGAGCGCTTTCAGGCCTATGTTGAAAAAGGAAATATCTTCCCATAAAAACTAGACGGAAGCATTCTCAGAAACTTAATTGTGATGTGTTTGCTCAACTAACAGGATTGAACCATCGTTTTGAAGGAGCAGTTTTGAAACACTGTTTTCGTGGAATCTGCAAGTGGATATTTGGCTAGCTTTGAGGATTTCGTTGGAAACGGGATTACATATAAAAAGGAGACAGCAGCATTCTCAGAAACTTCTTTGTGATGTCTGCATTCAATTCACAGAGTTGAGCATTCCCTTTCATAGAGCAGGTTGGAAACACTCTTTTTGTAGTATCTGGATGTGGACATTTGGATCGCTTTCAGGCCTATGGTGAAAAAGGAAATATCTTCCCATGAAAACTAGACAGAAGCATTCTCAGAAACTTATTTGTGATGTGTGCCCTCAACTGACAGTGTTGAACCTTTGTTTTGATAGAGCAGTTCTGAAACACACTTTTTGTAAAATCTGCAAGAGGATATTTGGATAGCTTTGAGGATTTCGTTGGAAACGGGAATGTCTTCATGTAAACTCTAGACAGAAGCATTCTCAGAAACTGCTTTGGGATGTTTCAATTGAAGTCCCAGTGTTGAACATTCCCATTCATAGAGCAGGTTTGAAACACTCTTTTTGTACTATCTGGAAGTGGACATTTGGAGCGCTTTCAGGTCTACGGTGAAAAAGGAGATATCTTCCAATAAAAACTAGATAGAAGCAATGTCAGAACTTTTTTCATGATGTATCTACTCAGCAAACAGAGTTGAACCTTTCTTTTGAGAGAGCAGTTTTGAAACACTCTTTTTGTGGAATATGCAAGTGGGTATTAGGCCAGCTTGGAGGATTTCGTTGGAAACGGGAATACGTATAAAAAGCAGACAGCAGCATTGTCAGAAACTACTTTGTGATGTTTGCATTCAAGTCACAGAATTGAACACTCCCTTTCACAGAGCAGGTTTGAAACACTCTTTTTGTAGTGTCTGTAAGTGAACATATGGATTGCTTTCAGGCCTAAGGTGAAAAAGGAAATATCTTGCCCATAAAAACTAGACAGAAGCATTCTCAGCAAACTTGTTTGTGATGTGTGCCCTCTACTGACAGAGTTGAACCTTTCTTTGCAAAGAGCAGTTTTGAAACACTCTTTTTGTAGAATCTGCAAGAGGATATTTGGATAGCTTTGAGGATTTCTTGGGAAACGGGAATGTCTTCAGATAAACTCTAGACAGAAGCATTCTCAGAAACTTCTTTGGGATGTTTCAATTGAAGTCACAGTGTTGAACATTCCCTTTCACAGAGCAGGTTTGAAACACTCTTTTTGTAGTGTCTATAAGTGAACATTTGGCGTGCTTTCAGGCGTAACGTGAAAAAGGAAATATCTTCCCATAAAAACTAGACAGAAGCATTCTCAGAAACTTGTTCGTGATGTGTGCCCTCTACTGACAGAGTTGAACCTTTCTTTGCAAAGAGCAGCTTTGAAACACACTTTTTGTAGAATCTGCAAGAGGATATTTGGATAGCTTTGAGGATTTCGTTGGAAACGGGTATGTCTTCAGATAAACTCTAGACAGAAGCATTCTCAGAAACTTCTTTGGGATGTTGCATTCAAGTCACAGAGTAGAACATTCCCATTCATAGAGCAGATTTGAAACACTCTTTTTGTAGTATCTGGAAGTGGACATTTGGAGCGCTTTCAGGCCTATGTTGAAAAAGGAAATATCTTCCCATAAAAACTAGACGGAAGCATTCTCAGAAACTTATTTGTGATGTGTTTGCTCAACTAACAGGATTGAACCATCGTTTTGAAGGAGCAGTTTTGAAACACTGTTTTCGTGGAATCTGCAAGTGGATATTTGGCTAGCTTTGAGGATTTCGTTGGAAACGGGATTACATATAAAAAGGAGACAGCAGCATTCTCAGAAACTTCTTTGTGATGTTTGCATTCAATTCACAGAGTTGAGCATTCCCTTTCATAGAGCAGGTTGGAAACACTCTTTTTGTAGTATCTGGATGTGGACATTTGGATCGCTTTCAGGCCTATGGTGAAAAAGGAAATATCTTCCCATGAAAACTAGACAGAAGCATTCTCAGAAACTTATTTGTGATGTGTGCCCTCAACTGACAGTGTTGAACCTTTGTTTTGATAGAGCAGTTCTGAAACACACTTTTTGTAAAATCTGCAAGAGGATATTTGGATAGCTTGGAGGATTTCGTTGGAAACGGGAATGTCTTCATGTAAACTCTAGACAGAAGCATTCTCAGAAACTGCTTTGGGATGTTTCAATTGAAGTCCCAGTGTTGAACATTCCCTTTCATAGAGCAGGTTTGAAACACTCTTTTTGTACTATCTGGAAGTGGACATTTGGAGCGCTTTCAGGTCTACGGTGAAAAAGGAGATATCTTCCAATAAAAACTAGATAGAAGCAATGTCAGAACTTTTTTCATGATGTATCTACTCAGCAAACAGAGTTGAACCTTTCTTTTGAGAGAGCAGTTTTGAAACACTCTTTTTGTGGAATATGCAAGTGGGTATTAGGCCAGCTTGGAGGATTTCGTTGGAAACGGGAATACGTATAAAAAGCAGACAGCAGCATTGTCAGAAACTACTTTGTGATGTTTGCATTCAAGTCACAGAATTGAACACTCCCTTTCACAGAGCAGGTTTGAAACACTCTTTTTGTAGTGTCTGTAAGTGAACATTTGGATTGCTTTCAGGCCTAAGGTGAAAAAGGAAATATCTTCCCATAAAAACTAGACAGAAGCATTCTCAGAAACTTGTTTGTGATGTGTGCCCTCTACTGACAGAGTTGAACCTTTCTTTGCAAAGACCAGTTTTGAAACACTCTTTTTGTAGAATCTGCAAGAGGATATTTGGATAGCTTTGAGGATTTCTTGGGAAACGGGAATGTCTTCAGATAAACTCTAGACAGAAGCATTCTCAGAAACTTCTTTGGGATGTTTCAATTGAAGTCACAGTGTTGAACATTCCCTTTCACAGAGCAGGTTTGAAACACTCTTTTTGTAGTGTCTATAAGTGAACATTTGGCGTGCTTTCAGGCCTAAGGTGAAAAAGGAAATATACTTCCCATAAAAACTAGACAGAAGCATTCTCAGAAACTTGTTCGTGATGTGTGCCCTCTACTGACAGAGTTGAACCTTTCTTTGCAAAGAGCAGCTTTGAAACACTCTTTTTGTAGTATCTGCAAGAGGATATTTGGATAGCTTTGAGGATTTCGTTGGAAACGGGTATGTCTTCAGATAAACTCTAGACAGAAGCATTCTCAGAAACTTCTTTGGGATGTTGCATTCAAGTCACAGAGTAGAACATTCCCATTCATACAGCAGATTTGAAACACTCTTTTTGTAGTATCTGGAAGTGGACATTTGGAGCGCTTTCAGGCCTATGTTGAAAAAGGAAATATCTTCCCATAAAAACTAGACGGAAGCATTCTCAGAAACTTACTTGTGATGTGTTTGCTCAACTAACAGAATTGAACCATCGTTTTGAAGGAGCAGTTTTGAAACACTGTTTTCGTGGAATCTGCAAGTGGATATTTGGCTAGCTTTGAGGATTTCGTTGGAAACGGGATTACATATAAAAAGGAGACAGCAGCATTCTCAGAAACTTCTTTGTGATGTCTGCATTCAAGTCACAGAGTTGAGCATTCCCTTTCATAGAGCAGGTTGGAAACACTCTTTTTGTAGTATCTGGATGAGGACATTTGGAGCGCTTTCAGGCGTATGGTGAAAAAGGAAATATCTTCCCGTAAAAACTAGACAGAAGCATTCTCAGAAATTTATTTGTGATGTGTGCCCTCAACTAACAGAGTTGAACCTTTCTTTTGATAGAGCAGTTTTGAAACACTCTTTTTGTAAAATCTGCAAGAGGATATTTGGATAGCTTTGAGGATTTCGTTGCAAACGGGAATGGCTTCATATAAACTCTAGACAGAAGCATTCTCAGAAACTTCGTTGGGATGTTTCGATTGAAGTCCCAGTGTTGAACATTCCCTTTTATAGAGCAGGTTGGAAACACTCTTTCTGCATTCCCTGGAAGTGGACATTTGGAGCGCTTTCAGGACGACGGTGAAAATGGAAATATCTTCCAAGAAAATCTAGATAGAAGCAACGTCAGAAACTTTTCTGTGATGGATCTACTCAGCTAACAGAGTTGAACCTTTCTTTTGAGAGAGCAGTTTTGCAACACTCTTTTTGTGGAATATGCAAGTGGATATTAGGGCAGCTTTGAGGATTTCGTTGGAAACGGGAATACATGTAAAAAGCAGACAGCAGCATTCTCAGAAACTTCTTTGTGATGTTTGCATTGAAGTCACAGAGTTGAACATTCCCTTTGAGAGAGCAGGTTTGAAACACGCCTTTTGTCATATCTGGAAGTGTCCATTCGGAGCGCATTCAGGCTTGTGTTGAAAAAGGAAATATCCTCCCATAAAAACTAGACAGAAGCATTCTCAGAAACTTATCTGTGATGTATGTACTCAACTAACAGAACTAAACCATCGTTTTGAAGGAGCAGTTTTGAAACACTCTTTTTGCGGAATCTGCAAGTGGATATTTGGCTAGCTGGGAGGATTTCGTTGGAAACGGGATTACATACAAAAAGCAGACAGCAGCATTCTCAGAAACTTCTTTGTGATGTTTGCATTCAAGTCACAGAGTTGAACATTCCCTTTCATAGAGCAGGTTTGAAACACTCTTTTTGTAGTATCTGGATGTGGACATTTGGATCGCTTTCAGGCCTATGGTGAAAAAGGAAATATCTTCCCATGAAAACTAGACAGAAGCATTCTCAGAAACTTATTTGTGATGTGTGCCCTCAACTGACAGTGTTGAACCTTTGTTTTGATAGAGCACTTCTGAAACACACTTTTTGTAAAATCTGCAAGAGGATATTTGGATAGCTTTGAGGATTTCGTTGGAAACGGGAATGTCTTCATGTAAACTCTACACAGAAGCATTCTCAGAAACTGCTTTGGGATGTTTCAATTGAAGTCCCAGTGTTGAACATTCCCATTCATAGAGCAGGTTTGAAACACTCTTTTTCTACTATCTGGAAGTGGACATTTGGAGCGCTTTCAGGTCTACGGTGAAAAAGGAGATATCTTCCAATAAAAACTAGATAGAAGCAATGTCAGAACTTTTTTCATGATGTATCTACTCAGCAAACAGAGTTGAACCTTTCTTTTGAGAGAGCAGTTTTGAAACACTCTTTTTGTGGAATATGCAAGTGGGTATTAGGCCAGCTTGGAGGATTTCGTTGGAAACGGGAATACGTATAAAAAGCAGACAGCAGCATTGTCAGAAACTACTTTGTGATGTTTGCATTCAAGTCACAGAATTGAACACTCCCTTTCACAGAGCAGGTTTGAAACACTCTTTTTGTAGTGTCTATAAGTGAACATTTGGCGTGCTTTCAGGCCTAACGTGAAAAAGGAAATATCTTCCCATAAAAACTAGACAGAAGCATTCTCAGAAACTTGTTTGTGATGTGTGCCCTCTACTGACAGAGTTGAACCTTTCTTTGCAAAGAGGAGCTTTGAAACACTCTTTTTGTAGAATCTGCAAGAGGATATTTGGATAGCTTTGAGGATTTCGTTGGAAACGGGTATGTCTTCAGATAAACTCTAGACAGAAGCATTCTCAGAAACTTCTTTGGGATGTTGCATTCAAGTCACAGAGTAGAACATTCCCATTCATAGAGCAGATTTGAAACACTCTTTTTGTAGTATCTGGAAGTGGACATTTGGAGCGCTTTCAGGCCTATGTTGAAAAAGGAAATATCTTCCCATAAAAACTAGACGGAAGCATTCTCAGAAACTTATTTGTGATGTGTTTGCTCAACTAACAGGATTGAACCATCGTTTTGAAGGAGCAGTTTTGAAACACTGTTTTCGTGGAATCTGCAAGTGGATATTTGGCTAGCTTTGAGGATTTCGTTGGAAACGGGATTACATATAAAAAGGAGACAGCAGCATTCTCAGAAACTTCTTTGTGATGTCTGCATTCAATTCACAGAGTTGAGCATTCCCTTTCATAGAGCAGGTTGGAAACACTCTTTTTGTAGTATCTGGATGAGGACATTTGGAGCGCTTTCAGGCGTATGGTGAAAAAGGAAATATCTTCCCGTAAAAACTAGACAGAAGCATTCTCAGAAGTTTATTTGTGATGTGTGCCCTCAACTAACAGAGTTGAACCTTTCTTTTGATAGAGCAGTTTTGAAACACTCTTTTTGTAAAATCTGCAAGAGGATATTTGGATAGCTTTGAGGATTTCGTTGCGAACGGGAATGGCTTCATATAAACTCTAGACAGAAGCATTCTCAGAAACTTCGTTGGGATGTTTCGATTGAAGTCCCAGTGTTGAACATTCCCTTTTATAGAGCAGGTTGGAAACACTCTTTCTGCATTCCCTGGAAGTGGACATTTGGAGCGCTTTCAGGACGACGGTGAAAATGGAAATATCTTCCAAGAAAATCTAGATAGAAGCAATGTCAGAAACTTTTATGTGATGGATCTACTCAGCTAACAGAGTTGAACCTTTCTTTTGAGAGAGCAGTTTTGCAACACTCTTTTTGTGGAATATGCAAGTGGATATTAGGGCAGCTTTGAGGATTTCGTTGGAAACGGGAATACATGTAAAAAGCAGACAGCAGCATTCTCAGAAACTTCTTTGTGATGTTTGCATTGAAGTCACAGAGTTGAACATTCCCTTTGAGAGAGCAGGTTTGAAACACGCCTTTTGTCATATCTGGAAGTGTCCATTCGGAGCGCATTCAGGCTTGTGTTGAAAAAGGAAATATCCTCCCATAAAAACTAGACAGAAGCATTCTCAGAAACTTATTTGTGATATATGTACTCAACTAACAGAACTAAACCATCGTTTTGAAGGAGCAGTTTTGAAACACTCTTTTTGCGGAATCTGCAAGTGGATATTTGGCTAGCTGGGAGGATTTCGTTGGAAACGGGATTACATACAAAAAGCAGACAGCAGCATTCTCAGAAACTTCTTTGTGATGTTTGCATTCAAGTCACAGAGTTGAACATTCCCTTTCATAGAGCAGGTTTGAAACACTCTTTTTGTAGTATCTGGATGTGGACATTTGGATCGCTTTCAGGCCTATGGTGAAAAAGGAAATATCTTCCCATGAAAACTAGACAGAAGCATTCTCAGAAACTTATTTGTGATGTGTGCCCTCAACTGACAGTGTTGAACCTTTGTTTTGATAGAGCAGTTCTGAAACACACTTTTTGTAAAATCTGCAAGAGGATATTTGGATAGCTTTGAGGATTTCGTTGGAAACGGGAATGTCTTCATGTAAACTCTAGACAGAAGCATTCTCAGCAAACTTCTTTGGGATGTTTCAATTGAAGTCACAGTGTTGAACATTCCCTTTCACAGAGCAGGTTTGAAACACTCTTTTTGTAGTGTCTATAATTGAACATTTGGCGTGCTTTCAGGCCTAACGTGAAAAAGGAAATATCTTCCCATAAAAACTAGACAGAAGCATTCTCAGAAACTTGTTCGTGATGTGTGCCCTCTACTGACAGAGTTGAACCTTTCTTTGCAAAGAGCAGCTTTGAAACACTCTTTTTGTAGAATCTGCAAGAGGATATTTGGATAGCTTTGAGGATTTCGTTGGAAACGGGTATGTCTTCAGATAAACTCTAGACAGAAGCATTCTCAGAAACTTCTTTGGGATGTTGCATTCAAGTCACAGAGTAGAACATTCCCATTCATAGAGCAGATTTGAAACACTCTTTTTGTAGTATCTGGAAGTGGACATTTGGAGCGCTTTCAGGCCTATGTTGAAAAAGGAAATATCTTCCCATAAAAACTAGACGGAAGCATTCTCAGAAACTTACTTGTGATGTGTTTGCTCAACTAACAGAATTGAACCATCGTTTTGAAGGAGCAGTTTTGAAACACTGTTTTCGTGGAATCTGCAAGTGGATATTTGGCTAGCTTTGAGGATTTCGTTGGAAACGGGATTACATATACAAAGGAGACAGCGCATTCTCAGGAAACTTCTTTGTGATGTCTGCATTCAAGTCACAGAGTTGAGCATTCCCTTTCATAGAGCAGGTTGGAAACACTCTTTTTGTAGTATCTGGATGAGGACATTTGGAGCGCTTTCAGGCCTATGGTGAAAAAGGAAATATCTTCCCGTAAAAACTAGACAGAAGCATTCTCAGAAATTTATTTGTGATGTGTGCCCTCAACTAACAGAGTTGAACCTTTCTTTTGATAGAGCAGTTTTGAAACACTCTTTTTGTAAAATCTGCAAGAGGATATTTGGATAGCTTTGAGGATTTCATTGCAAACGGGAATGGCTTCATATAAACTCTAGACAGAAGCATTCTCAGAAACTTCGTTGGGATGTTTCGATTGAAGTCCCAGTGTTGAACATTCCCTTTTATAGAGCAGGTTGGAAACACTCTTTCTGCATTCCCTGGAAGTGGACATTTGGAGCGCTTTCAGGACGACGGTGAAAATGGAAATATCTTCCAAGAAAATCTAGATAGAAGCAATGTCAGAAACTTTTATGTGATGGATCTACTCAGCTAACAGAGTTGAACCTTTCTTTTGAGAGAGCAGTTTTGCAACACTCTTTTTGTGGAATATGCAAGTGGATATTAGGGCAGCTTTGAGGATTTCGTTGGAAACGGGAATACATGTAAAAAGCAGACAGCAGCATTCTCAGAAACTTCTTTGTGATGTTTGCATTGAAGTCACAGAGTTGAACATTCCCTTTGAGAGAGCAGGTTTGAAACACGCCTTTTGTCATATCTGGAAGTGTCCATTCGGAGCGCATTCAGGCTTGTGTTGAAAAAGGAAATATCCTCCCATAAAAACTAGACAGAAGCATTCTCAGAAACTTATCTGTGATGTATGTACTCAACTAACAGAACTAAACCATCGTTTTGAAGGAGCAGTTTTGAAACACTCTTTTTGCGGAATCTGCAAGTGGATATTTGGCTAGCTGGGAGGATTTCGTTGGAAACGGGATTACATACAAAAAGCAGAGAGCAGCATTCTCAGAAACTTCTTTGTGATGTTTGCATTCAAGTCACAGAGTTGAACATTCCCTTTCATAGAGCAGGTTTGAAACACTCTTTTTGTAGTATCTGGATGTGGACATTTGGATCGCTTTCAGGCCTATGGTGAAAAAGGAAATATCTTCCCATGAAAACTAGACAGAAGCATTCTCAGAAACTTATTTGTGATGTGTGCCCTCAACTGACAGTGTTGAACCTTTGTTTTGATAGAGCAGTTCTGAAACACACTTTTTGTAAAATCTGCAAGAGGATATTTGGATAGATTTGAGGATTTCGTTGGAAACGGGAATGTCTTCATGTAAACTCTAGACAGAAGCATTCTCAGAAACTGCTTTGGGATGTTTCAATTGAAGTCCCAGTGTTGAACATTCCCTTTCATAGAGCAGGTTTGAAACACTCTTTTTGTACTATCTGGAAGTGGACATTTGGAGCGCTTTCAGGTCTACGGTGAAAAAGGAGATATCTTCCAATAAAAACTAGATAGAAGCAATGTCAGAACTTTTTTCATGATGTATCTACTCAGCAAACAGAGTTGAAGCTTTCTTTTGAGAGAGCAGTTTTGCAACACTCTTTTTGTGGAATATGCAAGTGGGTATTAGGCCAGCTTGGAGGATTTCGTTGGAAACGGGAATACGTATAAAAAGCAGACAGCAGCATTGTCAGAAACTACTTTGTGATGTTTGCATTCAAGTCACAGAATTGAACACTCCCTTTCACAGAGCAGGTTTGAAACACTCTTTTTGTAGTGTCTGTAAGTGAACATTTGGATTGCTTTCAGGCCTAAGGTGAAAAAGGAAATATCTTCCCATAAAAACTAGACAGAAGCATTCTCAGAAACTTGTTTGTGATGTGTGCCCTCTACTGACAGAGTTGAACCTTTCTTTGCAAAGAGCAGTTTTGAAACACTCTTTTTGTAGAATCTGCAAGAGGATATTTGGATAGCTTTGAGGATTTCTTGGGAAACGGGAATGTCTTCAGATAAACTCTAGACAGAAGCATTCTCAGAAACTTCTTTGGGATGTTTCAATTGAAGTCACAGTGTTGAACATTCCCTTTCACAGAGCAGGTTTGAAACACTCTTTTTGTAGTGTCTATAAGTGAACATTTGGCGTGCTTTCAGGCCTAACGTGAAAAAGGAAATATCTTCCCATAAAAACTAGACAGAAGCATTCTCAGAAACTTGTTCGTGATGTGTGCCCTCTACTGACAGAGTTGAACCTTTCTTTGCAAAGAGCAGCTTTGAAACACTCTTTTTGTAGAATCTGCCAGAGGATATTTGGATAGCTTTGAGGATTTCGTTGGAAACGGGTATGTCTTCAGATAAACTCTAGACAGAAGCATTCTCAGAAACTTCTTTGGGATGTTGCATTCAAGTCACAGAGTAGAACATTCCCATTCATAGAGCAGATTTGAAACACTCTTTTTGTAGTATCTGGAAGTGGACATTTGGAGCGCTTTCAGGCCTATGTTGAAAAAGGAAATATCTTCCCATAAAAACTAGACGGAAGCATTCTCAGAAACTTACTTGTGATGTGTTTGCTCAACTAACAGAATTGAACCATCGTTTTGAAGGAGCAGTTTTGAAACACTGTTTTCGTGGAATCTGCAAGTGGATATTTGGCTAGCTTTGAGGATTTCGTTGGAAACGGGATTACATATAAAAAGGAGACAGCAGCATTCTCAGAAACTTCTTTGTGATGTCTGCATTCAAGTCACAGAGTTGAGCATTCCCTTTCATAGAGCAGGTTGGAAACACTCTTTTTGTAGTATCTGGATGAGGACATTTGGAGCGCTTTCAGGCGTATGGTGAAAAAGGAAATATCTTCCCGTAAAAACTAGACAGAAGCATTCTCAGAAATTTATTTGTGATGTGTGCCCTCAACTAACAGAGTTGAACCTTTCTTTTGATAGAGCAGTTTTGAAACACTCTTTTTGTAAAATCTGCAAGAGGATATTTGGATAGCTTTGAGGATTTCATTGCAAACGGGAATGGCTTCATATAAACTCTAGACAGAAGCATTCTCAGAAACTTCGTTGGGATGTTTCGATTGAAGTCCCAGTGTTGAACATTCCCTTTTATAGAGCAGGTTGGAAACACTCTTTCTGCATTCCCTGGAAGTGGACATTTGGAGCGCTTTCAGGACGACGGTGAAAATGGAAATATCTTCCAAGAAAATCTAGATAGAAGCAACGTCAGAAACTTTTCTGTGATGGATCTACTCAGCTAACAGAGTTGAACCTTTCTTTTGAGAGAGCAGTTTTGCAACACTCTTTTTGTGGAATATGCAAGTGGATATTAGGGCAGCTTTGAGGATTTCGTTGGAAACGGGAATACATGTAAAAAGCAGACAGCAGCATTCTCAGAAACTTCTTTGTGATGTTTGCATTGAAGTCACAGAGTTGAACATTCCCTTTGAGAGAGCAGGTTTGAAACACGCCTTTTGTCATATCTGGAAGTGTCCATTCGGAGCGCATTCAGGCTTGTGTTGAAAAAGGAAATATCCTCCCATAAAAACTAGACAGAAGCATTCTCAGAAACTTATCTGTGATGTATGTACTCAACTAACAGAACTAAACCATCGTTTTGAAGGAGCAGTTTTGAAACACTCTTTTTGCGGAATCTGCAAGTGGATATTTGGCTAGCTGGGAGGATTTCGTTGGAAACGGGATTACATACAAAAAGCAGACAGCAGCATTCTCAGAAACTTCTTTGTGATGTTTGCATTCAAGTCACAGAGTTGAACATTCCCTTTCATAGAGCAGGTTTGAAACACTCTTTTTGTAGTATCTGGATGTGGACATTTGGATCGCTTTCAGGCCTATGGTGAAAAAGGAAATATCTTCCCATGAAAACTAGACAGAAGCATTCTCAGAAACTTATTTGTGATGTGTGCCCTCAACTGACAGTGTTGAACCTTTGTTTTGATAGAGCAGTTCTGAAACACACTTTTTGTAAAATCTGCAAGAGGATATTTGGATAGCTTTGAGGATTTCGTTGGAAACGGGAATGTCTTCATGTAAACTCTACACAGAAGCATTCTCAGAAACTGCTTTGGGATGTTTCAATTGAAGTCCCAGTGTTGAACATTCCCATTCATAGAGCAGGTTTGAAACACTCTTTTTGTACTATCTGGAAGTGGACATTTGGAGCGCTTTCAGGTCTACGGTGAAAAAGGAGATATCTTCCAATAAAAACTAGATAGAAGCAATGTCAGAACTTTTTTCATGATGTATCTACTCAGCACACAGAGTTGAACCTTTCTTTTGAGAGAGCAGTTTTGAAACACTCTTTTTGTGGAATATGCAAGTGGGTATTAGGCCAGCTTGGAGGATTTCGTTGGAAACGGGAATACGTATAAAAAGCAGACAGCAGCATTGTCAGAAACTACTTTGTGATGTTTGCATTCAAGTCACAGAATTGAACACTCCCTTTCACAGAGCAGGTTTGAAACACTCTTTTTGTAGTGTCTGTAAGTGAACATATGGATTGCTTTCAGGCCTAAGGTGAAAAAGGAAATATCTTCCCATAAAAACTAGACAGAAGCATTCTCAGAAACTTGTTTGTGATGTGTGCCCTCTACTGACAGAGTTGAACCTTTCTTTGCAAAGAGCAGTTTTGAAACACTCTTTTTGTAGAATCTGCAAGAGGATATTTGGATAGCTTTGAAGATTTCTTGGGAAACGGGAATGTCTTCAGATAAACTCTAGACAGGAAGCATTCTCAGAAACTTCTTTGGGATGTTTCAATTGAAGTCACAGTGTTGAACATTCCCTTTCACAGAGCAGGTTTGAAACACTCTTTTTGTAGTGTCTATAAGTGAACATTTGGCGTGCTTTCAGGCCTAACGTGAAAAAGGAAATATCTTCCCATAAAAACTAGACAGAAGCATTCTCAGAAACTTGTTCATGATGTGTGCCCTCTACTGACAGAGTTGAACCTTTCTTTGCAAAGAGCAGCTTTGAAACACTCTTTTTGTAGAATCTGCAAGAGGATATTTGGATAGCTTGGAGGATTTCGTTGGAAACGGGTATGTCTTCAGATAAACTCTAGACAGAAGCATTCTCAGAAACTTCTTTGGGATGTTGCATTCAAGTCACAGAGTAGAACATTCCCATTCATAGAGCAGATTTGAAACACTCTTTTTGTAGTATCTGGAAGTGGACATTTGGAGCGCTTTCAGGCCTATGTTGAAAAAGGAAATATCTTCCCATAAAAACTAGACGGAAGCATTCTCAGAAACTTACTTGTGATGTGTTTGCTCAACTAACAGAATTGAACCATCGTTTGGAAGGAGCAGTTTTGAAACACTGTTTTCGTGGAATCTGCAAGTGGATATTTGGCTAGCTTTGAGGATTTCGTTGGAAACGGGATTACATATAAAAAGGAGACAGCAGCATTCTCAGAAACTTCTTTGTGATGTTTGCATTCAAGTCACAGAGTTGAACATTCCCTTTCATAGAGCAGGTTTGAAACACTCTTTTTGTAGTATCTGGATGTGGACATTTGGATCGCTTTCAGGCCTATGGTGAAAAAGGAAATATCTTCCCATGAAAACTAGACAGAAGCATTCTCAGAAACTTATTTGTGATGTGTGCCCTCAACTGACAGTGTTGAACCTTTGTTTTGATAGAGCAGTTCTGAAACACACTTTTTGTAAAATCTGCAAGAGGATATTTGGATAGCTTTGAGGATTTCGTTGGAAACGGGAGTGTCTTCATGTAAACTCTAGACAGAAGCATTCTCAGAAACTGCTTTGGGATGTTTCAATTGAAGTCCCAGTGTTGAACATTCCCTTTCATAGAGCAGGTTTGAAACCCTCTTTTTGTACTATCTGGAAGTGGACATTTGGAGCGCTTTCAGGTCTACGGTGAAAAAGGAGATATCTTCCAATAAAAACTAGATAGAAGCAATGTCAGAACTTTTTTCATGATGTATCTACTCAGCAAACAGAGTTGAACCTTTCTTTTGAGAGAGCAGTTTTGAAACACTCCTTTTGTGGAATATGCAAGTGGGTATTAGGCCAGCTTGGAGGATTTCGTTGGAAATGGGAATACGTATAAAAAGCAGACAGCAGCATTGTCAGAAACTACTTTGTGATGTTTGCATTCAAGTCACAGAATTGAACACTCCCTTTCACAGAGCAGGTTTGAAACTCTCTTTTTGTAGTGTCTATAAGTGAACATTTGGCGTGCTTTCAGGCGTAACGTGAAAAAGGAAATATCTTCCCATAAAAACTAGACAGAAGCATTCTCAGAAACTTGTTCTTGATGTGTGCCCTCTACTGACAGAGTTGAACCTTTCTTTGCAAAGAGCAGTTTTGAAACACTCTTTTTGTAGAATCTGCAAGAGGATATTTGGATAGCTTTGAGGATTTCTTGGGAAACGGGAATGTCTTCAGATAAACTCTAGACAGAAGCATTCTCAGAAACTTCTTTGGGATGTTTCAATTGAAGTCACAGTGTTGAACATTCCCTTTCACAGAGCAGGTTTGAAACACTCTTTTTGTAGTGTCTATAAGTGAACATTTGGCGTGCTTTCAGGCCTAACGTGAAAAAGGAAATATCTTCCCATAAAAACTAGACAGAAGCATTCTCAGAAACTTGTTCTTGATGTGTCCCCTCTACTGACAGAGTTGAACCTTTCTTTGCAAAGAGCAGCTTTGAAACACTCTTTTTGTAGAATCTGCAAGAGGATATTTGGATAGCTTGGAGGATTTCGTTGGAAACGGGTATGTCTTCAGATAAACTCTAGACAGAAGCATTCTCAGAAACTTCTTTGGGATGTTGCATTCAAGTCACAGAGTAGAACATTCCCATTCATAGAGCAGATTTGAAACACTCTTTTTGTAGTATCTGGAAGTGGACATTTGGAGCGCTTTCAGGCCTATGTTGAAAAAGGAAATATCTTCCCATAAAAACTAGACGGAAGCATTCTCAGAAACTTACTTGTGATGTGTTTGCTCAACTAACAGAATTGAACCATCGTTTTGAAGGAGCAGTTTTGAAACACTGTTTTCGTGGAATCTGCAAGTGGATATTTGGCTAGCTTTGAGGATTTCGTTGGAAACGGGATTACATATAAAAAGGAGACAGCAGCATTCTCAGAAACTTCTTTGTGATGTCTGCATTCAAGTCACAGAGTTGAGCATTCCCTTTCATAGAGCAGGTTGGAAACACTCTTTTTGTAGTATCTGGATGAGGACATTTGGAGCGCTTTCAGGCCTATGGTGAAAAAGGAAATATCTTCCCGTAAAAACTAGACAGAAGCATTCTCAGAAATTTATTTGTGATGTGTGCCCTCAACTAACAGAGTTGAACCTTTCTTTTGATAGAGCAGTTTTGAAACACTCTTTTTGTAAAATCTGCAAGAGGATATTTGGATAGCTTTGAGGATTTCATTGCAAACGGGAATGGCTTCATATAAACTCTAGACAGAAGCATTCTCAGAAACTTCGTTGGGATGTTTCGATTGAAGTCCCAGTGTTGAACATTCCCTTTTATAGAGCAGGTTGGAAACACTCTTTCTGCATTCCCTGGAAGTGGACATTTGGAGCGCTTTCAGGACGACGGTGAAAATGGAAATATCTTCCAAGAAAATCTAGATAGAAGCAATGTCAGAAACTTTTCTGTGATGGATCTACTCAGCTAACAGAGTTGAACCTTTCTTTTGAGAGAGCAGTTTTGCAACACTCTTTTTGTGGAATATGCAAGTGATTATTAGGGCAGCTTTGAGGATTTCGTTGGAAACGGGAATACATGTAAAAAGCAGACAGCAGCATTCTCAGAAACTTCTTTGTGATGTTTGCATTGAAGTCACAGAGTTGAACATTCCCTTTGAGAGAGCAGGTTTGAAACACGCCTTTTGTCATATCTGGAAGTGTCCATTCGGAGCGCATTCAGGCTTGTGTTGAAAAAGGAAATATCCTCCCATAAAAACTAGACAGAAGCATTCTCAGAAACTTATCTGTGATGTATGTACTCAACTAACAGAACTAAACCATCGTTTTGAAGGAGCAGTTTTGAAACACTCTTTTTGCGGAATCTGCAAGTGGATATTTGGCTAGCTGGGAGGATTTCGTTGGAAACGGGATTACATACAAAAAGCAGACAGCAGCATTCTCAGAAACTTCTTTGTGATGTTTGCATTCAAGTCACAGAGTTGAACATTCCCTTTCATAGAGCAGGTTTGAAACACTCTTTTTGTAGTATCTGGATGTGGACATTTGGATCGCTTTCAGGCCTATGGTGAAAAAGGAAATATCTTCCCATGAAAACTAGACAGAAGCATTCTCAGAAACTTATTTGTGATGTGTGCCCTCAACTGACAGTGTTGAACCTTTGTTTTGATAGAGCAGTTCTGAAACACACTTTTTGTAAAATCTGCAAGAGGATATTTGGATAGCTTTGAGGATTTCGTTGGAAACGGGAATGTCTTCATGTAAACTCTACACAGAAGCATTCTCAGAAACTGCTTTGGGATGTTTCAATTGAAGTCCTAGTGTTGAACATTCCCATTCATAGAGCAGGTTTGAAACACTCTTTTTGTACTATCTGGAAGTGGACATTTGGAGCGCTTTCAGGTCTACGGTGAAAAAGGAGATATCTTCCAATAAAAACTAGATAGAAAGCAATGTCAGAACTTTTTTCATGATGTATCTACTCAGCAAACAGAGTTGAACCTTTCTTTTGAGAGAGCAGTTTTGAAACACTCTTTTTGTGGAATATGCAAGTGGGTATTAGGCCAGCTTGGAGGATTTCGTTGGAAACGGGAATACGTATAAAAAGCAGACAGCAGCATTGTCAGAAACTACTTTGTGATGTTTGCATTCAAGTCACAGAATTGAACACTCCCTTTCACAGAGCAGGTTTGAAACACTCTTTTTGTAGTGTCTGTAAGTGAACATATGGATTGCTTTCAGGCCTAAGGTGAAAAAGGAAATATCTTCCCATAAAAACTAGACAGAAGCATTCTCAGAAACTTGTTTGTGATGTGTGCCCTCTACTGACAGAGTTGAACCTTTCTTTGCAAAGAGCAGTTTTGAAACACTCTTTTTGTAGAATCTGCAAGAGGATATTTGGATAGCTTTGAAGATTTCTTGGGAAACGGGAATGTCTTCAGATAAACTCTAGACAGAAGCATTCTCAGAAACTTCTTTGGGATGTTTCAATTGAAGTCACAGTGTTGAACATTCCCTTTCACAGAGCAGGTTTGAAACACTCTTTTTGTAGTGTCTATAAGTGAACATTTGGCGTGCTTTCAGGCCTAACGTGAAAAAGGAAATATCTTCCCATAAAAACTAGACAGAAGCATTCTCAGAAACTTGTTCGTGATGTGTGCCCTCTACTGACAGAGTTGAACCTTTCTTTGCAAAGAGCAGCTTTGAAACACACTTTTTGTAGAATCTGCAAGAGGATATTTGGATAGCTTGGAGGATTTCGTTGGAAACGGGTATGTCTTCAGATAAACTCTAGACAGAAGCATTCTCAGAAACTTCTTTGGGATGTTGCATTCAAGTCACAGAGTAGAACATTCCCATTCATAGAGCAGATTTGAAACACTCTTTTTGTAGTATCTGGAAGTGGACATTTGGAGCGCTTCAGGCCTATGTTGAAAAAGGAAATATCTTCCCATAAAAACTAGACGGAAGCATTCTCAGAAACTTACTTGTGATGTGTTTGCTCAACTAACAGAATTGAACCATCGTTTTGAAGGAGCAGTTTTGAAACACTGTTTTCGTGGAATCTGCAAGTGGATATTTGGCTAGCTTTGAGGATTTCGTTGGAAACGGGATTACATATAAAAAGGAGACAGCAGCATTCTCAGAAACTTCTTTGTGATGTCTGCATTCAATTCACAGAGTTGAGCATTCCCTTTCATAGAGCAGGTTGGAAACACTCTTTTTGTAGTATCTGGATGAGGACATTTGGAGCGCTTTCAGGCGTATGGTGAAAAAGGAAATATCTTCCCGTAAAAACTAGACAGAAGCATTCTCAGAAATTTATTTGTGATGTGTGCCCTCAACTAACAGAGTTGAACCTTTCTTTTGATAGAGCAGTTTTGAAACACTCTTTTTGTAAAATCTGCAAGAGGATATTTGGATAGCTTTGAGGATTTCATTGCAAACGGGAATGGCTTCATATAAACTCTAGACAGAAGCATTCTCAGAAACTTCGTTGGGATGTTTCGATTGAAGTCCCAGTGTTGAACATTCCCTTTTATAGAGCAGGTTGGAAACACTCTTTCTGCATTCCCTGGAAGTGGACATTTGGAGCGCTTTCAGGACGACGGTGAAAATGGAAATATCTTCCAAGAAAATCTAGATAGAAGCAACGTCAGAAACTTTTCTGTGATGGATCTACTCAGCTAACAGAGTTGAACCTTTCTTTTGAGAGAGCAGTTTTGCAACACTCTTTTTGTGGAATATGCAAGTGGATATTAGGGCAGCTTTGAGGATTTCGTTGGAAACGGGAATACATGTAAAAAGCAGACAGCAGCATTCTCAGAAACTTCTTTGTGATGTTTGCATTGAAGTCACAGAGTTGAACATTCCCTTTGAGAGAGCAGGTTTGAAACACGCCTTTTGTCATATCTGGAAGTGTCCATTCGGAGCGCATTCAGGCTTGTGTTGAAAAAGGAAATATCCTCCCATAAAAACTAGACAGAAGCATTCTCAGAAACTTATCTGTGATGTATGTACTCAACTAACAGAACTAAACCATCGTTTTGAAGGAGCAGTTTTGAAACACTCTTTTTGCGGAATCTGCAAGTGGATATTTGGCTAGCTGGGAGGATTTCGTTGGAAACGGGATTACATACAAAAAGCAGACAGCAGCATTCTCAGAAACTTCTTTGTGATGTTTGCATTCAAGTCACAGAGTTGAACATTCCCTTTCATAGAGCAGGTTGGAAACACTCTTTTTGTAGTATCTGGATGTGGACATTTGGATCGCTTTCAGGCCTATGGTGAAAAAGGAAATATCTTCCCATGAAAACTAGACAGAAGCATTCTCAGAAACTTATTTGTGATGTGTGCCCTCAACTGACAGTGTTGAACCTTTGTTTTGATAGAGCAGTTCTGAAACACACTTTTTGTAAAATCTGCAAGAGGATATTTGGATAGCTTTGAGGATTTCGTTGGAAACGGGAATGTCTTCATGTAAACTTCTAGACAGAAGCATTCTCAGAAACTGCTTTGGGATGTTTCAATTGAAGTCCCAGTGTTGAACATTCCCTTTCATAGAGCAGGTTTGAAACACTCTTTTTGTACTATCTGGAAGTGGACATTCGGAGCGCTTTCAGGTCTACGGTGAAAAAGGAGATATCTTCCAATAACAACTAGATAGAAGCAATGTCAGAACTTTTTTCATGATGTATCTACTCAGCAAACAGAGTTGAACCTTTCTTTTGAGAGAGCAGTTTTGAAACACTCTTTTTGTGGAATATGCAAGTGGGTATTAGGCCAGCTTGGAGGATTTCGTTGGAAACGGGAATACGTATAAAAAGCAGACAGCAGCATTGTCAGAAACTACTTTGTGATGTTTGCATTCAAGTCACAGAATTGAACACTCCCTTTCACAGAGCAGGTTTGAAACACTCTTTTTGTAGTGTCTGTAAGTGAACATTTGGATTGCTTTCAGGCCTGAGGTGAAAAAGGAAATATCTTCCCATAAAAACTAGACAGAAGCATTCTCAGAAACTTGTTTGTGATGTGTGCCCTCTACTGACAGAGTTGAACCTTTCTTTGCAAAGAGCAGTTTTGAAACACTCTTTTTGTAGAATCTGCAAGAGGATATTTGGATAGCTTTGAGGATTTCTTGGGAAACGGGAATGTCTTCAGATAAACTCTAGACAGAAGCATTCTCAGAAACTTCTTTGGGATGTTTCAATTGAAGTCACAGTGTTGAACATTCCCTTTCACAGAGCAGGTTTGAAACACTCTTTTTGTAGTGTCTATAAGTGAACATTTGGCGTGCTTTCAGGCCTAACGTGAAAAAGGAAATATCTTCCCATAAAAACTAGACAGAAGCATTCTCAGAAACTTGTTCTTGATGTGTCCCTTCTACTGACAGAGTTGAACCTTTCTTTGCAAAGAGCATCTTTGAAACACTCTTTTTGTAGAATCTGCAAGAGGATATTTGGATAGCTTTGAGGATTTCGTTGGAAACGGGTATGTCTTCAGATAAACTCTAGACAGAAGCATTCTCAGAAACTTCTTTGGGATGTTGCATTCAAGTCACAGAGTAGAACATTCCCATTCATAGAGCAGATTTGAAACACTCTTTTTGTAGTATCTGGAAGTGGACATTTGGAGCGCTTTCAGGCCTATGTTGAAAAAGGAAATATCTTCCCATAAAAACTAGACGGAAGCATTCTCAGAAACTTATTTGTGATGTGTTTGCTCAACTAACAGGATTGAACCATCGTTTTGAAGGAGCAGTTTTGAAACACTGTTTTCGTGGAATCTGCAAGTGGATATTTGGCTAGCTTTGAGGATTTCGTTGGAAACGGGATTACATATAAAAAGGAGACAGCAGCATTCTCAGAAACTTCTTTGTGATGTCTGCATTCAATTCACAGAGTTGAGCATTCCCTTTCATAGAGCAGGTTGGAAACACTCTTTTTGTAGTATCTGGATGAGGACATTTGGAGCGCTTTCAGGCCTATGGTGAAAAAGGAAATATCTTCCCGTAAAAACTAGACAGAAGCATTCTCAGAAATTTATTTGTGATGTGTGCCCTCAACTAACAGAGTTGAACCTTTCTTTTGATAGAGCAGTTTTGAAACACTCTTTTTGTAAAATCTGCAAGAGGATATTTGGATAGCTTTGAGGATTTCGTTGCAAACGGGAATGGCTTCATATAAACTCTAGACAGAAGCATTCTCAGAAACTTCGTTGGGATGTTTCGATTGAAGTCCCAGTGTTGAACATTCCCTTTTATAGAGCAGGTTGGAAACACTCTTTCTGCATTCCCTGGAAGTGGACATTTGGAGCGCTTTCAGGACGACGGTGAAAATGGAAATATCTTCCAAGAAAATCTAGATAGAAGCAACGTCAGAAACTTTTCTGTGATGGATCTACTCAGCTAACAGAGTTGAACCTTTCTTTTGAGAGAGCAGTTTTGCAACACTCTTTTTGTGGAATATGCAAGTGGATATTAGGGCAGCTTTGAGGATTTCGTTGGAAATGGGAATACATGTAAAAAGCAGACAGCAGCATTCTCAGAAACTTCTTTGTGATGTTTGCATTGAAGTCACAGAGTTGAACATTCCCTTTGAGAGAGCAGGTTTGAAACACGCCTTTTGTCATATCTGGAAGTGTCCATTCGGAGCGCATTCAGGCTTGTGTTGAAAAAGGAAATATCCTCCCATAAAAACTAGACAGAAGCATTCTCAGAAACTTATTTGTGATGTATGTACTCAAGTAACAGAACTAAACCATCGTTTTGAAGGAGCAGTTTTGAAACACTCTTTTTGCGGAATCTGCAAGTGGATATTTGGCTAGCTGGGAGGATTTCGTTGGAAACGGGATTACATACAAAAAGCAGACAGCAGCATTCTCAGAAACTTCTTTGTGATGTTTGCATTCAAGTCACAGAGTTGAACATTCCCTTTCATAGAGCAGGTTTGAAACACTCTTTTTGTAGTATCTGGATGTGGACATTTGGATCGCTTTCAGGCCTATGGTGAAAAAGGAAATATCTTCCCATGAAAACTAGACAGAAGCATTCTCAGAAACTTATTTGTGATGTGTGCCCTCAACTGACAGTGTTGAACCTTTGTTTTGATAGAGCAGTTCTGAAACACACTTTTTGTAAAATCTGCAAGAGGATATTTGGATAGCTTTGAGGATTTCGTTGGAAACGGGAATGTCTTCATGTAAACTCTAGACAGAAGCATTCTCAGAAACTGCTTTGGGATGTTTCAATTGAAGTCCCAGTGTTGAACATTCCCATTCATAGAGCAGGTTTGAAACACTCTTTTTGTACTATCTGGAAGTGGACATTTGGAGCGCTTTCAGGTCTACGGTGAAAAAGGAGATATCTTCCAATAAAAACTAGATAGAAGCAATGTCAGAACTTTTTTCATGATGTATCTACTCAGCAAACAGAGTTGAACCTTTCTTTTGAGAGAGCAGTTTCGAAACACTCTTTCTGTGGAATATGCAAGTGGGTATTAGGCCAGCTTGGAGGATTTCGTTGGAAACGGGAATACGTATAAAAAGCAGACAGCAGCATTGTCAGAAACTACTTTGTGATGTTTGCATTCAAGTCACAGAATTGAACACTCCCTTTCACAGAGCAGGTTTGAAACACTCTTTTTGTAGTGTCTGTAAGTGAACATATGGATTGCTTTCAGGCCTAAGGTGAAAAAGGAAATATCTTCCCATAAAAACTAGACAGAAGCATTCTCAGAAACTTGTTTGTGATGTGTGCCCTCTACTGACAGAGTTGAACCTTTCTTTGCAAAGAGCAGCTTTGAAACACTCTTTTTGTAGAATCTGCAAGAGGATATTTGGATAGCTTGGAGGATTTCGTTGGAAACGGGTATGTCTTCAGATAAACTCTAGACAGAAGCATTCTCAGAAACTTCTTTGGGATGTTGCATTCAAGTCACAGAGTAGAACATTCCCATTCATAGAGCAGATTTGAAACACTCTTTTTGTAGTATCTGGAAGTGGACATTTGGAGCGCTTTCAGGCCTATGTTGAAAAAGGAAATATCTTCCCATAAAAACTAGACGGAAGCATTCTCAGAAACTTACTTGTGATGTGTTTGCTCAACTAACAGAATTGAACCATCGTTTTGAAGGAGCAGTTTTGAAACACTGTTTTCGTGGAATCTGCAAGTGGATATTTGGCTAGCTTTGAGGATTTCGTTGGAAACGGGATTACATATAAAAAGGAGACAGCAGCATTCTCAGAAACTTCTTTGTGATGTCTGCATTCAAGTCACAGAGTTGAGCATTCCCTTTCATAGAGAAGGTTGGAAACACTCTTTTTGTAGTATCTGGATGAGGACATTTGGAGCGCTTTCAGGCGTATGGTGAAAAAGGAAATATCTTCCCGTAAAAACTAGACAGAAGCATTCTCAGAAATTTATTTGTGATGTGTGCCCTCAACTAACAGAGTTGAACCTTTCTTTTGATAGAGCAGTTTTGAAACACTCTTTTTGTAAAATCTGCAAGAGGATATTTGGATAGCTTTGAGGATTTCGTTGCAAACGGGAATGGCTTCATATAAACTCTAGACAGAAGCATTCTCAGAAACTTCGTTGGGATGTTTCGATTGAAGTCCCAGTGTTGAACATTCCCTTTTATAGAGCAGGTTGGAAACACTCTTTCTGCATTCCCTGGAAGTGGACATTTGGAGCGCTTTCAGGACGACGGTGAAAATGGAAATATCTTCCAAGAAAATCTAGATAGAAGCAACGTCAGAAACTTTTCTGTGATGGATCTACTCAGCTAACAGAGTTGAACCTTTCTTTTGAGAGAGCAGTTTTGCAACACTCTTTTTGTGGAATATGCAAGTGGATATTAGGGCAGCTTTGAGGATTTCGTTGGAAACGGGAATACATGTAAAAAGCAGACAGCAGCATTCTCAGAAACTTCTTTGTGATGTTTGCATTGAAGTCACAGAGTTGAACATTCCCTTTGAGAGAGCAGGTTTGAAACACGCCTTTTGTCATATCTGGAAGTGTCCATTCGGAGCGCATTCAGGCTTGTGTTGAAAAAGGAAATATCCTCCCATAAAAACTAGACAGAAGCATTCTCAGAAACTTATCTGTGATGTATGTACTCAACTAACAGAACTAAACCATCGTTTTGAAGGAGCAGTTTTGAAACACTCTTTTTGCGGAATCTGCAAGTGGATATTTGGCTAGCTGGGAGGATTTCGTTGGAAACGGGATTACATACAAAAAGCAGACAGCAGCATTCTCAGAAACTTCTTTGTGATGTTTGCATTCAAGTCACAGAGTTGAACATTCCCTTTCATAGAGCAGGTTTGAAACACTCTTTTTGTAGTATCTGGATGTGGACATTTGGATCGCTTTCAGGCCTATGGTGAAAAAGGAAATATCTTCCCATGAAAACTAGACAGAAGCATTCTCAGAAACTTATTTGTGATGTGTGCCCTCAACTGACAGTGTTGAACCTTTGTTTTGATAGAGCAGTTCTGAAACACACTTTTTGTAAAATCTGCAAGAGGATATTTGGATAGCTTTGAGGATTTCGTTGGAAACGGGAATGTCTTCATGTAAACTCTAGACAGAAGCATTCTCAGAAACTGCTTTGGGATGTTTCAATTGAAGTCCCAGTGTTGAACATTCCCATTCATAGAGCAGGTTTGAAACACTCTTTTTGTACTATCTGGAAGTGGACATTTGGAGCGCTTTCAGGTCTACGGTGAAAAAGGAGATATCTTCCAATAAAAACTAGATAGAAGCAATGTTAGAACTTTTTTCATGATGTATCTACTCAGCAAACAGAGTTGAACCTTTCTTTTGAGAGAGCAGTTTTGAAACACTCTTTTTGTGGAATATGCAAGTGGGTATTAGGTCAGCTTGGAGGATTTCGTTGGAAACGGGAATACGTATAAAAAGCAGACAGCAGCATTGTCAGAAACTACTTTGTGATGTTTGCATTCAAGTCACAGAATTGAACACTCCCTTTCACAGAGCAGGTTTGAAACACTCTTTTTGTAGTGTCTGTAAGTGAACATTTGGATTGCTTTCAGGCCTAAGGTGAAAAAGGAAATATCTTCCCATAAAAACTAGACAGAAGCATTCTCAGAAACTTGTTTGTGATGTGTGCCCTCTACTGACAGAGTTGAACCTTTCTTTGCAAAGAGCAGTTTTGAAACACTCTTTTTGTAGAATCTGCAAGAGGATATTTGGATAGCTTTGAGGATTTCTTGGGAAACGGGAATGTCTTCAGATAAACTCTAGACAGAAGCATTCTCAGAAACTTCTTTGGGATGTTTCAATTGAAGTCACAGTGTTGAACATTCCCTTTCACAGAGCAGGTTTGAAACACTCTTTTTGTAGTGTCTATAAGTGAACATTTGGCGTGCTTTCAGGCGTAACGTGAAAAAGGAAATATCTTCCCATAAAAACTAGACAGAAGCATTCTCAGAAACTTGTTCGTGATGTGTGCCCTCTACTGACAGAGTTGAACCTTTCTTTGCAAAGAGCAGCTTTGAAACACACTTTTTGTAGAATCTGCAAGAGGATATTTGGATAGCTTTGAGGATTTCGTTGGAAACGGGTATGTCTTCAGATAAACTCTAGACAGAAGCATTCTCAGAAACTTCTTTGGGATGTTGCATTCAAGTCACAGAGTAGAACATTCCCATTCATAGAGCAGATTTGAAACACTCTTTTTGTAGTATCTGGAAGTGGACATTTGGAGCGCTTTCAGGCCTATGTTGAAAAAGGAAATATCTTCCCATAAAAACTAGACGGAAGCATTCTCAGAAACTTATTTGTGATGTGTTTGCTCAACTAACAGGATTGAACCATCGTTTTGAAGGAGCAGTTTTGAAACACTGTTTTCATGGAATCTGCAAGTGGATATTTGGCTAGCTTTGAGGATTTCGTTGGAAACGGGATTACATATAAAAAGGAGACAGCAGCATTCTCAGAAACTTCTTTGTGATGTCTGCATTCAATTCACAGAGTTGAGCATTCCCTTTCATAGAGCAGGTTGGAAACACTCTTTTTGTAGTATCTGGATGAGGACATTTGGAGAGCTTTCAGGCCTATGGTGAAAAAGGAAATATCTTCCCGTAAAAACTAGACAGAAGCATTCTCAGAAGTTTATTTGTGATGTGTGCCCTCAACTAACAGAGTTGAACCTTTCTTTTGATAGAGCAGTTTTGAAACACTCTTTTTGTAAAATCTGCAAGAGGATATTTGGATAGCTTTGAGGATTTCGTTGCAAACGGGAATGGCTTCATATAAACTCTAGACAGAAGCATTCTCAGAAACTTCGTTGGGATGTTTCGATTGAAGTCCCAGTGTTGAACATTCCCTTTTATAGAGCAGGTTGGAAACACTCTTTCTGCATTCCCTGGAAGTGGACATTTGGAGCGCTTTCAGGACGACGGTGAAAATGGAAATATCTTCCAAGAAAATCTAGATAGAAGCAATGTCAGAAACTTTTATGTGATGGATCTACTCAGCTAACAGAGTTGAACCTTTCTTTTGAGAGAGCAGTTTTGCAACACTCTTTTTGTGGAATATGCAAGTGGATATTAGGGCAGCTTTGAGGATTTCGTTGGAAACGGGAATACATGTAAAAAGCAGACAGCAGCATTCTCAGAAACTTCTTTGTGATGTTTGCATTGAAGTCACAGAGTTGAACATTCCCTTTGAGAGAGCAGGTTTGAAACACGCCTTTTGTCATATCTGGAAGTGTCCATTCGGAGCGCATTCAGGCTTGTGTTGAAAAAGGAAATATCCTCCCATAAAAACTAGACAGAAGCATTCTCAGAAACTTATTTGTGATGTATGTACTCAAGTAACAGAACTAAACCATCGTTTTGAAGGAGCAGTTTTGAAACACTCTTTTTGCGGAATCTGCAAGTGGATATTTGGCTAGCTGGGAGGATTTCGTTGGAAACGGGATTACATACAAAAAGCAGACAGCAGCATTCTCAGAAACTTCTTTGTGATGTTTGCATTCAAGTCACAGAGTTGAACATTCCCTTTCATAGAGCAGGTTTGAAACACTCTTTTTGTAGTATCTGGATGTGGACATTTGGATCGCTTTCAGGCCTATGGTGAAAAAGGAAATATCTTCCCATGAAAACTAGACAGAAGCATTCTCAGAAACTTATTTGTGATGTGTGCCCTCAACTGACAGTGTTGAACCTTTGTTTTGATAGAGCAGTTCTGAAACACACTTTTTGTAAAATCTGCAAGAGGATATTTGGATAGCTTTGAGGATTTCGTTGGAAACGGGAATGTCTTCATGTAAACTCTAGACAGAAGCATTCTCAGAAACTGCTTTGGGATGTTTCAATTGAAGTCCCACTGTTGAACATTCCCTTTCATAGAGCAGGTTTGAAACACTCTTTTTGTACTATCTGGAAGTGGACATTTGGAGCGCTTTCAGGTCTACGGTGAAAAAGGAGATATCTTCCAATAAAAACTAGATAGAAGCAATGTCAGAACTTTTTTCATGATGTATCTACTCAGCAAACAGAGTTGAACCTTTCTTTTGAGAGAGCAGTTTTGAAACACTCTTTTTGTGGAATATGCAAGTGGGTATTAGGCCAGCTTGGAGGATTTCGTTGGAAACGGGAATACGTATAAAAAGCAGACAGCAGCATTGTCAGAAACTACTTTGTGATGTTTGCATTCAAGTCACAGAATTGAACACTCCCTTTCACAGAGCAGGTTTGAAACACTCTTTTTGTAGTGTCTGTAAGTGAACATTTGGATTGCTTTCAGGCCTAAGGTGAAAAAGGAAATATCTTCCCATAAAAACTAGACAGAAGCATTCTCAGAAACTTGTTTGTGATGTGTGCCCTCTACTGACAGAGTTGAACCTTTCTTTGCAAAGAGCAGTTTTGAAACACTCTTTTTGTAGAATCTGCAAGAGGATATTTGGATAGCTTTGAGGATTTCTTGGGAAACGGGAATGTCTTCAGATAAACTCTAGACAGAAGCATACTCAGAAACTTCTTTGGGACGTTTCAATTAAAGTCACAGTGTTGAACATTCCCTTTCACAGAGCAGGTTTGAAACACTCTTTTTGTAGTGTCTATAATTGAACATTTGGCGTGCTTTCAGGCCTAACGTGAAAAAGGAAATATCTTCCCATAAAAACTAGACAGAAGCATTCTCAGAAACTTGTTCGTGATGTGTGCCCTCTACTGACAGAGTTGAACCTTTCTTTGCAAAGAGCAGTTTTGAAACACTCTTTTTGTAAAATCTGCAAGAGGATATTTGGATAGCTTGGAGGATTTCGTTGGAAACGGGTATGTCTTCAGATAAACTCTAGACAGAAGCATTCTCAGAAACTTCTTTGGGATGTTGCATTCAAGTCACAGAGTAGAACATTCCCATTCATAGAGCAGATTTGAAACACTCTTTTTGTAGTATCTGGAAGTGGACATTTGGAGCGCTTTCAGGCCTATGTTGAAAAAGGAAATATCTTCCCATAAAAACTAGACGGAAGCATTCTCAGAAACTTATTTGTGATGTGTTTGCTCAACTAACAGGATTGAACCATCGTTTTGAAGGAGCAGTTTTGAAACACTGTTTTCGTGGAATCTGCAAGTGGATATTTGGCTTGCTTTGAGGATTTCGTTGGAAACGGGATTACATATAAAAAGGAGACAGCAGCATTCTCAGAAACTTCTTTGTGATGTCTGCATTCAATTCACAGAGTTGAGCATTCCCTTTCATAGAGCAGGTTGGAAACACTCTTTTTGTAGTATCTGGATGAGGACATTTGGAGCGCTTTCAGGCGTATGGTGAAAAAGGAAATATCTTCCCGTAAAAACTAGACAGAAGCATTCTCAGAAGTTTATTTGTGATGTGTGCCCTCAACTAACAGAGTTTAACCTTTCTTTTGATAGAGCAGTTTTGAAACACTCTTTTTGTAAAATCTGCAAGAGGATATTTGGATAGCTTTGAGGATTTCGTTGCAAACGGGAATGGCTTCATATAAACTCTAGACAGAAGCATTCTCAGAAACTTCGTTGGGATGTTTCGATTGAAGTCCCAGTGTTGAACATTCCCTTTTATAGAGCAGGTTGGAAACACTCTTTCTGCATTCCCTGGAAGTGGACATTTGGAGCGCTTTCAGGACGACGGTGAAAATGGAAATATCTTCCAAGAAAATCTAGATAGAAGCAACGTCAGAAACTTTTCTGTGATGGATCTACTCAGCTAACAGAGTTGAACCTTTCTTTTGAGAGAGCAGTTTTGCAACACTCTTTTTGTGGAATATGCAAGTGGATATTAGGGCAGCCTTGAGGATTTCGTTGGAAACGGGAATACATGTAAAAAGCAGACAGCAGCATTCTCAGAAACTTCTTTGTGATGTTTGCATTGAAGTCACAGAGTTGAACATTCCCTTTGAGAGAGCAGGTTTGAAACACGCCTTTTGTCATATCTGGAAGTGTCCATTCGGAGCGCATTCAGGCTTGTGTTGAAAAAGGAAATATCCTCCCATAAAAACTAGACAGAAGCATTCTCAGAAACTTATCTGTGATGTATGTACTCAACTAACAGAACTAAACCATCGTTTTGAAGGAGCAGTTTTGAAACACTCTTTTTGCGGAATCTGCAAGTGGATATTTGGCTAGCTGGGAGGATTTCGTTGGAAACGGGATTACATACAAAAAGCAGACAGCAGCATTCTCAGAAACTTCTTTGTGATGTTTGCATTCAAGTCACAGAGTTGAACATTCCCTTTCATAGAGCAGGTTTGAAACACTCTTTTTGTAGTATCTGGATGTGGACATTTGGATCGCTTTCAGGCCTATGGTGAAAAATGAAATATCTTCCCATGAAAACTAGACAGAAGCATTCTCAGAAACTTATTTGTGATGTGTGCCCTCAACTGACAGTGTTGAACCTTTGTTTTGATAGAGCAGTTCTGAAACACACTTTTTGTAAAATCTGCAAGAGGATATTTGGATAGCTTTGAGGATTTCGTTGGAAACGGGAATGTCTTCATGTAAACTCTACACAGAAGCATTCTCAGAAACTGCTTTGGGATGTTTCAATTGAAGTCCCAGTGTTGAACATTCCCTTTCATAGAGCAGGTTTGAAACCCTCTTTTTGTACTATCTGGAAGTGGACATTTGGAGCGCTTTCAGGTCTACGGTGAAAAAGGAGATATCTTCCAATAAAAACTAGATAGAAGCAATGTCAGAACTTTTTTCATGATGTATCTACTCAGCAAACAGAGTTGAACCTTTCTTTTGAGAGAGCAGTTTTGAAACACTCCTTTTGTGGAATATGCAAGTGGGTATTAGGCCAGCTTGGAGGATTTCGTTGGAAACGGGAATACGTATAAAAAAGCAGACAGCAGCATTGTCAGAAACTACTTTGTGATGTTTGCATTCAAGTCACAGAATTGAACACTCCCTTTCACAGAGCAGGTTTGAAACACTCTTTTTGTAGTGTCTGTAAGTGAACATTTGGATTGCTTTCAGGCCTAAGGTGAAAAAGGAAATATCTTCCCATAAAAACTAGACAGAAGCATTCTCAGAAACTTGTTTGTGATGTGTGCCCTCTACTGACAGAGTTGAACCTTTCTTTGCAAAGAGCAGTTTTGAAACACTCTTTTTGTAGAATCTGCAAGAGGATATTTGGATAGCTTTGAGGATTTCTTGGGAAACGGGAATGTCTTCAGATAAACTCTAGACAGAAGCATTCTCAGAAACTTCTTTGGGATGTTTCAATTGAAGTCACAGTGTTGAACATTCCCTTTCACAGAGCAGGTTTGAAACACTCTTTTTGTAGTGTCTATAAGTGAACATTTGGCGTGCTTTCAGGCCTAACGTGAAAAAGGAAATATCTTCCCATAAAAACTAGACAGAAGCATTCTCAGAAACTTGTTCGTGATGTGTGCCCTCTACTGACAGAGTTGAACCTTTCTTTGCAAAGAGCAGCTTTGAAACACACTTTTTGTAGAATCTGCAGGAGGATATTTGGATAGCTTTGAGGATTTCGTTGGAAACGGGTATGTCTTCAGATAAACTCTAGACAGAAGCATTCTCAGAAACTTCTTGGGATGTTGCATTCAAGTCACAGAGTAGAACATTCCCATTCATAGAGCAGACTTGAAACACTCTTTTTGTAGTATCTGGAAGTGGACATTTGGAGCGCTTTCAGGCCTATGTTGAAAAAGGAAATATCTTCCCATAAAAACTAGACGGAAGCATTCTCAGAAACTTATTTGTGATGTGTTTGCTCAACTAACAGGATTGAACCATCGTTTTGAAGGAGCAGTTTTGAAACACTGTTTTCGTGGAATCTGCAAGTGGATATTTGGCTAGCTTTGAGGATTTCGTTGGAAACGGGATTACATATAAAAAGGAGACAGCAGCATTCTCAGAAACTTCTTTGTGATGTCTGCATTCAATTCACAGAGTTGAGCATTCCCTTTCATAGAGCACGTTGGAAACACTCTTTTTGTAGTATCTGGATGAGGACATTTGGAGCGCTTTCAGGCCTATGGTGAAAAAGGAAATATCTTCCCGTAAAAACTAGACAGAAGCATTCTCAGAAGTTTATTTCTGATGTGTGCCCTCAACTAACAGAGTTGAACCTTTCTTTTGATAGAGCAGTTTTGAAACACTCTTTTTGTAAAATCTGCAAGAGGATATTTGGATAGCTTTGAGGATTTCGTTGCAAACGGGAATGGCTTCATATAAACTCTAGACAGAAGCATTCTCAGAAACTTCGTTGGGATGTTTCGATTGAAGTCCCAGTGTTGAACATTCCCTTTTATAGAGCAGGTTGGAAACACTCTTTCTGCATTCCCTGGAAGTGGACATTTGGAGCGCTTTCAGGACGACGGTGAAAATGGAAATATCTTCCAAGAAAATCTAGATAGAAGCAATGTCAGAAACTTTTATGTGATGGATCTACTCAGCTAACAGAGTTGAACCTTTCTTTTGAGAGAGCAGTTTTGCAACACTCTTTTTGTGGAATATGCAAGTGGATATTAGGGCAGCTTTGAGGATTTCGTTGGAAACGGGAATACATGTAAAAAGCAGACAGCAGCATTCTCAGAAACTTCTTTGTGATGTTTGCATTGAAGTCACAGAGTTGAACATTCCCTTTGAGAGAGCAGGTTTGAAACACGCCTTTTGTCATATCTGGAAGTGTCCATTCGGAGCGCATTCAGGCTTGTGTTGAAAAAGGAAATATCCTCCCATAAAAACTAGACAGAAGCATTCTCAGAAACTTATCTGTGATGTATGTACTCAACTAACAGAACTAAACCATCGTTTTGAAGGAGCAGTTTTGAAACACTCTTTTTGCGGAATCTGCAAGTGGATATTTGGCTAGCTGGGAGGATTTCGTTGGAAACGGGATTACATACAAAAAGCAGACAGCAGCATTCTCAGAAACTTCTTTGTGATGTTTGCATTCAAGTCACAGAGTTGAACATTCCCTTTCATAGAGCAGGTTTGAAACACTCTTTTTGTAGTATCTGGATGTGGACATTTGGATCGCTTTCAGGCCTATGGTGAAAAAGGAAATATCTTCCCATGAAAACTAGACAGAAGCATTCTCAGAAACTTGTTCGTGATGTGTGCCCTCTACTGACAGAGTTGAACCTTTCTTTGCAAAGAGCAGCTTTGAAACACACTTTTTGTAGAATCTGCAAGAGGATATTTGGATAGCTTTGAGGATTTCGTTGGAAACGGGTATGTCTTCAGATGAACTCTAGACAGAAGCATTCTCAGAAACTTCTTTGGGATGTTGCATGCAAGTCACAGAGTAGAACATTCCCATTCATAGAGCAGATTTGAAACACTCTTTTTGTAGTATCTGGAAGTGGACATTTGGAGCGCTTTCAGGCCTATGTTGAAAAAGGAAATATCTTCCCATAAAAACTAGACGGAAGCATTCTCAGAAACTTAATTGTGATGTGTTTGCTCAACTAACAGGATTGAACCGTCGTTTTGAAGGAGCAGTTTTGAAACACTGTTTTCGTGGAATCTGCAAGTGGATATTTGGCTAGCTTTGAGGATTTCGTTGGAAACGGGATTACATATAAAAAGGAGACAGCAGCATTCTCAGAAACTTCTTTGTGATGTCTGCATTCAATTCACAGAGTTGAGCATTCCCTTTCATAGAGCAGGTTGGAAACACTCTTTTTGTAGTATCTGGATGAGGACATTTGGAGCGCTTTCAGGCGTATGGTGAAAAAGGAAATATCTTCCCGTAAAAACTAGACAGAAGCATTCTCAGAAATTTATTTGTGATGTGTGCCCTCAACTAACAGAGTTGAACCTTTCTTTTGATAGAGCAGTTTTGAAACACTCTTTTTGTAAAATCTGCAAGAGGATATTTGGATAGCTTTGAGGATTTCGTTGCAAACGGGAATGGCTTCATATAAACTCTAGACAGAAGCATTCTCAGAAACTTCGTTGGGATGTTTCGATTGAAGTCCCAGTGTTGAACATTCCCTTTTATAGAGCAGGTTGGAAACACTCTTTCTGCATTCCCTGGAAGTGGACATTTGGAGCGCTTTCAGGACGACGGTGAAAATGGAAATATCTTCCAAGAAAATCTAGATAGAAGCAATGTCAGAAACTTTTCTGTGATGGATCTACTCAGCTAACAGAGTTGAACCTTTCTTTTGAGAGAGCAGTTTTGCAACACTCTTTTTGTGGAATATGCAAGTGGATATTAGGGCAGCTTGAGGATTTCGTTGGAAACGGGAATACATGTAAAAAGCAGACAGCAGCATTCTCAGAATCTTCTTTGTGATGTTTGCATTGAAGTCACAGAGTTGAACATTCCCTTTGAGAGAGCAGGTTTGAAACACGCCTTTTGTCATATCTGGAAGTGTCCATTCGGAGCGCATTCAGGCTTGTGTTGAAAAAGGAAATATCCTCCCATAAAAACTAGACAGAAGCATTCTCAGAAACTTATCTGTGATGTATGTACTCAACTAACAGAACTAAACCATCGTTTTGAAGGAGCAGTTTTGAAACACTCTTTTTGCGGAATCTGCAAGTGGATATTTGGCTAGCTGGGAGGATTTCGTTGGAAACGGGATTACATACAAAAAGCAGACAGCAGCATTCTCAGAAACTTCTTTGTGATGTTTGCATTCAAGTCACAGAGTTGAACATTCCCTTTCATAGAGCAGGTTTGAAACACTCTTTTTGTAGTATCTGGATGTGGACATTTGGATCGCTTTCAGGCCTATGGTGAAAAAGGAAATATCTTCCCATGAAAACTAGACAGAAGCATTCTCAGAAACTTATTTGTGATATGTGCCCTCAACTGACAGTGTTGAACCTTTGTTTTGATAGAGCAGTTCTGAAACACACTTTTTGTAAAATCTGCAAGAGGATATTTGGATAGCTTTGAGGATTTCGTTGGAAACGGGAATGTCTTCATGTAAACTCTACACAGAAGCATTCTCAGAAACTGCTTTGGGATGTTTCAATTGAAGTCCCAGTGTTGAACATTCCCATTCATAGAGCAGGTTTGAAACACTCTTTTTGTACTATCTGGAAGTGGACATTTGGAGCGCTTTCAGGTCTACGGTGAAAAAGGAGATATCTTCCAATAAAAACTAGATAGAAGCAATGTCAGAACTTTTTTCATGATGTATCTACTCAGCTAACAGGGTTGAACCTTTCTTTTGAGAGAGCAGTTTTGAAACACTCTTTTTGTGGAATATGCAAGTGGGTATTAGGCCAGCTTGGAGGATTTCGTTGGAAACGGGAATACGTATAAAAAGTAGACAGCAGCATTGTCAGAAACTACTTTGTGATGTTTGCATTCAAGTCACAGAATTGAACACTCCCTTTCACAGAGCAGGTTTGAAACACTCTTTTTGTAGTGTCTGTAAGTGAACATTTGGATTGCTTTCAGGCCTAAGGTGAAAAAGGAAATATCTTCCCATAAAAACTAGACAGAAGCATTCTCAGAAACTTGTTTGTGATGTGTGCCCTCTACTGACAGAGTTGAACCTTTCTTTGCAAAGAGCAGTTTTGAAACACTCTTTTTGTAGAATCTGCAAGAGGATATTTGGATAGCTTTGAGGATTTCTTGGGAAACGGGAATGTCTTCAGATAAACTCTAGACAGAAGCATTCTCAGAAACTTCTTTGGGATGTTTCAATTGAAGTCACAGTGTTGAACATTCCCTTTCCCAGAGCAGGTTTGAAACACTCTTTTTGTAGTGTCTATAAGTGAACATTTGGCGTGCTTTCAGGCCTAACGTGAAAAAGGAAATATCTTCCCATAAAAACTAGACAGAAGCATTCTCAGAAACTTGTTCTTGATGTGTCCCCTCTACTGACAGAGTTGAACCTTTCTTTGCAAAGAGCAGCTTTGAAACACTCTTTTTGTAGAATCTGCAAGAGGATGTTTGGATAGCTTTGAGGATTTCGTTGGAAACGGGTATGTCTTCAGATAAACTCTAGACAGAAGCATTCTCAGAAACTTCTTTGGGATGTTGCATTCAAGTCACAGAGTAGAACATTCCCATTCATAGAGCAGATTTGAAACACTCTTTTTGTAGTATCTGGAAGTGGACATTTGGAGCGCTTTCAGGCCTATGTTGAAAAAGGAAATATCTTCCCATAAAAACTAGACGGAAGCATTCTCAGAAACTTATTTGTGATGTGTTTGCTCAACTAACAGGATTGAACCATCGTTTTGAAGGAGCAGTTTTGAAACACTGTTTTCGTGGAATCTGCAAGTGGATATTTGGCTAGCTTTGAGGATTTCGTTGGAAACGGGATTACATATAAAAAGGAGACAGCAGCATTCTCAGAAACTTCTTTGTGATGTCTGCATTCAATTCACAGAGTTGAGCATTCCCTTTCATAGAGCAGGTTGGAAACACTCTTTTTGTAGTATCTGGATGAGGACATTTGGAGCGCTTTCAGGCGTATGGTGAAAAAGGAAATATCTTCCCGTAAAAACTAGACAGAAGCATTCTCAGAAGTTTATTTGTGATGTGTGCCCTCAACTAACAGAGTTGAACCTTTCTTTTGATAGAGCAGTTTTGAAACACTCTTTTTGTAAAATCTGCAAGAGGATATTTGGATAGCTTTGAGGATTTCGTTGCAAACGGGAATGGCTTCATATAAACTCTAGACAGAAAGCATTCTCAGAAACTTCGTTGGGATGTTTCGATTGAAGTCCCAGTGTTGAACATTCCCTTTTATAGAGCAGGTTGGAAACACTCTTTCTGCATTCCCTGGAAGTGGACATTTGGAGCGCTTTCAGGACGACGGTGAAAATGGAAATATCTTCCAAGAAAATCTAGATAGAAGCAATGTCAGAAACTTTTATGTGATGGATCTACTCAGCTAACAGAGTTGAACCTTTCTTTTGAGAGAGCAGTTTTGCAACACTCTTTTTGTGGAATATGCAAGTGGATATTAGGGCAGCTTTGAGGATTTCGTTGGAAACGGGAATACATGTAAAAAGCAGACAGCAGCATTCTCAGAAACTTCTTTGTGATGTTTGCATTGAAGTCACAGAGTTGAACATTCCCTTTGAGAGAGCAGGTTTGAAACACGCCTTTTGTCATATCTGGAAGTGTCCATTCGGAGCGCATTCAGGCTTGTGTTGAAAAAGGAAATATCCTCCCATAAAAACTAGACAGAAGCATTCTCAGAAACTTATCTGTGATGTATGTACTCAACTAACAGAACTAAACCATCGTTTTGAAGGAGCAGTTTTGAAACACTCTTTTTGCGGAATCTGCAAGTGGATATTTGGCTAGCTGGGAGGATTTCGTTGGAAACGGGATTACATACAAAAAGCAGACAGCAGCATTCTCAGAAACTTCTTTGTGATGTTTGCATTCAAGTCACAGAGTTGAACATTCCCTTTCATAGAGCAGGTTTGAAACACTCTTTTTGTAGTATCTGGATGTGGACATTTGGATCGCTTTCAGGCCTATGGTGAAAAAGGAAATATCTTCCCATGAAAACTAGACAGAAGCATTCTCAGAAACTTATTTGTGATGTGTGCCCTCAACTGACAGTGTTGAACCTTTGTTTTGATAGAGCAGTTCTGAAACACACTTTTTGTAAAATCTGCAAGAGGATATTTGGATAGCTTTGAGGATTTCGTTGGAAACGGGAATGTCTTCATGTAAACTCTAGACAGAAGCATTCTCAGAAACTGCTTTGGGATGTTTCAACTGAAGTCCCAGTGTTGAACATTCCCTTTCATAGAGCAGGTTTGAAACACTCTTTTTGTACTATCTGGAAGTGGACATTTGGAGCGCTTTCAGGTCTACGGTGAAAAAGGAGATATCTTCCAATAAAAACTAGATAGAAGCAATGTCAGAACTTTTTTCATGATGTATCTACTAAGCAAACAGAGTTGAACCTTTCTTTTGAGAGAGCAGTTTTGAAACACTCTTTTTGTGGAATATGCAAGTGGGTATTAGGCCAGCTTGGAGGATTTCGTTGGAAACGGGAATACGTATAAAAAGCAGACAGCAGCATTGTCAGAAACTACTTTGTGATGTTTGCATTCAAGTCACAGAGTTGAACACTCCCTTTCACAGAGCAGGTTTGAAACACTCTTTTTGTAGTGTCTGTAAGTGAACATTTGGATTGCTTTCAGGCCTAAGGTGAAAAAGGAAATATCTTCCCATAAAAACTAGACAGAAGCATTCTCAGAAACTTGTTTGTGATGTGCGCCCTCTACTGACAGAGTTGAACCTTTCTTTGCAAAGAGCAGTTTTGAAACACTCTTTTTGTAGAATCTGCAGGAGGATATTTGGATAGCTTTGAGGATTTCTTGGGAAACGAGAATGTCTTCAGATAAACTCTAGACAGAAGCATTCTCAGAAACTTCTTTGGGATGTTTCAATTGAAGTCACAGTGTTGAACATTCCCTTTCACAGAGCAGGTTTGAAACACTCTTTTTGTAGTGTCTATAAGTGAACATTTGGCGTGCTTTCAGGCGTAACGTGAAAAAGGAAATATCTTCCCATAAAAACCAGACAGAAGCATTCTCAGAAACTTGTTCTTGATGTGTCCCCTCTACTGACAGAGTTGAACCTTTCTTTGCAAAGAGCAGCTTTGAAACACTCTTTTTGTAGAATCTGCAAGAGGATATTTGGATAGCTTGGAGGATTTCGTTGGAAACGGGTATGTCTTCAGATAAACTCTAGACAGAAGCATTCTCAGAAACTTCTTTGGGATGTTGCATTCAAGTCACAGAGTAGAACATTCCCATTCATAGAGCAGATTTGAAACACTCTTTTTGTAGTATCTGGAAGTGGACATTTGGAGCGCTTTCAGGCCTATGTTGAAAAAGGAAATATCTTCCCATAAAAACTAGACGGAAGCATTCTCAGAAACTTAATTGTGATGTGTTTGCTCAACTAACAGGATTGAACCATCGTTTTGAAGGAGCAGTTTTGAAACACAGTTTTCGTGGAATCTGCAAGTGGATATTTGGCTAGCTTTGAGGATTTCGTTGGAAACGGGATTACATATAAAAAGGAGACAGCAGCATTCTCAGAAACTTCTTTGTGATGTCTGCATTCAATTCACAGAGTTGAGCATTCCCTTTCATAGAGCAGGTTGGAAACACTCTTTTTGTAGTATCTGGATGTGGACATTTGGATCGCTTTCAGGCCTATGGTGAAAAAGGAAATATCTTCCCATGAAAACTAGACAGAAGCATTCTCAGAAACTTATTTGTGATGTGTGCACTCAACTGACAGTGTTGAACCTTTGTTTTGATAGAGCAGTTCTGAAACACACTTTTTGTAAAATCTGCAAGAGGATATTTGGATAGCTTTGAGGATTTCGTTGGAAACGGGAATGTCTTCATGTAAACTCTAGACAGAAGCATTCTCAGAAACTGCTTTGGGATGTTTAAATTGAAGTCCCAGCGTTGAACATTCCCATTCATAGAGCAGGTTTGAAACACTCTTTTTGTACTATCTGGAAGTGGACATTTGGAGCGCTTTCAGGTCTACGGTGAAAAAGGAGATATCTTCCAATAAAAACTAGATAGAAGCAATGTCAGAACTTTTTTCATGATGTATCTACTCAGCAAACAGAGTTGAACCTTTCTTTTGAGAGAGCAGTTTTGACACAGTCTTTGTGGAATATGCAAGTGGGTATTAGGCCAGCTTGGAGGATTTCGTTGGAAACGGGAATACGTATAAAAAGCAGACAGCAGCATTGTCAGAAACTACTTTGTGATGTTTGCATTCAAGTCACAGAATTGAACACTCCCTTTCACAGAGCAGGTTTGAAACACTCTTTTTGTAGTGTCTATAAGTGAACATTTGGCGTGCTTTCAGGCCTAAGGTGAAAAAGGAAATATCTTCCCATAAAAACTAGACAGAAGCATTCTCAGAAACTTGTTCGTGATGTGTGCCCTCTACTGACAGAGTTGAACCTTTCTTTGCAAAGAGCAGCTTTGAAACACTCTTTTTGTAGAATCTGCAAGAGGATATTTGGATAGCTTTGAGGATTTCGTTGGAAACGGGTATGTCTTCAGATAAACTCTAGACAGAAGCATTCTCAGAAACTTCTTTGGGATGTTGCATTCAAGTCACAGAGTAGAACATTCCCATTCATAGAGCAGATTTGAAACACTCTTTTTGTAGTATCTGGAAGTGGACATTTGGAGCGCTTTCAGGCCTATGTTGAAAAAGGAAATATCTTCCCATAAAAACTAGACGGAAGCATTCTCAGAAACTTACTTGTGATGTGTTTGCTCAACTAACAGAATTGAACCATCGTTTTGAAGGAGCAGTTTTGAAACACTGTTTTCGTGGAATCTGCAAGTGGATATTTGGCTAGCTTTGAGGATTTCGTTGGAAACGGGATTACATATAAAAAGGAGACAGCAGCATTCTCAGAAACTTCTTTGTGATGTCTGCATTCAAGTCACAGAGTTGAGCATTCCCTTTCATAGAGCAGGTTGGAAACACTCTTTTTGTAGTATCTGGATGAGGACATTTGGAGCGCTTTCAGGCATATGGTGAAAAAGGAAATATCTTCCCGTAAAAACTAGACAGAAGCATTCTCAGAAATTTATTTGTGATGTGTGCCCTCAACTAACAGAGTTGAACCTTTCTTTTGATAGAGCAGTTTTGAAACACTCTTTTTGTAAAATCTGCAAGAGGATATTTGGATAGCTTTGAGGATTTCGTTGCAAACGGGAATGGCTTCATATAAACTCTAGACAGAAGCATTCTCAGAAACTTCGTTGGGATGTTTCGATTGAAGTCCCAGTGTTGAACATTCCCTTTTATAGAGCAGGTTGGAAACACTCTTTCTGCATTCCCTGGAAGTGGACATTTGGAGCGCTTTCAGGACGACGGTGAAAATGGAAATATCTTCCAATAAAATCTAGATAGAAGCAACGTCAGAAACTTTTATGTGATGGATCTACTCAGCTAACAGAGTTGAACCTTTCTTTTGAGAGAGCAGTTTTGCAACACTCTTTTTGTGGAATATGCAAGTGGATATTAGGGCACCTTTGAGGATTTCGTTGGAAACGGGGAATACATGTAAAAAGCAGACAGCAGCATTCTCAGAAACTTCTTTGTGATGTTTGCATTGAAGTCACAGAGTTGAACATTCCCTCTGAGAGAGCAGGTTTGAAACACGCCTTTTGTCATATCTGGAAGTGTCCATTCGGAGCGCATTCAGGCTTGTGTTGAAAAAGGAAATATCCTCCCATAAAAACTAGACAGAAGCATTCTCAGAAACTTATCTGTGATGTATGTACTCAACTAACCGAACTAAACCATCGTTTTGAAGGAGCAGTTTTGAAACACTCTTTTTGCGGAATCTGCAAGTGGATATTTGGCTAGCTGGGAGGATTTCGTTGGAAACGGGATTACATACAAAAAGCAGACAGCAGCATTCTCAGAAACTTCTTTGTGATGTTTGCATTCAAGTCACAGAGTTGAACATTCCCTTTCATAGAGCAGGTTTGAAACACTCTTTTTGTAGTATCTGGATGTGGACATTTGGATCGCTTTCAGGCCTATGGTGAAAAAGGAAATATCTTCCCATGAAAACTAGACAGAAGCATTCTCAGAAACTTATTTGTGATGTGTGCCCTCAACTGACAGTGTTGAACCTTTGTTTTGATAGAGCAGTTCTGAAACACACTTTTTGTAAAATCTGCAAGAGGATATTTGGATAGCTTTGAGGATTTCGTTGGAAACGGGAATGTCTTCATGTAAACTCTAGACAGAAGCATTCTCAGAAACTGCTTTGGGATGTTTCAATTGAAGTCCCAGTGTTGAACATTCCCTTTCATAGGAGCAGGTTTGAAACACTCTTTTTGTACTATCTGGAAGTGGACATTTGGAGCGCTTTCAGGTCTACGGTGAAAAAGGAGATATCTTCCAATAAAAACTAGATAGAAGCAATGTCAGAACTTTTTTCATGATGTATCTACTCAGCAAACAGAGTTGAACCTTTCTTTTGAGAGAGCAGTTTTGAAACACTCTTTTTGTGGAATATGCAAGTGGGTATTAGGCCAGCTTGGAGGATTTCGTTGGAAACGGGAATACGTATAAAAAGCAGACAGCAGCATTGTCAGAAACTACTTTGTGATGTTTGCATTCAAGTCACAGAACTGAACACTCCCTTTCACAGAGCAGGTTTGAAACACTCTTTTTGTAGTGTCTGTAAGTGAACATTTGGATTGCTTTCAGGCCTAAGGTGAAAAAGGAAATATCTTCCCATAAAAACTAGACAGAAGCATTCTCAGAAACTTGTTTGTGATGTGTGCCCTCTACTGACAGAGTTGAACCTTTCTTTGCAAAGAGCAGTTTTGAAACACTCTTTTTGTAGAATCTGCAAGAGTATATTTGGATAGCTTTGAGGATTTCTTGGGAAACGGGAATGTCTTCAGATAAACTCTAGACAGAAGCATTCTCAGAAACTTCTTTGGGATGTTTCAATTGAAGTCACAGTGTTGAACATTCCCTTTCACAGAGCAGGTTTGAAACACTCTTTTTGTAGTGTCTATAATTGAACATTTGGCGTGCTTTCAGGCCTAACGTGAAAAAGGAAATATCTTCCCATAAAAACTAGACAGAAGCATTCTCAGAAACTTGTTCGTGATGTGTGCCCTCTACTGACAGAGTTGAACCTTTCTTTGCAAAGAGCAGCTTTGAAACACTCTTTTTGTAGAATCTGCAAGAGGATATTTGGATAGCTTTGAGGATTTCGTTGGAAACGGGTATGTCTTCAGATAAACTCTAGACAGAAGCATTCTCAGAAACTTCTTTGGGATGTTGCATGCAAGTCACAGAGTAGAACATTCCCATTCATAGAGCAGATTTGAAACACTCTTTTTGTAGTATCTGGAAGTGGACATTTGGAGCGCTTTCAGGCCTATGTTGAAAAAGGAAATATCTTCCCATAAAAACTAGACGGAAGCATTCTCAGAAACTTATTTGTGATGTGTTTGCTCAACTAACAGGATTGAACCATCGTTTTGAAGGAGCAGTTTTGAAACACTGTTTTCGTGGAATCTGCAAGTGGATATTTGGCTAGCTGGGAGGATTTCGTTGGAAACGGGATTACATATAAAAAGGAGACAGCAGCATTCTCAGAAACTTCTTTGTGATGTCTGCATTCAATTCACAGAGTTGAGCATTCCCTTTCATAGAGCAGATTGGAAACACTCTTTTTGTAGTATCTGGATGAGGACATTTGGAGCGCTTTCAGGCCTATGGTGAAAAAGGAAATATCTTCCCGTAAAAACTAGACAGAAGCATTCTCAGAAGTTTATTTGTGATGTGTGCCCTCAACTAACAGAGTTGAACCTTTCTTTTGATAGAGCAGTTTTGAAACACTCTTTTTGTAAAATCTGCAAGAGGATATTTGGATAGCTTTGAGGATTTCGTTGCAAACGAGAATGGCTTCACATAAACTCTAGGCAGAAGCATTCTCAGAAACTTCGTTGGGATGTTTCGATTGAAGTCCCAGTGTTGAACATTCCCTTTTATAGAGCAGGTTGGAAACACTCTTTCTGCTTTCCCTGGAAGTGGACATTTGGAGCGCTTTCAGGACGACGGTGAAAATGGAAATATCTTCCAAGAAAATCTAGATAGAAGCAATGTCAGAAACTTTTATGTGATGGATCTACTCAGCTAACAGAGTTGAACCTTTCTTTTGAGAGAGCAGTTTTGCAACACTCTTTTTGTGGAATATGCAAGTGGATATTAGGGCAGCTTTGAGGATTTCGTTGGAAACGGGAATACATGTAAAAAGCAGACAGCAGCATTCTCAGAAACTTCTTTGTGATGTTTGCATTGAAGTCACAGAGTTGAACATTCCCTTTGAGAGAGCAGGTTTGAAACACGCCTTTTGTCATATCTGGAAGTGTCCATTCGGAGCGCATTCAGGCTTGTGTTGAAAAAGGAAATATCCTCCCATAAAAACTAGACAGAAGCATTCTCAGAAACTTATCTGTGATGTATGTACTCAACTAACAGAACTAAACCATCGTTTTGAAGGAGCAGTTTTGAAACACTCTTTTTGCGGAATCTGCAAGTGGATATTTGGCTAGCTGGGAGGATTTCGTTGGAAACGGGATTACATACAAAAAGCAGACAGCAGCATTCTCAGAAACTTCTTTGTGATGTTTGCATTCAAGTCACAGAGTTGAACATTCCCTTTCATAGAGCAGGTTTGAAACACTCTTTTTGTAGTATCTGGATGTGGACATTTGGATCGCTTTCAGGCCTATGGTGAAAAAGGAAATATCTTCCCATGAAAACTAGACAGAAGCATTCTCAGAAACTTATTTGTGATGTGTGCCCTCAACTGACAGTGTTGAACCTTTGTTTTGATAGAGCAGTTCTGAAACACACTTTTTGTAAAATCTGCAAGAGGATATTTGGATAGCTTTGAGGATTTCGTTGGAAACGGGAATGTCTTCATGTAAACTCTACACAGAAGCATTCTCAGAAACTGCTTTGGGATGTTTCAATTGAAGTCCCAGTGTTGAACATTCCCTTTCATAGAGCAGGTTTGAAACACTCTTTTTGTACTATCTGGAAGTGGACATTTGGAGCGCTTTCACGTCTACGGTGAAAAAGGAGATATCTTCCAATAAAAACTAGATAGAAGCAATGTCAGAACTTTTTTCATGATGTATCTACTCAGCAAACAGAGTTGAACCTTTCTTTTGAGAGAGCAGTTTTGAAACACTCTTTTTGTGGAATATGAAAGTGGGTATTAGGCCAGCTTGGAGGATTTCGTTGGAAACGGGAATACGTATAAAAAGCAGACAGCAGCATTGTCAGAAACTACTTTGTGATGTTTGCATTCAAGTCACAGAACTGAACACTCCCTTTCACAGAGCAGGTTTGAAACACTCTTTTTGTAGTGTCTGTAAGTGAACATTTGGATTGCTTTCAGGCCTAAGGTGAAAAAGGAAATATCTTCCCATAAAAACTAGACAGAAGCATTCTCAGAAACTTGTTTGTGATGTGTGCCCTCTACTGACAGAGTTGAACCTTTCTTTGCAAAGAGCAGTTTTGAAACACTCTTTTTGTAGAATCTGCAAGAGGATATGTGGATAGCTTTGAGGATTTCGTTGGAAACGGGTATGTCTTCAGATAAACTCTAGACAGAAGCATTCTCAGAAACTTCTTTGGGATGTTTCAATTGAAGTCACAGTGTTGAACATTCCCTTTCACAGAGCAGGTTTGAAACACTCTTTTTGTAGTGTCTATAAGTGAACATTTGGCGTGCTTTCAGGCGTAACGTGAAAAAGGAAATATCTTCCCATAAAAACCAGACAGAAGCATTCTCAGAAACTTGTTCGTGATGTGTGCCCTCTACTGACAGAGTTGAACCTTTCTTTGCAAAGAGCAGCTTTGAAACACACTTTTTGTAGAATCTGCATGAGGATATTTGGATAGCTTTGAGGATTTCCTTGGAAACGGGTATGTCTTCAGATAAACTCTAGACAGAAGCATTCTCAGAAACTTCTTTGGGATGTTGCATGCAAGTCACAGAGTAGAACATTCCCATTCATAAATCAGATTTGAAACACTCTTTTTGTAGTATCTGGAAGTGGACATTTGGAGCGCTTTCAGGCCTATGTTGAAAAAGGAAATATCTTCCCATAAAAACTAGACGGAAGCATTCTCAGAAACTTATTTGTGATGTGTTTGCTCAACTAACAGGATTGAACCATCGTTTTGAAGGAGCAGTTTTGAAACACTGTTTTCGTGGAATCTGCAAGTGGATATTTGGCTAGCTTTGAGGATTTTGTTGGAAACGGGATTACATATAAAAAGGAGACAGCAGCATTCTGAGAAACTTCTTTGTGATGTCTGCATTCAATTCACAGAGTTGAGCATTCCCTTTCATAGAGCAGGTTGGAAACACTCTTTTTGTAGTATCTGGATGTGGACATTTGGATCGCTTTCAGGCCTATGGTGAAAAAGGAAATATCTTCCCATGAAAACTAGACAGAAGCATTCTCAGAAACTTATTTGTGATGTGTGCCCTCAACTGACAGTGTTGAACCTTTGTTTTGATAGAGCAGTTCTGAAACACACTTTTTGTAAAATCTGCAAGAGGATATTTGGATAGCTTTGAGGATTTCGTTGGAAACGGGAATGTCTTCATGTAAACTCTAGACAGAAGCATTCTCAGAAACTGCTTTGGGATGTTTCAATTGAAATCCCAGTGTTGAACATTCCCATTCATAGAGCAGGTTTGAAACACTCTTTTTGTACTATCTGGAAGTGGACATTTGGAGCGCTTTCAGGTCTACGGTGAAAAAGGAGATATCTTCCAATAAAAACTAGATAGAAGCAATGTCAGAACTTTTTTCATGATGTATCTACTCAGCAAACAGAGTTGAACCTTTCTTTTGAGAGAGCAGTTTTGAAACACTCTTTTTGTGGAATATGCAAGTGGGTATTAGGCCAGCTTGGAGGATTTCGTTGGAAACGGGAATACGTATAAAAAGCAGACAGCAGCATTGTCAGAAACTACTTTGTGATGTTTGCATGCAAGTCACAGAATGGAACACTGCCTTTCACAGAGCAGGTTTGAAACACTCTTTTTGTAGTGTCTGTAAGTGAACATTTGGATTGCTTTCAGGCCTAAGGTGAAAAAGGAAATATCTTCCCATAAAAACTAGACAGAAGCATTCTCAGAAACTTGTTTGTGATGTGTGCCCTCTACTGACAGAGTTGAACCTTTCTTTGCAAAGAGCAGTTTTGAAACACTCTTTTTGTAGAATCTGCAAGAGGATATTTGGATAGCTTTGAGGATTTCTTGGGAAACGGGAATGTCTTCAGATAAACTCTAGACAGAAGCATTCTCAGAAACTTCTTTGGGATGTTTCAATTGAAGTCACAGTGTTGAACATTCCCTTTCACAGAGCAGGTTTGAAACACTCTTTTTGTAGTGTCTATAAGTGAACATTTGGCGTGCTTTCAGGCCTAACGTGAAAAAGGAAATATCTTCCCATAAAAACTAGACAGAAGCATTCTCAGAAACTTGTTCGTGATGTGTGCCCTCTAACTGACAGAGTTGAACCTTTCTTTGCAAAGAGCAGCTTTGAAACACTCTTTTTCTAGAATCTGCAAGAGGATATTTGGATAGCTTTGAGGATTTCGTTGGAAACGGGGATGTCTTCAGATAAACTCTAGACAGAAGCATTCTCAGAAACTTCTTTGGGATGTTGCATTCAAGTCACAGAGTAGAACATTCCCATTCATAGAGCAGATTTGAAACACTCTTTTTGTAGTATCTGGAAGTGGACATTTGGAGCGCTTTCAGGCCTATGTTGAAAAAGGAAATATCTTCCCATAAAAACTAGACGGAAGCATTCTCAGAAACTTACTTGTGATGTGTTTGCTCAACTAACAGAATTGAACCATCGTTTTGATGGAGCAGTTTTGAAACACTGTTTTCGTGGAATCTGCAAGTGGATATTTGGCTAGCTTTGAGGATTTCGTTGGAAACGGGATTACATATAAAAAGGAGACAGCAGCATTCTCAGAAACTTCTTTGTGATGTCTGCATTCAATTCACAGAGTTGAGCATTCCCTTTCATAGAGCAGGTTGGAAACACTCTTTTTGTAGTATCTGGATGAGGACATTTGGAGCGCTTTCAGGCCTATGGTGAAAAAGGAAATATCTTCCCGTAAAAACTAGACAGAAGCATTCTCAGAAGTTTATTTGTGATGTGTGCCCTCAACTAACAGAGTTGAACCTTTCTTTTGATAGAGCAGTTTTGAAACACTCTTTTTGTAAAATCTGCAAGAGGATATTTGGATAGCTTTGAGGATTTCGTTGCAAACGAGAATGGCTTCACATAAACTCTAGACAGAAGCATTCTCAGAAACTTCGTTGGGATGTTTCGATTGAAGTCCCAGTGTTGAACATTCCCTTTTATAGAGCAGGTTGGAAACACTCTTTCTGCTTTCCCTGGAAGTGGACATTTGGAGCGCTTTCAGGACGACGGTGAAAATGGAAATATCTTCCAAGAAAATCTAGATAGAAGCAATGTCAGAAACTTTTATGTGATGGATCTACTCAGCTAACAGAGTTGAACCTTTCTTTTGAGAGAGCAGTTTTGCAACACTCTTTTTGTGGAATATGCAAGTGGATATTAGGGCAGCTTTGAGGATTTCGTTGGAAACGGGAATACATGTAAAAAGCAGACAGCAGCATTCTCAGAAACTTCTTTGTGATGTTTGCATTGAAGTCACAGAGTTGAACATTCCCTTTGAGAGAGCAGGTTTGAAACACGCCTTTTGTCATATCTGGAAGTGTCCATTCGGAGCGCATTCAGGCTTGTGTTGAAAAAGGAAATATCCTCCCATAAAAACTAGACAGAAGCATTCTCAGAAACTTATTTGTGATGTATGTACTCAACTAACAGAACTAAACCATCGTTTTGAAGGAGCAGTTTTGAAACACTCTTTTTGCGGAATCTGCAACTGGATATTTGGCTAGCTTGGAGGATTTCGTTGGAAACGGGATTACATACAAAAAGCAGACAGCAGCATTCTCAGAAACTTCTTTGTGATGTTTGCATTCAAGTCGCAGAGTTGAACATTCCCTTTCATAGAGCAGGTTTGAAACACTCATTTTGTAGTATCTGGATGTGGACATTTGGATCGCTTTCAGGCCTATGGTGAAAAAGGAAATATCTTCCCATGAAAACTAGACAGAAGCATTCTCAGAAACTTATTTGTGATGTGTGCCCTCAACTGACAGTGTTGAACCTTTGTTTTGATAGAGCAGTTCTGAAACACACTTTTTGTAAAATCTGCAAGAGGATATTTGGATAGCTTTGAGGATTTCGTTGGAAACGGGAATGTCTTCATGTAAACTCTAGACAGAAGCATTCTCAGAAACTGCTTTGGGATGTTTCAATTGAAGTCCCAGTGTTGAACATTCCCTTTCATAGAGCAGGTTTGAAACACTCTTTTTGTAGTATCTGGAAGTGGACATTTGGAGCGCTTTCAGGTCTACGGTGAAAAAGGAGATATCTTCCAATAAAAACTAGATAGAAGCAATGTCAGAACTTTTTTCATGATGTATCTACTCAGCAAACAGAGTTGAACCTTTCTTTTGAGAGAGCAGTTTTGAAACACTCTTTTTGTGGAATATGCAAGTGGGTATTAGGCCAGCTTGGAGGATTTCGTTGGAAACGGGAATACGTACAAAAAGCAGACAGCAGCATTGTCAGAAACTACTTTGTGATGTTTGCATTCAAGTCACAGAATTGAACACTCCCTTTCACAGAGCAGGTTTGAAACACTCTTTTTGTAGTGTCTGTAAGTGAACATTTGGATTGCTTTCAGGCCTAAGGTGAAAAAGGAAATATCTTCCCATAAAAACTAGACAGAAGCATTCTCAGAAACTTGTTTGTGATGTGTGCCCTCTACTGACAGAGTTGAACCTTTCTTTGCAAAGAGCAGGTTTGAAACACTCTTTTTGTAGAATCTGCAAGAGGATATTTGGATAGCTTTGAGGATTTCTTGGGAAACGGGAATGTCTTCAGATAAACTCTAGACAGAAGCATTCTCAGAAACTTCTTTGGGATGTTTCAATTGAAGTCACAGTGTTGAACATTCCCTTTCACAGAGCAGGTTTGAAACACTCTTTTTGTAGTGTCTATAAGTGAACATTTGGCGTGCTTTCAGGCGTAACGTGAAAAAGGAAATATCTTCCCATAAAAACCAGACAGAAGCATTCTCAGAAACTTGTTCGTGATGTGTGCCCTCTACTGACAGAGTTGAACCTTTCTTTGCAAAGAGCAGCTTTGAAACACACTTTTTGTAGAATCTGCATGAGGATATTTGGATAGCTTTGAGGATTTCCTTGGAAACGGGTATGTCTTCAGATAAACTCTAGACAGAAGCATTCTCAGAAACTTCTTTGGGATGTTGCATGCAAGTCACAGAGTAGAACATTCCCATTCATAAATCAGATTTGAAACACTCTTTTTGTAGTATCTGGAAGTGGACATTTGGAGCGCTTTCAGGCCTATGTTGAAAAAGGAAATATCTTCCCATAAAAACTAGACGGAAGCATTCTCAGAAACTTATTTGTGATGTGTTTGCTCAACTAACAGGATTGAACCATCGTTTTGAAGGAGCAGTTTTGAAACACTGTTTTCGTGGAATCTGCAAGTGGATATTTGGCTAGCTTTGAGGATTTCGTTGGAAACGGGATTACATATAAAAAGGAGACAGCAGCATTCTCAGAAACTTCTTTGTGATGTCTGCATTCAATTCACAGAGTTGAGCATTCCCTTTCATAGAGCAGGTTGGAAACACTCTTTTTGTAGTATCTGGATGAGGACATTTGGAGCGCTTTCAGGCATATGGTGAAAAAGGAAATATCTTCCCGTAAAAACTAGACAGAAGCATTCTCAGAAATTTATTTGTGATGTGTGCCCTCAACTAACAGAGTTGAACCTTTCTTTTGATAGAGCAGTTTTGAAACACTCTTTTTGTAAAATCTGCAAGAGGATATTTGGATAGCTTTGAGGATTTCGTTGCAAACGGGAATGGCTTCATATAAACTCTAGACAGAAGCATTCTCAGAAACTTCGTTGGGATGTTTCGATTGAAGTCCCAGTGTTGAACATTCCCTTTTATAGAGCAGGTTGGAAACACTCTTTCTGCATTCCCTGGAAGTGGACATTTGGAGCGCTTTCAGGACGACGGTGAAAATGGAAATATCTTCCAAGAAAATCTAGATAGAAGCAACGTCAGAAACTTTTCTGTGATGGATCTACTCAGCTAACAGAGTTGAACCTTTCTTTTGAGAGAGCAGTTTTGCAACACTCTTTTTGTGGAATATGCAAGTGGATATTAGGGCAGCTTTGAGGATTTCGTTGGAAACGGGAATACATGTAAAAAGCAGACAGCAGCATTCTCAGAAACTTCTTTGTGATGTTTGCATTGAAGTCACAGAGTTGAACATTCCCTTTGAGAGAGCAGGTTTGAAACACGCCTTTTGTCATATCTGGAAGTGTCCATTCGGAGCGCATTCAGGCTTGTGTTGAAAAAGAAAATATCCTCCCATAAAAACTAGACAGAAGCATTCTCAGAAACTTATCTGTGATGTATGTACTCAACTAACCGAACTAAACCGTCGTTTTGAAGGAGCAGTTTTGAAACACTCTTTTTGCGGAATCTGCAAGTGGATATTTGGCTAGCTGGGAGGATTTCGTTGGAAACGGGATTACATACAAAAAGCAGACAGCAGCATTCTCAGAAACTTCTTTGTGATGTTTGCATTCAAGTCACAGAGTTGAACATTCCCTTTCATAGAGCAGGTTTGAAACACTCTTTTTGTAGTATCTGGATGTGGACATTTGGATCGCTTTCAGGCCTATGGTGAAAAAGGAAATATCTTCCCATGAAAACTAGACAGAAGCATTCTCAGAAACTTATTTGTGATGTGTGCCCTCAACTGACAGTGTTGAACCTTTGTTTTGATAGAGCAGTTCTGAAACACACTTTTTGTAAAATCTGCAAGAGGATATTTGGATAGCTTTGAGGATTTCGTTGGAAACGGGAATGTCTTCATGTAAACTCTACACAGAAGCATTCTCAGAAACTGCTTTGGGATGTTTCAATTGAAGTCCCAGTGTTGAACATTCCCTTTCATAGAGCAGGTTTGAAACCCTCTTTTTGTACTATCTGGAAGTGGACTTTTGGAGCCCTTTCAGGTCTACGGTGAAAAAGGAGATATCTTCCAATAAAAACTAGATAGAAGCAATGTCAGAACTTTTTTCATGATGTATCTACTCAGCAAACAGAGTTGAACCTTTCTTTTGAGAGAGCAGTTTTGAAACACTCCTTTTGTGGAATATGCAAGTGGGTATTAGGCCAGCTTGGAGGATTTCGTTGGAAACGGGAATACGTATAAAAAGCAGACAGCAGCATTGTCAGAAACTACTTTGTGATGTTTGCATTCAAGTCACAGAATTGAACACTCCCTTTCACAGAGCAGGTTTGAAACTCTCTTTTTGTAGTGTCTATAAGTGAACATTTGGCGTGCTTTCAGGCGTAACGTGAAAAAGGAAATATCTTCCCATAAAAACTAGACAGAAGCATTCTCAGAAACTTGTTCTTGATGTGTGCCCTCTACTGACAGAGTTGAACCTTTCTTTGCAAAGAGCAGTTTTGAAACACTCTTTTTGTAGAATCTGCAAGAGGATATTTGGATAGCTTTGAGGATTTCTTGGGAAACGGGAATGTCTTCAGATAAACTCTAGACAGAAGCATTCTCAGAAACTTCTTTGGGATGTTTCAATTCAAGTCACAGTGTTGAACATTCCCTTTCACAGAGCAGGTTTGAAACACTCTTTTTGTAGTGTCTATAAGTGAACATTTGGCGTGCTTTCAGGCGTAACGTGAAAAAGGAAATATCTTCCCATAAAAACTAGACAGAAGCATTCTCAGAAACTTGTTCTTGATGTGTCCCCTCTACTGACAGAGTTGAACCTTTCTTTGCAAAGAGCAGCTTTGAAACACTCTTTTTGTAGAATCTGCAAGAGGATATTTGGATAGCTTTGAGGATTTCGTTGGAAACGGGTATGTCTTCAGATAAACTCTAGACAGAAGCATTCTCAGAAACTTCTTTGGGATGTTGCATTCAAGTCACAGAGTAGAACATTCCCATTCATAGAGCAGATTTGAAACACTCTTTTTGTAGTATCTGGAAGTGGACATTTGGAGCGCTTTCAGGCCTATGTTGAAAAAGGAAATATCTTCCCATAAAAACTAGACGGAAGCATTCTCAGAAACTTATTTGTGATGTGTTTGCTCAACTAACAGGATTGAACCATCGTTTTGAAGGAGCAGTTTTGAAACACTGTTTTCGTGGAATCTGCAAGTGGATATTTGGCTAGCTTTGAGGATTTCGTTGGAAACGGGATTACATATAAAAAGGAGACAGCAGCATTCTCAGAAACTTCTTTGTGATGTCTGCATTCAATTCACAGAGTTGAGCATTCCCTTTCATAGAGCAGGTTGGAAACACTCTTTTTGTAGTATCTGGATGAGGACATTTGGAGCGCTTTCAGGCGTATGGTGAAAAAGGAAATATCTTCCCGTAAAAACTAGACAGAAGCATTCTCAGAAGTTTATTTGTGATGTGTGCCCTCAACTAACAGAGTTGAACCTTTCTTTTGATAGAGCAGTTTTGAAACACTCTTTTTGTAAAATCTGCAAGAGGATATTTGGATAGCTTTGAGGATTTCGTTGCAAACGGGAATGGCTTCATATAAACTCTAGACAGAAGCATTCTCAGAAACTTCGTTGGGATGTTTCGATTGAAGTCCCAGTGTTGAACATTCCCTTTTATAGAGCAGGTTGGAAACACTCTTTCTGCATTCCCTGGAAGTGGACATTTGGAGCGCTTTCAGGACGACGGTGAAAATGGAAATATCTTCCAAGAAAATCTAGATAGAAGCAATGTCAGAAACTTTTATGTGATGGATCTACTCAGCTAACAGAGTTGAACCTTTCTTTTGAGAGAGCAGTTTTGCAACACTCTTTTTGTGGAATATGCAAGTGGATATTAGGGCAGCTTTGAGGATTTCGTTGGAAACGGGAATACATGTAAAAAGCAGACAGCAGCATTCTCAGAAACTTCTTTGTGATGTTTGCATTGAAGTCACAGAGTTGAACATTCCCTTTGAGAGAGCAGGTTTGAAACACGCCTTTTGTCATATCTGGAAGTGTCCATTCGGAGCGCATTCAGGCTTGTGTTGAAAAAGGAAATATCCTCCCATAAAAACTAGACAGAAGCATTCTCAGAAACTTATCTGTGATGTATGTACTCAACTAACAGAACTAAACCATCGTTTTGAAGGAGCAGTTTTGAAACACTCTTTTTGCGGAATCTGCAAGTGGATATTTGGCTAGCTGGGAGGATTTCGTTGGAAACGGGATTACATACAAAAAGCAGAGAGCAGCATTCTCAGAAACTTCTTTGTGATGTTTGCATTCAAGTCACAGAGTTGAACATTCCCTTTCATAGAGCAGGTTTGAAACACTCTTTTTGTAGTATCTGGATGTGGACATTTGGATCGCTTTCAGGCCTATGGTGAAAAAGGAAATATCTTCCCATGAAAACTAGACAGAAGCATTCTCAGAAACTTATTTGTGATGTGTGCCCTCAACTGACAGTGTTGAACCTTTGTTTTGATAGAGCAGTTCTGAAACACACTTTTTGTAAAATCTGCAAGAGGATATTTGGATAGCTTTGAGGATTTCGTTGGAAACGGGAATGTCTTCATGTAAACTCTAGACAGAAGCATTCTCAGAAACTGCTTTGGGATGTTTCAATTGAAGTCCCAGTGTTGAACATTCCCTTTCATAGAGCAGGTTTGAAACACTCTTTTTGTACTATCTGGAAGTGGACATTTGGAGCGCTTTCAGGTCTACGGTGAAAAAGGAGATATCTTCCAATAAAAACTAGATAGAAGCAATGTCAGAACTTTTTTCATTATGTATCTACTCAGCAAACAGAGTTGAACCTTTCTTTTGAGAGAGCAGTTTTGAAACACTCTTTTTGTGGAATATGCAAGTGGGTATTAGGCCAGCTTGGAGGATTTCGTTGGAAACGGGAATACGTATAAAAAGCAGACAGCAGCATTGTCAGAAACTACTTTGTGATGTTTGCATTCAAGTCACAGTATTGAACACTCCCTTTCAGAGAGCAGGTTTGAAACAATCTTTTTGTAGTGTCTGTAAGTGAACATTTGGATTGCTTTCAGGCCTAAGGTGAAAAAGGAAATATCTTCCCATAAAAACTAGACAGAAGCATTCTCAGAAACTTGTTTGTGATGTGTGCCCTCTACTGACAGAGTTGAACCTTTCTTTGCAAAGAGCAGTTTTGAAACACTCTTTTTGTAGAATCTGCAAGAGGATATTTGGATAGCTTTGAGGATTTCTTGGGAAACGGGAATGTCTTCAGATAAACTCTAGACAGAAGCATTCTCAGAAACTTCTTTGGGATGTTTCAATTGAAGTCACAGTGTTGAACATTCCCTTTCACAGAGCAGGTTTGAAACACTCTTTTTGTAGTGTCTATAAGTGAACATTTGGCGTGCTTTCAGGCGTAACGTGAAAAAGGAAATATCTTCCCATAAAAACTAGACAGAAGCATTCTCAGAAACTTGTTCGTGATGTGTGCCCTCTACTGACAGAGTTGAACCTTTCTTTGCAAAGAGCAGCTTTGAAACACACTTTTTGTAGAATCTGCAAGAGGATATTTGGATAGCTTGGAGGATTTCGTTGGAAACGGGTATGTCTTCAGATAAACTCTAGACAGAAGCATTCTCAGAAACTTCTTTGGGATGTTGCATGCAAGTCACAGAGTAGAACATTCCCATTCATAGAGCAGATTTGAAACACTCTTTTTGTAGTATCTGGAAGTGGACATTTGGAGCGCTTTCAGGCCTATGTTGAAAAAGGAAATATCTTCCCATAAAAACTAGACGGAAGCATTCTCAGAAACTTAATTGTGATGTGTTTGCTCAACTAACAGGATTGAACCATCGTTTTGAAGGAGCAGTTTTGAAACACTGTTTTCGTGGAATCTGCAAGTGGATATTTGGCTAGCTTTCAGGATTTCGTTGGAAACGGGATTACATATAAAAAGGAGACAGCAGCATTCTCAGAAACTTCTTTGTGATGTCTGCATTCAATTCACAGAGTTGAGCATTCCCTTTCATAGAGCAGGTTGGAAACACTCTTTTTGTAGTATCTGGATGAGGACATTTGGAGCGCTTTCAGGCGTATGGTGAAAAGGGAAATATCTTCCCGTAAAAACTAGACAGAAGCATTCTCAGAAGTTTATTTGTGATGTGTGCCCTCAACTAACAGAGTTGAACCTTTCTTTTGATAGAGCAGTTTTGAAACACTCTTTTTGTAAAATCTGCAAGAGGATATTTGGATAGCTTTGAGGATTTCGTTGCAAACGGGAATGGCTTCATATAAACTCTAGACAGAAGCATTCTCAGAAACTTCGTTGGGATGTTTCGATTGAAGTCCCAGTGTTGAACATTCCCTTTTATAGAGCAGGTTGGAAACACTCTTTCTGCATTCCCTGGAAGTGGACATTTGGAGCGCTTTCAGGACGACGGTGAAAATGGAAATATCTTCCAAGAAAATCTAGATAGAAGCAATGTCAGAAACTTTTATGTGATGGATCTACTCAGCTAACAGAGTTGAACCTTTCTTTTGAGAGAGCAGTTTTGCAACACTCTTTTTGTGGAATATGCAAGTGGATATTAGGGCAGCTTTGAGGATTTCGTTGGAAACGGGAATACATGTAAAAAGCAGACAGCAGCATTCTCAGAAACTTCTTTGTGATGTTTGCATTGAAGTCACAGAGTTGAACATTCCCTTTGAGAGAGCAGGTTTGAAACACGCCTTTTGTCATATCTGGAAGTGTCCATTCGGAGCGCATTCAGGCTTGTGTTGAAAAAGGAAATATCCTCCCATAAAAACTAGACAGAAGCATTCTCAGAAACTTATCTGTGATGTATGTACTCAACTAACAGAACTAAACCATCGTTTTGAAGGAGCAATTTTGAAACACTCTTTTTGCGGAATCTGCAAGTGGATATTTGGCTAGCTGGGAGGATTTCGTTGGAAACGGGATTACATACAAAAAGCAGACAGCAGCATTCTTCAGAAACTTATTTGTGATGTGTGCCCTCAACTGACAGTGTTGAACCTTTGTTTTGATAGAGCAGTTCTGAAACACACTTTTTGTAAAATCTGCAAGAGGATATTTGGATAGCTCTGAGGATTTCGTTGGAAACGGGAGTGTCTTCATGTAAACTCTAGACAGAAGCATTCTCAGAAACTGCTTTGGGATGTTTCAATTGAAGTCCCAGTGTTGAACATTCCCATTCATAGAGCAGGTTTGAAACACTCTTTTTGTACTATCTGGAAGTGGACATTTGGAGCGCTTTCAGGTCTACGGTGAAAAAGGAGATATCTTCCAATAAAAACTAGATAGAAGCAATGTCAGAACTTTTTTCATGATGTATCTACTCAGCTAACAGAGTTGAACCTTTCTTTTGAGAGAGCAGTTTTGAAACACTCTTTTTGTGGAATATGCAAGTGGGTATTAGGCCAGCTTGGAGGATTTCGTTGGAAACGGGAATACGTATAAAAAGCAGACAGCAGCATTGTCAGAAACTACTTTGTGATGTTTGCATTCAAGTCACAGAATTGAACACTCCCTTTCACAGAGCAGGTTTGAAACACTCTTTTTGTAGTGTCTGTAAGTGAACATATGGATTGCTTTCAGGCCTAAGGTGAAAAAGGAAATATCTTGCCCATAAAAACTAGACAGAAGCATTCTCAGAAACTTGTTTGTGATGTGTGCCCTCTACTGACAGAGTTGAACCTTTCTTTGCAAAGAGCAGTTTTGAAACACTCTTTTTGTAGAATCTGCAAGAGGATATTTGGATAGCTTTGAGGATTTCTTGGGAAACGGGAATGTCTTCAGATAAACTCTAGACAGAAGCATTCTCAGAAACTTCTTTGGGATATTTCAATTGAAGTCACAGTGTTGAACATTCCCTTTCACAGAGCAGGTTTGAAACACTCTTTTTGTAGTGTCTATAAGTGAACATTTGGCGTGCTTTCAGGCCTAACGTGAAAAAGGAAATATCTTCCCATAAAAACTAGACAGAAGCATTCTCAGAAACTTGTTCGTGATGTGTGCCCTCTACTGACAGAGTTGAACCTTTCTTTGCAAAGAGCAGCTTTGAAACACTCTTTTTGTAGAATCTGCAAGAGGATATTTGGATAGCTTTGAGGATTTCGTTGGAAACGGGTATGTCTTCAGATAAACTCTAGACAGAAGCATTCTCAGAAACTTCTTTGGGATGTTGCATTCAAGTCACAGAGTAGAACATTCCCATTCATAGAGCAGATTTGAAACACTCTTTTTGTAGTATCTGGAAGTGGACATTTGGAGCGCTTTCAGGCGTATGTTGAAAAAGGAAATATCTTCCCATAAAAACTAGACGGAAGCATTCTCAGAAACTTACTTGTGATGTGTTTGCTCAACTAACAGAATTGAACCATCGTTTTGAAGGAGCAGTTTTGAAACACTGTTTTCGTGGAATCTGCAAGTGGATATTTGGCTAGCTTTGAGGATTTCGTTGGAAACGGGATTACATATAAAAAGGAGACAGCAGCATTCTCAGAAACTTCTTTGTGATGTCTGCATTCAATTCACAGAGTTGAGCATTCCCTTTCATAGAGCCGGTTGGAAACACTCTTTTTGTAGTATCTGGATGAGGACATTTGGAGCGCTTTCAGGCGTATGGTGAAAAAGGAAATATCTTCCCGTAAAAACTAGACAGAAGCATTCTCAGAAATTTATTTGTGATGTGTGCCCTCAACTAACAGAGTTGAACCTTTCTTTTGATAGAGCAGTTTTGAAACACTCTTTTTGTAAAATCTGCAAGAGGATATTTGGATAGCTTTGAGGATTTCGTTGCAAACGGGAATGGCTTCATATAAACTCTAGACAGAAGCATTCTCAGAAACTTCGTTGGGATGTTTCGATTGAAGTCCCAGTGTTGAACATTCCCTTTTATAGAGCAGGTTGGAAACACTCTTTCTGCATTCCCTGGAAGTGGACATTTGGAGCGCTTTCAGGACGACGGTGAAAATGGAAATATCTTCCAAGCAAAATCTAGATAGAAGCAATGTCAGAAACTTTTATGTGATGGATCTACTCAGCTAACAGAGTTGAACCTTTCTTTTGAGAGAGCAGTTTTGCAACACTCTTTTTGTGGAATATGCAAGTGGATATTAGGGCAGCTTTGAGGATTTCGTTGGAAACGGGAATACATGTAAAAAGCAGACAGCAGCATTCTCAGAAACTTCTTTGTGATGTTTGCATTGAAGTCACAGAGTTGAACATTCCCTTTGAGAGAGCAGGTTTGAAACACGCCTTTTGTCATATCTGGAAGTGTCCATTCGGAGCGCATTCAGGCTTGTGTTGAAAAAGGAAATATCCTCCCATAAAAACTAGACAGAAGCATTCTCAGAAACTTATCTGTGATGTATGTACTCAACTAACAGAACTAAACCATCGTTTTGAAGGAGCAGTTTTGAAACACTCTTTTTGCGGAATCTGCAAGTGGATATTTGGCTAGCTGGGAGGATTTCGTTGGAAACGGGATTACATACAAAAAGCAGACAGCAGCATTCTCAGAAACTTCTTTGTGATGTTTGCATTCAAGTCACAGAGTTGAACATTCCCTTTCATAGAGCAGGTTTGAAACACTCTTTTTGTAGTATCTGGATGTGGACATTTGGATCGCTTTCAGGCCTATGGTGAAAAAGGAAATATCTTCCCATGAAAACTAGACAGAAGCATTCTCAGAAACTTATTTGTGATGTGTGCCCTCAACTGACAGTGTTGAACCTTTGTTTTGATAGAGCAGTTCTGAAACACACTTTTTGTAAAATCTGCAAGAGGATATTTGGATAGCTTTGAGGATTTCGTTGGAAACGGGAATGTCTTCATGTAAACTCTACACAGAAGCATTCTCAGAAACTGCTTTGGGATGTTTCAATTGAAGTCCCAGTGTTGAACATTCCCATTCATAGAGCAGGTTTGAAACACTCTTTTTGTACTATCTGGAAGTGGACATTTGGAGCGCTTTCAGGTCTACGGTGAAAAAGGAGATATCTTCCAATAAAAACTAGATAGAAGCAATGTCAGAACTTTTTTCATGATGTATCTACTCAGCTAACAGAGTTGAACCTTTCTTTTGAGAGAGCAGTTTTGAAACACTCTTTGTGTGGAATATGCAAGTGGGTATTAGGCCAGCTTGGAGGATTTCGTTGGAAACGGGAATACGTATAAAAAGCAGACAGCAGCATTGTCAGAAACTACTTTGTGATGTTTGCATTCAAGTCACAGAATTGAACACTCCCTTTCACAGAGCAGGTTTGAAACACTCTTTTTGTAGTGTCTGTAAGTGAACATATGGATTGCTTTCAGGCCTAAGGTGAAAAAGGAAATATCTTCCCATAAAAACTAGACAGAAGCATTCTCAGAAACTTGTTTGTGATGTGTGCCCTCTACTGACAGAGTTGAACCTTTCTTTGCAAAGACCAGTTTTGAAACACTCTTTTTGTAGAATCTGCAAGAGGATATTTGGATAGCTTTGAGGATTTCTTGGGAAACGGGAATGTCTTCAGATAAACTCTAGACAGAAGCATTCTCAGAAACTTCTTTGGGATGTTTCAATTGAAGTCACAGTGTTGAACATTCCCTTTCACAGAGCAGGTTTGAAACACTCTTTTTGTAGTGTCTATAAGTGAACATTTGGCGTGCTTTCAGGCCTAACGTGAAAAAGGAAATATCTTCCCATAAAAACTAGACAGAAGCATTCTCAGAAACTTGTTCGTGATGTGTGCCCTCTACTGACAGAGTTGAACCTTTCTTTGCAAAGAGCAGCTTTGAAACACACTTTTTGTAGAATCTGCAAGAGGATATTTTAATAGCTTTGAGGATTTCGTTGGAAACGGGTATGTCTTCAGATAAACTCTAGACAGAAGCATTCTCAGAAACTTCTTTGGGATGTTGCATTCAAGTCACAGAGTAGAACATTCCCATTCATAGAGCAGATTTGAAACACTCTTTTTGTAGTATCTGGAAGTGGACATTTGGAGCGCTTTCAGGCCTATGTTGAAAAAGGAAATATCTTCCCATAAAAACTAGACGGAAGCATTCTCAGAAACTTATTTGTGATGTGTTTGCTCAACTAACAGGATTGAACCATCGTTTTGAAGGAGCAGTTTTGAAACACTGTTTTCGTGGAATCTGCAAGTGGATATTTGGCTAGCTTTGAGGATTTCGTTGGAAACGGGATTACATATAAAAAGGAGACAGCAGCATTCTCAGAAACTTCTTTGTGATGTCTGCATTCAATTCACAGAGTTGAGCATTCCCTTTCATAGAGCAGGTTGGAAACACTCTTTTTGTAGTATCTGGATGTGGACATTTGGATCGCTTTCAGGCCTATGGTGAAAAAGGAAATATCTTCCCATGAAAACTAGACAGAAGCATTCTCAGAAACTTATTTGTGATGTGTGCACTCAACTGACAGTGTTGAACCTTTGTTTTGATAGAGCAGTTCTGAAACACAATTTTTGTAAAATCTGCAAGAGGATATTTGGATAGGTTTGAGGATTTCGTTGGAAACGGGAATGTCTTCATGTAAACTCTAGACAGAAGCATTCTCAGAAACTGCTTTGGGATGTTTCAATTGAAGTCCCAGTGTTGAACATTCCCATTCATAGAGCAGGTTTGAAACACTCTTTTTGTACTATCTGGAAGTGGACATTTGGAGCGCTTTCAGGTCTACGGTGAAAAAGGAGATATCTTCCAATAAAAACTAGATAGAAGCAATGTCAGAACTTTTTTCATGATGTATCTACTCAGCAAACAGAGTTGAACCTTTCTTTTGAGAGAGCAGTTTTGAAACACTCTTTTTGTGGAATATGAAAGTGGGTATTAGGCCAGCTTGGAGGATTTCGTTGGAAACGGGAATACGTATAAAAAGCAGACAGCAGCATTGTCAGAAACTACTTTGTGATGTTTGCATTCAAGTCACAGAACTGAACACTCCCTTTCACAGAGCAGGTTTGAAACACTCTTTTTGTAGTGTCTGTAAGTGAACATTTGGATTGCTTTCAGGCCTAAGGTGAAAAAGGAAATATCTTCCCATAAAAACTAGACAGAAGCATTCTCAGAAACTTGTTTGTGATGTGTGCCCTCTACTGACAGAGTTGAACCTTTCTTTGCAAAGAGCAGTTTTGAAACACTCTTTTTGTAGAATCTGCAAGAGGATATTTGGATAGCTTTGAGGATTTCTTGGGAAACGGGAATGTCTTCAGATAAACTCTAGACAGAAGCATTCTCAGAAACTTCTTTGGGATGTTTCAATTGAAGTCACAGTGTTGAACATTCCCTTTCACAGAGCAGGTTTGAAACACTCTTTTTGTAGTGTCTATAATTGAACATTTGGCGTGCTTTCAGGCCTAACGTGAAAAAGGAAATATCTTCCCATAAAAACTAGACAGAAGCATTCTCAGAAACTTGTTCGTGATGTGTGCCCTCTACTGACAGAGTTGAACCTTTCTTTGCAAAGAGCAGCTTTGAAACACTCTTTTTGTAGAATCTGCAAGAGGATATTTGGATAGCTTTGAGGATTTCGTTGGAAACGGGTATGTCTTCAGATAAACTCTAGACAGAAGCATTCTCAGAAACTTCTTTGGGATGTTGCATTCAAGTCACAGAGTAGAACATTCCCATTCATAGAGCAGATTTGAAACACTCTTTTTGTAGTATCTGGAAGTGGACATTTGGAGCGCTTTCAGGCCTATGTTGAAAAAGGAAATATCTTCCCATAAAAACTAGACGGAAGCATTCTCAGAAACTTACTTGTGATGTGTTTGCTCAACTAACAGAATTGAACCATCGTTTTGAAGGAGCAGTTTTGAAACACTGTTTTCGTGGAATCTGCAAGTGGATATTTGGCTAGCTTTGAGGATTTCGTTGGAAACGGGATTACATATAAAAAGGAGACAGCAGCATTCTCAGAAACTTCTTTGTGATGTCTGCATTCAAGTCACAGAGTTGAGCATTCCCTTTCATAGAGCAGGTTGGAAACACTCTTTTTGTAGTATCTGGATGAGGACATTTGGAGCGCTTTCAGGCGTATGGTGAAAAAGGAAATATCTTCCCGTAAAAACTAGACAGAAGCATTCTCAGAAATTTATTTGTGATGTGTGCCCTCAACTAACAGAGTTGAACCTTTCTTTTGATAGAGCAGTTTTGAAACACTCTTTTTGTAAAATCTGCAAGAGGATATTTGGATAGCTTTGAGGATTTCATTGCAAACGGGAATGGCTTCATATAAACTCTAGACAGAAGCATTCTCAGAAACTTCGTTGGGATGTTTCGATTGAAGTCCCAGTGTTGAACATTCCCTTTTATAGAGCAGGTTGGAAACACTCTTTCTGCATTCCCTGGAAGTGGACATTTGGAGCGCTTTCAGGACGACGGTGAAAATGGAAATATCTTCCAAGAAAATCTAGATAGAAGCAACGTCAGAAACTTTTATGTGATGGATCTACTCAGCTAACAGAGTTGAACCTTTCTTTTGAGAGAGCAGTTTTGCAACACTCTTTTTGTGGAATATGCAAGTGGATATTAGGGCAGCTTTGAGGATTTCGTTGGAAACGGGAATACATGTAAAAAGCAGACAGCAGCATTCTCAGAAACTTCTTTGTGATGTTTGCATTGAAGTCACAGAGTTGAACATTCCCTTTGAGAGAGCAGGTTTGAAACACGCCTTTTGTCATATCTGGAAGTGTCCATTCGGAGCGCATTCAGGCTTGTGTTGAAAAAGGAAATATCCTCCCATAAAAACTAGACAGAAGCATTCTCAGAAACTTATCTGTGATGTATGTACTCAACTAACAGAACTAAACCATCGTTTTGAAGGAGCAGTTTTGAAACACTCTTTTTGCGGAATCTGCAAGTGGATATTTGGCTAGCTGGGAGGATTTCCGTTGGAAACGGGATTACATACAAAAAGCAGACAGCAGCATTCTCAGAAACTTCTTTGTGATGTTTGCATTCAAGTCGCAGAGTTGAACATTCCCTTTCATAGAGCAGGTTTGAAACACTCTTTTTGTAGTATCTGGATGTGGACATTTGGATCGCTTTCAGGCCTATGGTGAAAAAGGAAATATCTTCCCATGAAAACTAGACAGAAGCATTCTCAGAAACTTATTTGTGATGTGTGCCCTCAACTGACAGTGTTGAACCTTTGTTTTGATAGAGCAGTTCTGAAACACACTTTTTGTAAAATCTGCAAGAGGATATTTGGATAGCTTTGAGGATTTCGTTGGAAACGGGAATGTCTTCATGTAAACTCTAGACAGAAGCATTCTCAGAAACTGCTTTGGGATGTTTCAATTGAAGTCCCAGTGTTGAACATTCCCTTTCATAGAGCAGGTTTGAAACACTCTTTTTGTAGTATCTGGAAGTGGACATTTGGAGCGCTTTCAGGTCTACGGTGAAAAGGGAGATATCTTCCAATAAAAACTAGATAGAAGCAATGTCAGAACTTTTTTCATGATGTATCTACTCAGCAAACAGAGTTGAAGCTTTCTTTTGAGAGAGCAGTTTTGAAACACTCTTTTTGTGGAATATGCAAGTGGGTATTAGGCCAGCTTGGAGGATTTCGTTGGAAACGGGAATACGTATAAAAAGCAGACAGCAGCATTGTCAGAAACTACTTTGTGATGTTTGCATTCAAGTCACAGAATTGAACACTCCCTTTCACAGAGCAGGTTTGAAACACTCTTTTTGTAGTGTCTGTAAGTGAACATTTGGATTGCTTTCAGGCCTAAGGTGAAAAAGGAAATATCTTCCCATAAAAACTAGACAGAAGCATTCTCAGAAAGTAGTTTGTGATGTGTGCCCTCTACTGACAGAGTTGAACCTTTCTTTGCAAAGAGCAGTTTTGAAACACTCTTTTTGTAGAATCTGCAAGAGGATATTTGGATAGCTTTGAGGATTTCTTGGGAAACGGGAATGTCTTCAGATAAACTCTAGACAGAAGCATTCTCAGAAACTTCTTTGGGATGTTTCAATTGAAGTCACAGTGTTGAACATTCCCTTTCACAGAGCAGGTTTGAAACACTCTTTTTGTAGTGTCTATAAGTGAACATTTGGCGTGCTTTCAGGCCTAACGTGAAAAAGGAAATATCTTCCCATAAAAACTAGACAGAAGCATTCTCAGAAACTTGTTTGTGATGTGTGCCCTCTACTGACAGAGTTGAACCTTTCTTTGCAAAGAGCAGCTTTGAAACACTCTTTTTGTAGAATCTGCAAGAGGATATTTGGATAGCTTGGAGGATTTCGTTGGAAACGGGTATGTCTTCAGATAAACTCTAGACAGAAGCATTCTCAGAAACTTCTTTGGGATGTTGCATTCAAGTCACAGAGTAGAACATTCCCATTCATAGAGCAGATTTGAAACACTCTTTTTGTAGTATCTGGAAGTGGACATTTGGAGCGCTTTCAGGCCTATGTTGAAAAAGGAAATATCTTCCCATAAAAACTAGACGGAAGCATTCTCAGAAACTTATTTGTGATGTGTTTGCTCAACTAACAGGATTGAACCATCGTTTTGAAGGAGCAGTTTTGAAACACTGTTTTCGTGGAATCTGCAAGTGGATATTTGGCTAGCTTTGAGGATTTCGTTGGAAACGGGATTACATATAAAAAGGAGACAGCAGCATTCTCAGAAACTTCTTTGTGATGTCTGCATTCAAGTCACAGAGTTGAGCATTCCCTTTCATAGAGCAGGTTGGAAACACTCTTTTTGTAGTATCTGGATGAGGACATTTGGAGCGCTTTCAGGCCTATGGTGAAAAAAGAAATATCTTCCCGTAAAAACTAGACAGAAGCATTCTCAGAAATTTATTTGTGATGTGTGCCCTCAACTAACAGAGTTGAACCTTTCTTTTGATAGAGCAGTTTTGAAACACTCTTTTTGTAAAATCTGCAAGAGGATATTTGGATAGCTTTGAGGATTTCGTTGCAAACGGGAATGGCTTCATATAAACTCTAGACAGAAGCATTCTCAGAAACTTCGTTGGGATGTTTCGATTGAAGTCCCAGTGTTGAACATTCCCTTTTATAGAGCAGGTTGGAAACACTCTTTCTGCATTCCCTGGAAGTGGACATTTGGAGCGCTTTCAGGACGACGGTGAAAATGGAAATATCTTCCAAGAAAATCTAGATAGAAGCAATGTCAGAAACTTTTATGTGATGGATCTACTCAGCTAACAGAGTTGAACCTTTCTTTTGAGAGAGCAGTTTTGCAACACTCTTTTTGTGGAATATGCAAGTGGATATTAGGGCAGCTTTGAGGATTTCGTTGGAAACGGGAATACATGTAAAAAGCAGACAGCAGCATTCTCAGAAACTTCTTTGTGATGTTTGCATTGAAGTCACAGAGTTGAACATTCCCTTTGAGAGAGCAGGTTTGAAACACGCCTTTTGTCATATCTGGAAGTGTCCATTCGGAGCGCATTCAGGCTTGTGTTGAAAAAGGAAATATCCTCCCATAAAAACTAGACAGAAGCATTCTCAGAAACTTATCTGTGATGTATGTACTCAACTAACAGAACTAAACCATCGTTTTGAAGGAGCAGTTTTGAAACACTCTTTTTGCGGAATATGCAAGTGGATATTTGGCTAGCTTGGAGGATTTCGTTGGAAACGGGATGACATACAAAAAGCAGAGAGCAGCATTCTCAGAAACTTCTTTGTGATGTTTGCATTCAAGTCACAGAGTTGAACATTCCCTTTCATAGAGCAGGTTTGAAACACTCTTTTTGTAGTATCTGGATGTGGACATTTGGATCGCTTTCAGGCCTATGGTGAAAAAGGAAATATCTTCCCATGAAAACTAGACAGAAGCATTCTCAGAAACTTGTTTGTGATGTGTGCCCTCTACTGACAGAGTTGAACCTTTCTTTGCAAAGAGCAGTTCTGAAACACTCTTTTTGTAGAATCTGCAAGAGGATATTTGGATAGCTTTGAGGATTTCTTGGGAAACGGGAATGTCTTCATGTAAACTCTGGACAGAAGCATTCTCAGAAACTGCTTTGGGATGTTTCAATTGAAGTCCCAGTGTTGAACATTCCCTTTCATAGAGCAGGTTTGAAACACTCTTTTTGTACTATCTGGAAGTGGACATTTGGAGCGCTTTCAGGTCTACGGTGAAAAAGGAGATATCTTCCAATAAAAACTAGATAGAAGCAATGTCAGAACTTTTTTCATGATGTATCTACTCAGCAAACAGAGTTGAACCTTTCTTTTGAGAGAGCAGTTTTGAAACACTCCTTTTGTGGAATATGCAAGTGGGTATTAGGCCAGCTTGGAGGATTTCGTTGGAAACGGGAATACGTATAAAAAGCAGACAGCAGCATTGTCAGAAACTACTTTGTGATGTTTGCATTCAAGTCACAGAATTGAACACTCCCTTTCACAGAGCAGGTTTGAAACACTCTTTTTGTAGTGTCTGTAAGTGAACATTTGGATTGCTTTCAGGCCTAAGGTGAAAAAGGAAATATCTTCCCATAAAAACTAGACAGAAGCATTCTCAGAAACTTGTTTGTGATGTGTGCCCTCTACTGACAGAGTTGAACCTTTCTTTGCAAAGAGCAGTTTTGAAACACTCTTTTTGTAGAATCTGCAAGAGGATATTTGGATAGCTTTGAGGATTTCTTGGGAAACGGGAATGTCTTCAGATAAACTCTAGACAGAAGCATTTTCAGAAACTTCTTGGGATATTTCAATTGAAGTCACAGTGTTCAACATTCCCTTTCACAGAGCAGGTTTGAAACACTCTTTTTGTAGTGTCTATAAGTGAACATTTGGCGTGCTTTCAGGCCTAACGTGAAAAAGGAAATATCTTCCCATAAAAACTAGACAGAAGCATTCTCAGAAACTTGTTCGTGATGTGTGCCCTCTACTGACAGAGTTGAACCTTTCTTTGCAAAGAGCAGCTTTGAAACACTCTTTTTGTAGAATCTGCAAGAGGATATTTGGATAGCTTTGAGGATTTCGTTGGAAACGGGTATGTCTTCAGATAAACTCTAGACAGAAGCATTCTCAGAAACTTCTTTGGGATGTTGCATTCAAGTCACAGAGTAGAACATTCCCATTCATAGAGCAGATTTGAAACACTCTTTTTGTAGTATCTGGAAGTGGACATTTGGAGCGCTTTCAGGCCTATGTTGAAAAAGGAAATATCTTCCCATAAAAACTAGACGGAAGCATTCTCAGAAACTTATTTGTGATGTGTTTGCTCAACTAACAGGATTGAACCATCGTTTTGAAGGAGCAGTTTTGAAACACTGTTTTCGTGGAATCTGCAAGTGGATATTTGGCTAGCTTTGAGGATTTCGTTGGAAACGGGATTACATATAAAAAGGAGACAGCAGCATTCTCAGAAACTTCTTTGTGATGTCTGCATTCAATTCACAGAGTTGAGCATTCCCTTTCATAGAGCAGGTTGGAAACACTCTTTTTGTAGTATCTGGATGAGGACATTTGGAGCGCTTTCAGGCGTATGGTGAAAAAGGAAATATCTTCCCGTAAAAACTAGACAGAAGCATTCTCAGAAGTTTATTTGTGATGTGTGCCCTCAGCTAACAGAGTTGAACCTTTCTTTTGATAGAGCAGTTTTGAAACACTCTTTTTGTAAAATCTGCAAGAGGATATTTGGATAGCTTTGAGGATTTCGTTGCAAACGGGAATGGCTTCATATAAACTCTAGACAGAAGCATTCTCAGAAACTTCGTTGGGATGTTTCGATTGAAGTCCCAGTGTTGAACATTCCCTTTTATAGAGCAGGTTGGAAACACTCTTTCTGCATTCCCTGGAAGTGGACATTTGGAGCGCTTTCAGGACGACGGTGAAAATGGAAATATCTTCCAAGAAAATCTAGATAGAAGCAATGTCAGAAACTTTTATGTGATGGATCTACTCAGCTAACAGAGTTGAACCTTTCTTTTGAGAGAGCAGTTTTGCAACACTCTTTTTGTGGAATATGCAAGTGGATATTAGGGCAGCTTTGAGGATTTCGTTGGAAACGGGAATACATGTAAAAAGCAGACAGCAGCATTCTCAGAAACTTCTTTGTGATGTTTGCATTGAAGTCACAGCAGTTGAACATTCCCTTTGAGAGAGCAGGTTTGAAACACGCCTTTTGTCATATCTGGAAGTGTCCATTCGGAGCGCATTCAGGCTTGTGTTGAAAAAGGAAATATCCTCCCATAAAAACTAGACAGAAGCATTCTCAGAAACTTATCTGTGATGTATGTACTCAACTAACAGAACTAAACCATCGTTTTGAAGGAGCAGTTTTGAAACACTCTTTTTGCGGAATCTGCAAGTGGATATTTGGCTAGCTGGGAGGATTTCGTTGGAAACGGGATTACATACAAAAAGCAGACAGCAGCATTCTCAGAAACTTCTTTGTGATGTTTGCATTCAAGTCACAGAGTTGAACATTCCCTTTCATAGAGCAGGTTTGAAACACTCTTTTTGTAGTATCTGGATGTGGACATTTGGATCGCTTTCAGGCCTATGGTGAAAAAGGAAATATCTTCCCATGAAAACTAGACAGAAGCATTCTCAGAAACTTATTTGTGATGTGTGCCCTCAACTGACAGTGTTGAACCTTTGTTTTGATAGAGCAGTTCTGAAACACACTTTTTGTAAAATCTGCAAGAGGATATTTGGATAGCTTTGAGGATTTCGTTGGAAACGGGAATGTCTTCATGTAAACTCTAGACAGAAGCATTCTCAGAAACTGCTTTGGGATGTTTCAATTGAAGTCCCAGTGTTGAACATTCCCTTTCATAGAGCAGGTTTGAAACACTCTTTTTGTACTATCTGGAAGTGGACATTTGGAGCGCTTTCAGGTCTACGGTGAAAAAGGAGATATCTTCCAATAAAAACTAGATAGAAGCAATGTCAGAACTTTTTTCATGATGTATCTACTCAGCAAACAGAGTTGAACCTTTCTTTTGAGGGAGCAGTTTTGAAACACTATTTTTGTGGAATATGCAAGTGGGTATTAGGCCAGCTTGGAGGATTTCGTTGGAAACGGGAATACGTATAAAAAGCAGACAGCAGCATTGTCAGAAACTACTTTGTGATGTTTGCATTCAAGTCACAGAATTGAACACTCCCTTTCACAGAGCAGGTTTGAAACTCTCTTTTTGTAGTGTCTATAAGTGAACATTTGGCGTGCTTTCAGGCGTAACGTGAAAAAGGAAATATCTTCCCATAAAAACTAGACAGAAGCATTCTCAGAAACTTGTTCGTGATGTGTGCCCTCTACTGACAGAGTTGAACCTTTCTTTGCAAAGAGCAGTTTTGAAACACTCTTTTTGTAGAATCTGCAAGAGGATATTTGGATAGCTTTGAGGATTTCTTGGGAAACGGGAATGTCTTCAGATAAACTCTAGACAGAAGCATTCTCAGAAACTTCTTTGGGATGTTTCAATTGAAGTCACAGTGTTGAACATTCCCTTTCACAGAGCAGGTTTGAAACACTCTTTTTGTAGTGTCTATAAGTGAACATTTGGCGTGCTTTCAGGCCTAACGTGAAAAAGGAAATATCTTCCCATAAAAACTAGACAGAAGCATTCTCAGAAACTTGTTCATGATGTGTGCCCTCTACTGACAGAGTTGAACCTTTCTTTGCAAAGAGCAGCTTTGAAACACTCTTTTGGTAGAATCTGCAAGAGGATATTTGGATAGCTTTGAGGATTTCGTTGGAAACGGGTATGTCTTCAGATAAACTCTAGACAGAAGCATTCTCAGAAACTTCTTTGGGATGTTGCATTCAAGTCACAGAGTAGAACATTCCCATTCATAGAGCAGATTTGAAACACTCTTTTTGTAGTATCTGGAAGTGGACATTTGGAGCGCTTTCAGGCCTATGTTGAAAAAGGAAATATCTTCCCATAAAAACTAGACGGAAGCATTCTCAGAAACTTATTTGTGATGTGTTTGCTCAACTAACAGGATTGAACCATCGTTTTGAAGGAGCAGTTTTGAAACACTGTTTTCGTGGAATCTGCAAGTGGATATTTGGCTAGCTTTGAGGATTTCGTTGGAAACGGGATTACATATACAAAGGAGACAGCAGCATTCTCAGAAACTTCTTTGTGATGTCTGCATTCAATTCACAGAGTTGAGCATTCCCTTTCATAGAGCAGGTTGGAAACACTCTTTTTGTAGTATCTGGATGAGGACATTTGGAGCGCTTTCAGGCGTATGGTGAAAAAGGAAATATCTTCCCGTAAAAACTAGACAGAAGCATTCTCAGAAGTTTATTTGTGATGTGTGCCCTCAACTAACAGAGTTGAACCTTTCTTTTGATAGAGCAGTTTTGAAACACTCTTTTTGTAAAATCTGCAAGAGGATATTTGGATAGCTTTGAGGATTTCGTTGCAAACGGGAATGGCTTCATATAAACTCTAGACAGAAGCATTCTCAGAAACTTCGTTGGGATGTTTCGATTGAAGTCCCAGTGTTGAACATTCCCTTTTATAGAGCAGGTTGGAAACACTCTTTCTGCATTCCCTGGAAGTGGACATTTGGAGCGCTTTCAGGACGACGGTGAAAATGGAAATATCTTCCAAGAAAATCTAGATAGAAGCAACGTCAGAAACTTTTATGTGATGGATCTACTCAGCTAACAGAGTTGAACCTTTCTTTTGAGAGAGCAGTTTTGCAACACTCTTTTTGTGGAATATGCAAGTGGATATTAGGGCAGCTTTGAGGATTTCGTTGGAAACGGGAATACATGTAAAAAGCAGACAGCAGCATTCTCAGAAACTTCTTTGTGATGTTTGCATTGAAGTCACAGCAGTTGAACATTCCCTTTGAGAGAGCAGGTTTGAAACACGCCTTTTGTCATATCTGGAAGTGTCCATTCGGAGCGCATTCAGGCTTGTGTTGAAAAAGGAAATATCCTCCCATAAAAACTAGACAGAAGCATTCTCAGAAACTTATCTGTGATGTATGTACTCAACTAACAGAACTAAACCATCGTTTTGAAGGAGCAGTTTTGAAACACTCTTTTTGCGGAATCTGCAAGTGGATATTTGGCTAGCTGGGAGGATTTCGTTGGAAACGGGATTACATACAAAAAGCAGACAGCAGCATTCTCAGAAACTTCTTTGTGATGTTTGCATTCAAGTCACAGAGTTGAACATTCCCTTTCATAGAGCAGGTTTGAAACACTCTTTTTGTAGTATCTGGATGTGGACATTTGGATCGCTTTCAGGCCTATGGTGAAAAAGGAAATATCTTCCCATGAAAACTAGACAGAAGCATTCTCAGAAACTTATTTGTGATGTGTGCCCTCAACTGACAGTGTTGAACCTTTGTTTTGATAGAGCAGTTCTGAAACACACTTTTTGTAAAATCTGCAAGAGGATATTTGGATAGCTTTGAGGATTTCGTTGGAAACGGGAATGTCTTCATGTAAACTCTAGACAGAAGCATTCTCAGAAACTGCTTTGGGATGTTTCAATTGAAGTCCCAGTGTTGAACATTCCCTTTCATAGAGCAGGTTTGAAACACTCTTTTTGTACTATCTGGAAGTGGACATTTGGAGCGCTTTCAGGTCTACGGTGAAAAAGGAGATATCTTCCAATAAAAACTAGATAGAAGCAATGTCAGAACTTTTTTCATGATGTATCTACTCAGCAAACAGAGTTGAACCTTTCTTTTGAGAGAGCAGTTTTGAAACACTCTTTTTGTGGAATATGCAAGTGGGTATTAGGCCAGCTTGGAGGATTTCGTTGGAAACGGGAATACGTATAAAAAGCAGACAGCAGCATTGTCAGAAACTACTTTGTGATGTTTGCATTCAAGTCACAGAATTGAACACTCCCTTTCACAGAGCAGGTTTGAAACACTCTTTTTGTAGTGTCTGTAAGTGAACATTTGGATTGCTTTCAGGCCTAAGGTGAAAAAGGAAATATCTTCCCATAAAAACTAGACAGAAGCATTCTCAGAAACTTGTTTGTGATGTGTGCCCTCTACTGACAGAGTTGAACCTTTCTTTGCAAAGAGCAGTTTTGAAACACTCTTTTTGTAGAATCTGCAAGAGGATATTTGGATAGCTTTGAGGATTTCTTGGGAAACGGGAATGTCTTCAGATAAACTCTAGACAGAAGCATTCTCAGAAACTTCTTTGGGATGTTTCAATTGAAGTCACAGTGTTGAACATTCCCTTTCACAGAGCAGGTTTGAAACACTCTTTTTGTAGTGTCTATAAGTGAACATTTGGCGTGTTTTCAGGCCTAACGTGAAAAAGGAAATATCTTCCCATAAAAACTAGACAGAAGCATTCTCAGAAACTTGTTCGTGATGTGTGCCCTCTACTGACAGAGTTGAACCTTTCTTTGCAAAGAGCAGCTTTGAAACACTCTTTTTGTAGAATCTGCAAGAGGATATTTGGATAGCTTGGAGGATTTCGTTGGAAACGGGTATGTCTTCAGATAAACTCTAGACAGAAGCATTCTCAGAAACTTCTTTGGGATGTTGCATTCAAGTCACAGAGTAGAACATTCCCATTCATAGAGCAGATTTGAAACACTCTTTTTGTAGTATCTGGAAGTGGACATTTGGAGCGCTTTCAGGCCTATGTTGAAAAAGGAAATATCTTCCCATAAAAACTAGACGGAAGCATTCTCAGAAACTTATTTGTGATGTGTTTGCTCAACTAACAGGATTGAACCATCGTTTTGAAGGAGCAGTTTTGAAACACTGTTTTCGTGGAATCTGCAAGTGGATATTTGGCTAGCTTTGAGGATTTCGTTGGAAACGGGATTACATATAAAAAGGAGACAGCAGCATTCTCAGAAACTTCTTTGTGATGTCTGCATTCAATTCACAGAGTTGGGCATTCCCTTTCATAGAGCAGGTTGGAAACACTCTTTTTGTAGTATCTGGATGAGGACATTTGGAGCGCTTTCAGGCGTATGGTGAAAAAGGAAATATCTTCCCGTAAAAACTAGACAGAAGCATTCTCAGAAGTTTATTTGTGATGTGTGCCCTCAACTAACAGAGTTGAACCTTTCTTTTGATAGAGCAGTTTTGAAACACTCTTTTTGTAAAATCTGCAAGAGGATATTTGGATAGCTTTGAGGATTTCGTTGCAAACGGGAATGGCTTCATATAAACTCTAGACAGAAGCATTCTCAGAAACTTCGTTGGGATGTTTCGATTGAAGTCCCAGTGTTGAACATTCCCTTTTATAGAGCAGGTTGGAAACACTCTTTCTGCATTCCCTGGAAGTGGACATTTGGAGCGCTTTCAGGACGACGGTGAAAATGGAAATATCTTCCAAGAAAATCTAGATAGAAGCAATGTCAGAAACTTTTATGTGATGGATCTACTCAGCTAACAGAGTTGAACCTTTCTTTTGAGAGAGCAGTTTTGCAACACTCTTTTTGTGGAATATGCAAGTGGATATTAGGGCAGCTTTGAGGATTTCGTTGGAAACGGGAATACATGTAAAAAGCAGACAGCAGCATTCTCAGAAACTTCTTTGTGATGTTTGCATTGAAGTCACAGAGTTGAACATTCCCTTTGAGAGAGCAGGTTTGAAACACGCCTTTTGTCATATCTGGAAGTGTCCATTCGGAGCGCATTCAGGCTTGTGTTGAAAAAGGAAATATCCTCCCATAAAAACTAGACAGAAGCATTCTCAGAAACTTATCTGTGATGTATGTACTCAACTAACAGAACTAAACCATCGTTTTGAAGGAGCAGTTTTGAAACACTCTTTTTGCGGAATCTGCAAGTGGATATTTGGCTAGCTGGGAGGATTTCGTTGGAAACGGGATTACATACAAAAAGCAGACAGCAGCATTCTCAGAAACTTCTTTGTGATGTTTGCATTCAAGTCACAGAGTTGAACATTCCCTTTCATAGAGCAGGTTTGAAACACTCTTTTTGTAGTATCTGGATGTGGACATTTGGATCGCTTTCAGGCCTATGGTGAAAAAGGAAATATCTTCCCATGAAAACTAGACAGAAGCATTCTCAGAAACTTATTTGTGAGGTGTGCCCTCAACTGACAGTGTTGAACCTTTGTTTTGATAGAGCAGTTCTGAAACACACCTTTTGTAAAATCTGCAAGAGGATATTTGGATAGCTTTGAGGATTTCGTTGGAAACGGGAATGTCTTCATGTAAACTCTAGACAGAAGCATTCTCAGAAACTGCTTTGGGATGTTTCAATTGAAGTCCCAGTGTTGAACATTCCCTTTCATAGAGCAGGTTTGAAACACTCTTTTTGTACTATCTGGAAGTGGACATTTGGAGCGCTTTCAGGTCTACGGTGAAAAAGGAGATATCTTCCAATAAAAACTAGATAGAAGCAATGTCAGAACTTTTTTCATGATGTATCTACTCAGCAAACAGAGTTGAACCTTTCTTTTGAGAGAGCAGTTTTGAAACACTCTTTTTGTGGAATATGCAAGTGGGTATTAGGCCAGCTTGGAGGATTTCGTTGGAAACGGGAATACGTATAAAAAGCAGACAGCAGCATTGTCAGAAACTACTTTGTGATGTTTACATTCAAGTCACAGAATTGAACACTCCCTTTCACAGAACAGGTTTGAAACACTCTTTTTGTAGTGTCTGTAAGTGAACATTTGGATTGCTTTCAGGCCTAAGGTGAAAAAGGAAATATCTTCCCATAAAAACTAGACAGAAGCATTCTCAGAAACTTGTTTGTGATGTGTGCCCTCTACTGACAGAGTTGAACCTTTCTTTGCAAAGAGCAGTTTTGAAACACTCTTTTTGTAGAATCTGCAAGAGGATATTTGGATAGCTTTGAGGATTTCTTGGGAAACGGGAATGTCTTCAGATAAACTCTAGACAGAAGCATTCTCAGAAACTTCTTTGGGATGTTTCAATTGAAGTCACAGTGTTGAACATTCCCTTTCACAGAGCAGGTTTGAAACACTCTTTTTGTAGTGTCTATAAGTGAACATTTGGCGTGCTTTCAGGCCTAACGTGAAAAAGGAAATATCTTCCCATAAAAACTAGACAGAAGCATTCTCAGAAACTTGTTCGTGATGTGTGCCCTCTACTGATAGAGTTGAACCTTTCTTTGCAAAGAGCAGCTTTGAAACACACTTTTTGTAGAATCTGCAAGAGGATATTTGGATAGCTTTGAGGATTTCGTTGGAAACGGGTATGTCTTCAGATAAACTCTAGACAGAAGCATTCTCAGAAACTTCTTTGGGATGTTGCATTCAAGTCACAGAGTAGAACATTCCCATTCATAGAGCAGATTTGAAACACTCTTTTTGTAGTATCTGGAAGTGGACATTTGGAGCGCTTTCAGGCCTATGTTGAAAAAGGAAATATCTTCCCATAAAAACTAGACGGAAGCATTCTCAGAAACTTACTTGTGATGTGTTTTCTCAACTAACAGAATTGAACCATCGTTTTGAAGGAGCAGTTTTGAAACACTGTTTTCGTGGAATCTGCAAGTGGATATTTGGCTAGCTTTGAGGATTTCGTTGGAAACGGGATTACATATAAAAAGGAGACAGCAGCATTCTCAGAAACTTCTTTGTGATGTCTGCATTCAATTCACAGAGTTGAGCATTCCCTTTCATAGAGCAGGTTGGAAACACTCTTTTTGTAGTATCTGGATGAGGACATTTGGAGCGCTTTCAGGCGTATGGTGAAAAAGGAAATATCTTCCCGTAAAAACTAGACAGAAGCATTCTCAGAAGTTTATTTCTGATGTGTGCCCTCAACTAACAGAGTTGAAACTTTCTTTTGATAGAGCAGTTTTGAAACACTCTTTTTGTAAAATCTGCAAGAGGATATTTGGATAGCTTTGAGGATTTCGTTGCAAACGGGAATGGCTTCATATAAACTCTAGACAGAAGCATTCTCAGAAACTTCGTTGGGATGTTTCGATTGAAGTCCCAGTGTTGAACATTCCCTTTTATAGAGCAGGTTGGAAACACTCTTTCTGCATTCCCTGGAAGTGGACATTTGGAGCGCTTTCAGGACGACGGTGAAAATGGAAATATCTTCCAAGAAAATCTAGATAGAAGCAACGTCAGAAACTTTTATGTGATGGATCTACTCAGCTAACAGAGTTGAACCTTTCTTTTGAGAGAGCAGTTTTGCAACACTCTTTTTGTGGAATATGCAAGTGGATATTAGGGCAGCTTTGAGGATTTCGTTGGAAACGGGAATACATGTAAAAAGCAGACAGCAGCATTCTCAGAAACTTCTTTGTGATGTTTGCATTGAAGTCACAGAGTTGAACATTCCCTTTGAGAGAGCAGGTTTGAAACACGCCTTTTGTCATATCTGGAAGTGTCCATTCGGAGCGCATTCAGGCTTGTGTTGAAAAAGGAAATATCCTCCCATAAAAACTAGACAGAAGCATTCTCAGAAACTTATCTGTGATGTATGTACTCAACTAACAGAACTAAACCATCCTTTTGAAGGAGCAGTTTTGAAACACTCTTTTTGCGGAATCTGCAAGTGGATATTTGGCTAGCTGGGAGGATTTCGTTGGAAACGGGATTACATACAAAAAGCAGACAGCAGCATTCTCAGAAACTTCTTTGTGATGTTTGCATTCAAGTCACAGAGTTGAACATTCCCTTTCATAGAGCAGGTTTGAAACACTCTTTTTGTAGTATCTGGATGTGGACATTTGGATCGCTTTCAGGCCTATGGTGAAAAAGGAAATATCTTCCCATGAAAACTAGACAGAAGCATTCTCAGAAACTTATTTGTGATGTGTGCCCTCAACTGACAGTGTTGAACCTTTGTTTTGATAGAGCAGTTCTGAAACACACTTTTTGTAAAATCTGCAAGAGGATATTTGGATAGCTTTGAGGATTTCGTTGGAAACGGGAATGTCTTCATGTAAACTCTACACAGAAGCATTCTCAGAAACTGCTTTGGGATGTTTCAATTGAAGTCCCAGTGTTGAACATTCCCATTCATAGAGCAGGTTTGAAACACTCTTTTTGTACTATCTGGAAGTGGACATTTGGAGCGCTTTCAGGTCTACGGTGAAAAAGGAGATATCTTCCAATAAAAACTAGATAGAAGCAATGTCAGAACTTTTTTCATGATGTATCTACTCAGCAAACAGAGTTGAACCTTTCTTTTGAGAGAGCAGTTTTGAAACACTCTTTTTGTGGAATATGCAAGTGGGTATTAGGCCAGCTTGGAGGATTTCGTTGGAAACGGGAATACGTATAAAAAGCAGACAGCAGCATTGTCAGAAACTACTTTGTGATGTTTGCATTCAAGTCACAGAATTGAACACTCCCTTTCACAGAGCAGGTTTGAAACACTCTTTTTGTAGTGTCTATAAGTGAACATTTGGCGTGCTTTCAGGCCTAAGGTGAAAAAGGAAATATCTTCCCATAAAAACTAGACAGAAGCATTCTCAGAAACTTGTTTGTGATGTGTGCCCTCTACTGACAGAGTTGAACCTTTCTTTGCAAAGAGCAGTTTTGAAACACTCTTTTTGTAGAATCAGCAAGAGGATATTTGGATAGCTTTGAGGATTTCTTGGGAAACGGGAATGTCTTCAGATAAACTCTAGACAGAAGCATTCTCAGAAACTTCTTTGGGATGTTTCAATTGAAGTCACAGTGTTGAACATTCCCTTTCACAGAGCAGGTTTGAAACACTCTTTTTGTAGTGTCTATAAGTGAACATTTGGCGTGCTTTCAGGCGTAACGTGAAAAAGGAAATATCTTCCCATAAAAACTAGACAGAAGCATTCTCAGAAACTTGTTCTTGATGTGTCCCCTCTACTGACAGAGTTGAACCTTTCTTTGCAAAGAGCAGCTTTGAAACACTCTTTTTGTAGAATCTGCAAGAGGATATTTGGATAGCTTGGAGGATTTCGTTGGAAACGGGTATGTCTTCAGATAAACTCTAGACAGAAGCATTCTCAGAAACTTCTTTGGGATGTTGCATTCAAGTCACAGAGTAGAACATTCCCATTCATAGAGCAGATTTGAAACACTCTTTTTGTAGTATCTGGAAGTGGACATTTGGAGCGCTTTCAGGCCTATGTTGAAAAAGGAAATATCTTCCCATAAAAACTAGACGGAAGCATTCTCAGAAACTTATTTGTGATGTGTTTGCTCAACTAACAGGATTGAACCATCGTTTTGAAGGAGCAGTTTTGAAACACTGTTTTCGTGGAATCTGCAAGTGGATATTTGGCTAGCTTTGAGGATTTCGTTGGAAATGGGATTACATATACAAAGGAGACAGCAGCATTCTCAGAAACTTCTTTGTGATGTCTGCATTCAATTCACAGAGTTGAGCATTCCCTTTCATAGAGCAGGTTGGAAACACTCTTTTTGTAGTATCTGGATGAGGACATTTGGAGCGCTTTCAGGCGTATGGTGAAAAAGGAAATATCTTCCCGTAAAAACTAGACAGAAGCATTCTCAGAAGTTTATTTGTGATGTGTGCCCTCAACTAACAGAGTTGAACCTTTCTTTTGATAGAGCAGTTTTGAAACACTCTTTTTGTAAAATCTGCAAGAGGATATTTGGATAGCTTTGAGGATTTCGTTGCAAACGGGAATGGCTTCATATAAACTCTAGACAGAAGCATTCTCAGAAACTTCGTTGGGATGTTTCGATTGAAGTCCCAGTGTTGAACATTCCCTTTTATAGAGCAGGTTGGAAACACTCTTTCTGCATTCCCTGGAAGTGGACATTTGGAGCGCTTTCAGGACGACGGTGAAAATGGAAATATCTTCCAAGAAAATCTAGATAGAAGCAACGTCAGAAACTTTTATGTGATGGATCTACTCAGCTAACAGAGTTGAACCTTTCTTTTGAGAGAGCAGTTTTGCAACACTCTTTTTGTGGAATATGCAAGTGGATATTAGGACAGCTTTGAGGATATCGTTGGAAACGGGAATACATGTAAAAAGCAGACAGCCAGCATTCTCAGAAACTTCTTTGTGATGTTTGCATTGAAGTCACAGAGTTGAACATTCCCTTTGAGAGAGCAGGTTTGAAACACGCCTTTTGTCATATCTGGAAGTGTCCATTCGGAGCGCATTCAGGCTTGTGTTGAAAAAGGAAATATCCTCCCATAAAAACTAGACAGAGCATTCTCAGAAACTTATCTGTGATGTATGTACTCAACTAACAGAACTAAACCATCGTTTTGAAGGAGCAGTTTTGAAACACTCTTTTTGCGGAATCTGCAAGTGGATATTTGGCTAGCTGGGAGGATTTCGTTGGAAACGGGATTACATACAAAAAGCAGACAGCAGCATTCTCAGAAACTTCTTTGTGATGTTTGCATTCAAGTCACAGAGTTGAACATTCCCTTTCATAGAGCAGGTTTGAAACACTCTTTTTGTAGTATCTGGATGTGGACATTTGGATCGCTTTCAGGCCTATGGTGAAAAAGGAAATATCTTCCCATGAAAACTAGACAGAAGCATTCTCAGAAACTTATTTGTGATGTGTGCCCTCAACTGACAGTGTTGAACCTTTGTTTTGATAGAGCAGTTCTGAAACACACTTTTTGTAAAATCTGCAAGAGGATATTTGGATAGCTTTGAGGATTTCGTTGGAAACGGGAATGTCTTCATGTAAATTCTACACAGAAGCATTCTCAGAAACTGCTTTGGGATGTTTCAATTGAAGTCCCAGTGTTGAACATTCCCATTCATAGAGCAGGTTTGAAACACTCTTTTTGTACTATCTGGAAGTGGACATTTGGAGCGCTTTCAGGTCTACGGTGAAAAAGGAGATATCTTCCAATAAAAACTAGATAGAAGCAATGTCAGAACTTTTTTCATGATGTATCTACTCAGCAAACAGAGTTGAACCTTTCTTTTGAGAGAGCAGTTTTGAAACACTCTTTTTGTGGAATATGCAAGTGGGTATTAGGCCAGCTTGGAGGATTTCGTTGGAAACGGGAATACGTATAAAAAGCAGACAGCAGCATTGTCAGAAACTACTTTGTGATGTTTGCATTCAAGTCACAGAATTGAACACTCCTTTTCACAGAGCAGGTTTGAAACACTCTTTTTGTAGTGTCTGTAAGTGAACATTTGGATTGCTTTCAGGCCTAAGGTGAAAAAGGAAATATCTTCACATAAAAACTAGACAGAAGCATTCTCAGAAACTTGTTTGTGATGTGTGCCCTCTACTGACAGAGTTGAACCTTTCTTTGCAAAGACCAGTTTTGAAACACTCTTTTTGTAGAATCTGCAAGAGGATATTTGGATAGCTTTGAGGATTTCTTGGGAAACGGGAATGTCTTCAGATAAACTCTAGACAGAAGCATTCTCAGAAACTTCTTTGGGATGTTTCAATTGAAGTCACAGTGTTGAACATTCCCTTTCACAGAGTAGGTATGAAACACTCTTTTTGTAGTGTCTATAAGTGAACATTTGGCGTGCTTTCAGGCGTAACGTGAAAAAGGAAATATCTTCCCATAAAAACTAGACAGAAGCATTCTCAGAAACTTGTTCGTGATGTGTGCCCTCTACTGACAGAGTTGAACCTTTCTTTGCAAAGAGCAGCTTTGAAACACTCTTTTTGTAGAATCTGCAAGAGGATATTTGGATAGCTTTGAGGATTTCGTTGGAAACGGGTATGTCTTCAGATAAACTCTAGACAGAAGCATTCTCAGAAACTTCTTTGGGATGTTGCATTCAAGTCACAGAGTAGAACATTCCCATGCATAGAGCAGATTTGAAACACTCTTTTTGTAGTATCTGGAAGTGGACATTTGGAGCGCTTTCAGGCCTATGTTGAAAAAGGAAATATCTTCCCATAAAAACTAGACGGAAGCATTCTCAGAAACTTACTTGTGATGTGTTTGCTCAACTAACAGAATTGAACCATCGTTTTGAAGGAGCAGTTTTGAAACACTGATTTCGTGGAATCTGCAAGTGGATATTTGGCTAGCTTTGAGGATTTCGTTGCAAACGGGATTACATATAAAAAGGAGACAGCAGCATTCTCAGAAACTTCTTTGTGATGTCTGCATTCAATTCACAGAGTTGAGCATTCCCTTTCATAGAGCAGGTTGGAAACACTCTTTTTGTAGTATCTGGATGGGGACATTTGGAGCGCTTTCAGGCCTATGGTGAAAAAGGAAATATCTTCCCGTAAAAACTAGACAGAAGCATTCTCAGAAGTTTATTTGTGATGTGTGCCCTCAACTAACAGAGTTGAACCTTTCTTTTGATAGAGCAGTTTTGAAACACTCTTTTTGTAAAATCTGCAAGAGGATATTTGGATAGCTTTGAGGATTTCGTTGCAAACGGGAATGGCTTCATATAAACTCTAGACAGAAGCATTCTCAGAAACTTCGTTGGGATGTTTCGATTGAAGTCCCAGTGTTGAACATTCCCTTTTATAGAGCAGGTTGGAAACACTCTTTCTGCATTCCCTGGAAGTGGACATTTGGAGCGCTTTCAGGACGACGGTGAAAATGGAAATATCTTCCAAGAAAATCTAGATAGAAGCAACATCAGAAACTTTTATGTGATGGATCTACTCAGCTAACAGAGTTGAACCTTTCTTTTGAGAGAGCAGTTTTGCAACACTCTTTTTGTGGAATACGCAAGTGGATATTAGGGCAGCTTTGAGGATTTCGTTGGAAACGGGAATACATGTAAAAAGCAGACAGCAGCATTCTCAGAAACTTCTTTGTGATGTTTGCATTGAAGTCACAGAGTTGAACATTCCCTTTGAGAGAGCAGGTTTGAAACACGCCTTTTGTCATATCTGGAAGTGTCCATTCGGAGCGCATTCAGGCTTGTGTTGAAAAAGGAAATATCCTCCCATAAAAACTAGACAGAAGCATTCTCAGAAACTTATCTGTGATGTATGTACTCAACTAACAGAACTAAACCATCGTTTTGAAGGAGCAGTTTTGAAACACTCTTTTTGCGGAATCTGCAAGTGGATATTTGGCTAGCTGGGAGGATTTCGTTGGAAACGGGATTACATACAAAAAGCAGACAGCAGCATTCTCAGAAACTTCTTTGTGATGTTTGCATTCAAGTCACAGAGTTGAACATTCCCTTTCATAGAGCAGGTTTGAAACACTCTTTTTGTAGTATCTGGATGTGGACATTTGGATCGCTTTCAGGCCTATGGTGAAAAAGGAAATATCTTCCCATGAAAACTAGACAGAAGCATTCTCAGAAACTTATTTGTGATGTGTGCCCTCAACTGACAGTGTTGAACCTTTGTTTTGATAGAGCAGTTCTGAAACACACTTTTTGTAAAATCTGCAAGAGGATATTTGGATAGCTTTGAGGATTTCGTTGGAAACGGGAATGTCTTCATGTAAACTCTAGACAGAAGCATTCTCAGAAACTGCTTTGGGATGTTTCAATTGAAGTCCCAGTGTTGAACATTCCCATTCATAGAGCATGTTTGAAACACTCTTTTTGTAGTATCTGGAAGTGGACATTTGGAGGGCTTTCAGGTCTACGGTGAAAAAGGAGATATCTTCCAATAAAAACTAGATAGAAGCAATGTCAGAACTTTTTTCATGATGTATCTACTCAGCAAACAGAGTTGAACCTTTCTTTTGAGAGAGCAGTTTTGAAACACTCTTTTTGTGGAATATGCAAGTGGGTATTAGGCCAGCTTGGAGGATTTCGTTGGAAACGGGAATACGTATAAAAAGCAGACAGCAGCATTGTCAGAAACTACTTTGTGATGTTTGCATTCAAGTCACAGAATTGAACACTCCCTTTCACAGAGCAGGTTTGAAACACTCTTTTTGTAGTGTCTGTAAGTGAACATTTGGATTGCTTTCAGGCCTATGGTGAAAAAGGAAATATCTTCCCATAAAAACTAGACAGAAGCATTCTCAGAAACTTGTTTGTGATGTGTGCCCTCTACTGACAGAGTTGAACCTTTCTTTGCAAAGAGCAGTTTTGAAACACTCTTTTTGTAGAATCTGCAAGAGGATATTTGGATAGCTTTGAGGATTTCTTGGGAAACGGGAATGTCTTCAGATAAACTCTAGACAGAAGCATTCTCAGAAACTTCTTTGGGATGTTTCAATTGAAGTCACAGTGTTGAACATTCCCTTTCACAGAGCAGGTTTGAAACACTCTTTTTGTAGTGTCTATAAGTGAACATTTGGCGTGCTTTCAGGCCTAACGTGAAAAAGGAAATATCTTCCCATAAAAACTAGACAGAAGCATTCTCAGAAACTTGTTCGTGATGTGTGACCTCTACAGACAGAGTTGAACCTTTCTTTGCAAAGAGCAGCTTTGAAACACACTTTTTGTAGAATCTGCAAGAGGATATTTGGATAGCTTTGAGGATTTCGTTGGAAACGGGTATGTCTTCAGATAAACTCTAGACAGAAGCATTCTCAGAAACTTCTTTGGGATGTTGCATTCAAGTCACAGAGTAGAACATTCCCATTCATAGAGCAGATTTGAAACACTCTTTTTGTAGTATCTGGAAGTGGACATTTGGAGCGCTTTCAGGCCTATGTTGAAAAAGGAAATATCTTCCCATAAAAACTAGACGGAAGCATTCTCAGAAACTTATTTGTGATGTGTTTGCTCAACTAACAGGATTGAACCATCGTTTTGAAGGAGCAGTTTTGAAACACTGTTTTCGTGGAATCTGCAAGTGGATATTTGGCTAGCTTTGAGGATTTCGTTGGAAACGGGATTACATATACAAAGGAGACAGCAGCATTCTCAGAAACTTCTTTGTGATGTCTGCATTCAATTCACAGAGTTGAGCATTCCCTTTCATAGAGCAGGTTGGAAACACTCTTTTTGTAGTATCTGGATGAGGACATTTGGAGCGCTTTCAGGCGTATGGTGAAAAAGGAAATATCTTCCCGTAAAAACTAGACAGAAGCATTCTCAGAAACTTATTTGTGATGTGTGCCCTCAACTAACAGAGTTGAACCTTTCTTTTGATAGAGCAGTTTTGAAACACTCTTTTTGTAAAATCTGCAAGAGGATATTTGGATAGCTTTGAGGATTTCGTTGGAAACGGGAATGTCTTCATGTAAACTCTAGACAGAAGCATTCTCAGAAACTGCTTTGGGATGTTTCAATTGAAGTCCCAGTGTTGAACATTCCCATTCATAGAGCAGGTTTGAAACACTCTTTTTGTACTATCTGGAAGTGGACATTTGGAGCGCTTTCAGGTCTACGGTGAAAAAGGGGATATCTTCCAATAAAAACTAGATAGAAGCAATGTCAGAACTTTTTTCATGATGTATCTACTCAGCAAACAGAGTTGAACCTTTCTTTTGAGAGAGCAGTTTTGACACAGTCTTTGTGGAATATGCAAGTGGGTATTAGGCCAGCTTGGAGGATTTCGTTGGAAACGGGAATACGTATAAAAAGCAGACAGCAGCATTGTCAGAAACTACTTTGTGATGTTTGCATTCAAGTCACAGAATTGAACACTCGCTTTCACAGAGCAGGTTTGAAACACTCTTTTTGTAGTGTCTGTTACTGAACATTTGGATTGCTTTCAGGCCTAAGGTGAAAAAGGAAATATCTTCCCATAAAAAGTAGACAGAAGCATTCTCAGAAACTTGTTTGTGATGTGTGCCCTCTACTGACAGAGTTGAACCTTTCTTTGCAAAGAGCAGTTTTGAAACACTCTTTTTGTAGAATCTGCAAGAGGATATTTGGATAGCTTTGAGGATTTCTTGGGAAACGGGAATGTCTTCAGATAAACTCTAGACAGAAGCATTCTCAGAAACTTCTTTGGGATGTTTCAATTGAAGTCACAGTGTTGAACATTCCCTTTCACAGAGCAGGTTTGAAACACTCTTTTTGTAGTGTCTATAAGTGAACATTTGGCGTGCTTTCAGGCCTAACGTGAAAAAGGAAATATCTTCCCATAAAAACTAGACAGAAGCATTCTCAGAAACTTGTTCGTGATGTGTGCCCTCTACTGACAGAGTTGAACCTTTCTTTGCAAAGAGCAGCTTTGAAACACTCTTTTTGTAGAATCTGCAAGAGGATATTTGGATAGCTTTGAGGATTTCGTTGGAAACGGGGATGTCTTCAGATAAACTCTAGACAGAAGCATTCTCAGAAACTTCTTTGGGATGTTGCATTCAAGTCACAGAGTAGAACATTCCCATTCATAGAGCAGATTTGAAACACTCTTTTTGTAGTATCTGGAAGTGGACATTTGGAGCGCTTTCAGGCCTATGTTGAAAAAGGAAATATCTTCCCATAAAAACTAGACGGAAGCATTCTCAGAAACTTATTTGTGATGTGTTTGCTCAACTAACAGGATTGAACCATCGTTTTGAAGGAGCAGTTTTGAAACACTGTTTTCGTGGAATCTGCAAGTGGATATTTGGCTAGCTTTGAGGATTTCGTTGGAAACGGGATTACATATAAAAAGGAGACAGCAGCATTCTCAGAAACTTCTTTGTGATGTCTGCATTCAATTCACAGAGTTGAGCATTCCCTTTCATAGAGCAGGTTGGAAACACTCTTTTTGTAGTATCTGGATGAGGACATTTGGAGCGCTTTCAGGCGTATGGTGAAAAAGGAAATATCTTCCCGTAAAAACTAGACAGAAGCATTCTCAGAAGTTTATTTGTGATGTGTGCCCTCAACTAACAGAGTTGAACCTTTCTTTTGATAGAGCAGTTTTGAAACACTCTTTTTGTAAAATCTGCAAGAGGATATTTGGATAGCTTTGAGGATTTCGTTGCAAACGGGAATGGCTTCATATAAACTCTAGACAGAAGCATTCTCAGAAACTTCGTTGGGATGTTTCGATTGAAGTCCCAGTGTTGAACATTCCCTTTTATAGAGCAGGTTGGAAACACTCTTTCTGCATTCCCTGGAAGTGGACATTTGGAGCGCTTTCAGGACGACGGTGAAAATGGAAATATCTTCCAAGAAAATCTAGATAGAAGCAATGTCAGAAACTTTTATGTGATGGATCTACTCAGCTAACAGAGTTGAAGCTTTCTTTTGAGAGAGCAGTTTTGCCACACTCTTTTTGTGGAATATGCAAGTGGATATTAGGGCAGCTTTGAGGATTTCGTTGGAAACGGGAATACATGTAAAAAGCAGACAGCAGCATTCTCAGAAACTTCTTTGTGATGTTTGCATTGAAGTCACAGAGTTGAACATTCCCTTTGAGAGAGCAGGTTTGAAACACGCCTTTTGTCATATCTGGAAGTGTCCATTCGGAGCGCATTCAGGCTTGTGTTGAAAAAGGAAATATCCTCCCATAAAAACTAGACAGAAGCATTCTCAGAAACTTATCTGTGATGTATGTACTCAACTAACAGAACTAAACCATCGTTTTGAAGGAGCAGTTTTGAAACACTCTTTTTGCGGAATCTGCAAGTGGATATTTGGCTAGCTGGGAGGATTTCGTTGGAAACGGGATTACATACAAAAAGCAGACAGCAGCATTCTCAGAAACTTCTTTGTGATGTTTGCATTCAAGTCACAGAGTTGAACATTCCCTTTCATAGAGCAGGTTTGAAACACTCTTTTTGTAGTATCTGGATGTGGACATTTGGATCGCTTTCAGGCCTATGGTGAAAAAGGAAATATCTTCCCATGAAAACTAGACAGAAGCATTCTCAGAAACTTATTTGTGATGTGTGCCCTCAACTGACAGTGTTGAACTTTTGTTTTGATAGAGCAGTTCTGAAACACACTTTTTGTAAAATCTGCAAGAGGATATTTGGATAGCTTTGAGGATTTCGTTGGAAACGGGAATGTCTTCATGTAAACTCTAGACAGAAGCATTCTCAGAAACTGCTTTGGGATGTTTCAATTGAAGTCCCAGTGTTGAACATTCCCTTTCATAGAGCAGGTTTGAAACACTCTTTTTGTACTATCTGGAAGTGGACATTTGGAGCGCTTTCAGGTCTACGGTGAAAAAGGAGATATCTTCCAATAAAAACTAGATAGAAGCAATGTCAGAACTTTTTTCATGATGTATCTACTCAGCAAACAGAGTTGAACCTTTCTTTTGAGAGAGCAGTTTTGAAACACTCTTTTTGTGGAATATGCAAGTGGGTATTAGGCCAGCTTGGAGGATTTCGTTGGAAACGGGAATACGTATAAAAAGCAGACAGCAGCATTGTCAGAAACTACTTTGTGATGTTTGCATTCAAGTCACAGAATTGAACACTCCCTTTCACAGAGCAGGTTTGAAACACTCTTTTTGTAGTGTCTGTAAGTGAACATTTGGATTGCTTTCAGGCCTAAGGTGAAAAAGGAAATATCTTCCCATAAAAACTAGACAGAAGCATTCTCAGAAACTTGTTTGTGATGTGTGCCCTCTACTGACAGAGTTGAACCTTTCTTTGCAAAGAGCAGTTTTGAAACACTCTTTTTGTAGAATCTGCAAGAGGATATTTGGATAGCTTTGAGGATTTCTTGGGAAACGGGAATGTCTTCAGATAAACTCTAGACAGATAAGCATTCTCAAAAACTTCTTTGGGATGATTCAATTGAAGTCACAGTGTTGAACATTCCCTTTCACAGAGCAGGTTTGAAAAACTCTTTTTGTAGTGTCTATAAGTGAACATTTGGCGTGCTTTCAGGAGTAACGTGAAAAAGGAAATATCTTCCCATAAAAACTAGACAGAAGCATTCTCAGAAACTTGTTTGTGATGTGTGCCCTCTACTGACAGAGTTGAACCTTTCTTTGCAAAGAGCAGCTTTGAAACACTCTTTTTGTAGAATCTGCAAGAGGATATTTGGATAGCTTTGAGGATTTCGTTGGAAACGGGTATGTCTTCAGATAAACTCTAGACAGAAGCATTCTCAGAAACTTCTTTGAGATGTTGCATTCAAGTCACAGAGTAGAACATTCCCATTCATAGAGCAGATTTGAAACACTCTTTTTGTAGTATCTGAAAGTGGACATTTGGAGCGCTTTCAGGCCTATGATGAAAAAGGAAATATCTTCCCATAAAAACTAGACGGAAGCATTCTCAGAAACTTATTTGTGATGTGTTTGCTCAACTAACAGGATTGAACCATCGTTTTGAAGGAGCAGTTTTGAAACACTGTTTTCGTGGAATCTGCAAGTGGATATTTGGCTAGCTTTGAGGATTTCGTTGGAAATGGGATTACATATACAAAGGAGACAGCAGCATTCTCAGAAACTTCTTTGTGATGTCTGCATTCAAGTCACAGAGTTGAACATTCCCTTTCATAGAGCAGGTTTGAAACACTCTTTTTGTAGTATCTGGATGCGGACATTTGGATCGCTTTCAGGCCTATGGTGAAAAAGGAAATATCTTCCCATGAAAACTAGACAGAAGCATTCTCAGAAACTTATTTGTGATGTGTGCCCTCAACTGACAGTGTTGAACCTTTGTTTTGATAGAGCAGTTCTGAAACACACTTTTTGTAAAATCTGCAAGAGGATATTTGGATAGCTTTGAGGATTTCGTTGGAAACGGGAATGTCTTCATGTAAACTCTAGACAGAAGCATTCTCAGAAACTGCTTTGGGATGTTTCTATTGAAGTCCCAGTGTTGAACATTCCCTTTCATAGAGCAGGTTTGAAACACTCTTTTTGTAGTATCTGGAAGTGGACATTTGGAGCGCTTTCAGGTCTACGGTGAAAAAGGAGATATCTTCCAATAAAAACTAGATAGAAGCAATGTCAGAACTTTTTTCATGATGTATCTACTCAGCAAACAGAGTTGAACCTTTCTTTTGAGAGAGCAGTTTTGAAACACTCTTTTTGTGGAATATGCAAGTGGGTATTAGGCCAGCTTGGAGGATTTCGTTGGAAACGGGAATACGTATAAAAAGCAGACAGCAGCATTGTCAGAAACTACTTTGTGATGTTTGCATTCAAGTCACAGAATTGAACACTCCCTTTCACAGAGCAGGTTTGAAACACTCTTTTTGTAGTGTCTGTAAGTGAACATTTGGATTGCTTTCAGGCCTAAGGTGAAAAAGGAAATATCTTCCCATAAAAACTAGACAGAAGCATTCTCAGAAACTTGTTTGTGATGTGTGCCCTCTACTGACAGAGTTGAACCTTTCTTTGCAAAGACCAGTTTTGAAACACTCTTTTTGTAGAATCTGCAAGAGGATATTTGGATAGCTTTGAGGATTTACTTGGGAAACGGGAATGTCTTCAGATAAACTCTAGACAGAAGCATTCTCAGAAACTTCTTTGGGATGTTTCAATTGAAGTCACAGTGTTGAACATTCCCTTTCACAGAGCAGGTTTGAAACACTCTTTTTGTAGTGTCTATAAGTGAACATTTGGCGTGCTTTCAGGCCTAACGTGAAAAAGGAAATATCTTCCCATAAAAACTAGACAGAAGCATTCTCAGAAACTTGTTCTTGATGTGTCCCCTCTACTGACAGAATTGAACCTTTCTTTGCAAAGAGCAGCTTTGAAACACTCTTTTTGTAGAATCTGCAAGAGGATATTTGGATAGCTTGGAGGATTTCGTTGGAAACGGGTATGTCTTCAGATAAACTCTAGACAGAAGCATTCTCAGAAACTTCTTTGGGATGTTGCATTCAAGTCACAGAGTAGAACATTCCCATTCATAGAGCAGATTTGAAACACTCTTTTTGTAGTATCTGGAAGTGGACATTTGGAGCGCTTTCAGGCCTATGTTGAAAAAGGAAATATCTTCCCATAAAAACTAGACGGAAGCATTCTCAGAAACTTGTTCTTGATGTGTTTGCTCAACTAACAGGATTGAACCATCGTTTTGAAGGAGCAGTTTTGAAACACTGTTTTCGTGGAATCTGCAAGTGGATATTTGGCTAGCTTTGAGGATTTCGTTGGAAACGGGATTACATATAAAAAGGAGACAGCAGCATTCTCAGAAACTTCTTTGTGATGTCTGCATTCAATTCACAGAGTTGAGCATTCCCTTTCATAGAGCAGGTTGGAAACACTCTTTTTGTAGTATCTGGATGTGGACATTTGGATCGCTTTCAGGCCTATGGTGAAAAAGGAAATATCTTCCCATGAAAACTAGACAGAAGCATTCTCAGAAACTTATTTGTGATGTGTGCCCTCAACTGACAGTGTTGAACCTTTGTTTTGATAGAGCAGTTCTGAAACACACTTTTTGTAAAATCTGCAAGAGGATATTTGGATAGCTTTGAGGATTTCGTTGGAAACGGGAATGTCTTCATGTAAACTCTAGACAGAAGCATTCTCAGAAACTGCTTTGGGATGTTTCAATTGAAGTCCCAGCGTTGAACATTCCCATTCATAGAGCAGGTTTGAAACACTCTTTTTGTACTATCTGGAAGTGGACATTTGGAGCGCTTTCAGGTCTACGGTGAAAAAGGAGATATCTTCCAATAAAAACTAGATAGAAGCAATGTCAGAACTTTTTTCATGATGTATCTACTCAGCAAACAGAGTTGAACCTTTCTTTTGAGAGAGCAGTTTTGACACAGTCTTTGTGGAATATGCAAGTGGGTATTAGGCCAGCTTGGAGGATTTCGTTGGAAACGGGAATACGTATAAAAAGCAGACAGCAGCATTGTCAGAAACTACTTTGTGATGTTTGCATTCAAGTCACAGAATTGAACACTCCCTTTCACAGAGCAGGTTTGAAACACTCTTTTTGTAGTGTCTGTAAGTGAACATTTGGATTGCTTTCAGGCCTATGGTGAAAAAGGAAATATCTTCCCATAAAAACTAGACAGAAGCATTCTCAGAAACTTGTTTGTGATGTGTGCCCTCTACTGACAGAGTTGAACCTTTCTTTGCAAAGAGCAGTTTTGAAACACTCTTTTTGTAGAATCTGCAAGAGGATATTTGGATAGCTTTGAGGATTTCGTTGGAAACGGAAATGTCTTCATGTAAACTCTAGACAGAAGCATTCTCAGAAACTTCTTTGGGATGTTTCAATTGAAGTCACCGTGTTGAACATTCCCTTTCACAGAGCAGGTTTGAAACACTCTTTTTGTAGTGTCTATAAGTGAACATTTGGCGTGCTTTCAGGCCTAACGTGAAAAAGGAAATATCTTCCCATAAAAACTAGACAGAAGCATTCTCAGAAACTTGTTCGTGATGTGTGCCCTCTACTGACAGAGTTGAACCTTTCTTTGCAAAGAGCAGCTTTGAAACACACTTTTTGTAGAATCTGCAAGAGGATATTTGGATAGCTTTGAGGATTTCGTTGGAAACGGGTATGTCTTCAGATAAACTCTAGACAGAAGCATTCTCAGAAACTTCTTTGGGATGTTGCATTCAAGTCACAGAGTAGAACATTCCCATTCATAGAGCAGATTTGAAACACTCTTTTTGTAGTATCTGGAAGTGGACATTTGGAGCGCTTTCAGGCCTATGTTGAAAAAGGAAATATCTTCCCATAAAAACTAGACGGAAGCATTCTCAGAAACTTATTTGTGATGTGTTTGCTCAACTAACAGGATTGAACCATCGTTTTGAAGGAGCAGTTTTGAAACACTGTTTTCGTGGAATCTGCAAGTGGATATTTGGCTAGCTTTGAGGATTTCGTTGGAAACGGGATTACATATAAAAAGGAGACAGCAGCATTCTCAGAAACTTCTTTGTGATGTCTGCATTCAATTCACAGAGTTGAGCATTCCCTTTCATAGAGCAGGTTGGAAACACTCTTTTTGTAGTATCTGGATGAGGACATTTGGAGCGCTTTCAGGCGTATGGTGAAAAAGGAAATATCTTCCCGTAAAAACTAGACAGAAGCATTCTCAGAAGTTTATTTCTGATGTGTGCCCTCAACTAACAGAGTTGAACCTTTCTTTTGATAGAGCAGTTTTGAAACACTCTTTTTGTAAAATCTGCAAGAGGATATTTGGATAGCTTTGAGGATTTCGTTGCAAACGGGAATGGCTTCATATAAACTCTAGACAGAAGCATTCTCAGAAACTTCGTTGGGATGTTTCGATTGAAGTCCCAGTGTTGAACATTCCCTTTTATAGAGCAGGTTGGAAACACTCTTTCTGCATTCCCTGGAAGTGGACATTTGGAGCGCTTTCAGGACGACGGTGAAAATGGAAATATCTTCCAAGAAAATCTAGATAGAAGCAACGTCAGAAACTTTTCTGTGATGGATCTACTCAGCTAACAGAGTTGAACCTTTCTTTTGAGAGAGCAGTTTTGCAACACTCTTTTTGTGGAATATGCAAGTGGATATTAGGGCAGCTTTGAGGATTTCGTTGGAAACGGGAATACATGTAAAAAGCAGACAGCAGCATTCTCAGAAACTTCTTTGTGATGTTTGCATTGAAGTCACAGAGTTGAACATTCCCTTTGAGAGAGCAGGTTTGAAACACGCCTTTTGTCATATCTGGAAGTGTCCATTCGGAGCGCATTCAGGCTTGTGTTGAAAAAGGAAATATCCTCCCATAAAAACTAGACAGAAGCATTCTCAGAAACTTATCTGTGATGTATGTACTCAACTAACAGAACTAAACCATCGTTTTGAAGGAGCAGTTTTGAAACACTCTTTTTGCGGAATCTGCAAGTGGATATTTGGCTAGCTGGGAGGATTTCGTTGGAAACGGGATTACATACAAAAAGCAGACAGCAGCATTCTCAGAAACTTCTTTGTGATGTTTGCATTCAAGTCACAGAGTTGAACATTCCCTTTCATAGAGCAGGTTTGAAACACTCTTTTTGTAGTATCTGGATGTGGACATTTGGATCGCTTTCAGGCCTATGGTGAAAAAGGAAATATCTTCCCATGAAAACTAGACAGAAGCATTCTCAGAAACTTATTTGTGATGTGTGCCCTCAACTGACAGTGTTGAACATTTGTTTTGATAGAGCAGTTCTGAAACACACTTTTTGTAAAATCTGCAAGAGGATATTTGGATAGCTTTGAGGATTTCGTTGGAAACGGGAATGTCTTCATGTAAACTCTACACAGAAGCATTCTCAGAAACTGCTTTGGGATGTTTCAATTGAAGTCCCAGTGTTGAACATTCCCATTCATAGAGCAGGTTTGAAACACTCTTTTTGTACTATCTGGAAGTGGACATTTGGAGCGCTTTCAGGTCTACGGTGAAAAAGGAGATATCTTCCAATAAAAACTAGATAGAAGCAATGTCAGAACTTTTTTCATGATGTATCTACTCAGCTAACAGAGTTGAACCTTTCTTTTGAGAGAGCAGTTTTGAAACACTCTTTTTGTGGAATATGCAAGTGGGTATTAGGCCAGCTTGGAGGATTTCGTTGGAAACGGGAATACGTATAAAAAGCAGACAGCAGCATTGTCAGAAACTACTTTGTGATGTTTGCATTCAAGTCACAGAATTGAACACTCCCTTTCACAGAGCAGATTTGAAACACTCTTTTTGTAGTGTCTGTAAGTGAACATATGGATTGCTTTCAGGCCTAAGGTGAAAAAGGAAATATCTTCCCATAAAAACTAGACAGAAGCATTCTCAGAAACTTGTTTGTGATGTGTGCCCTCTACTGACAGAGTTGAACCTTTCTTTGCAAAGAGCAGTTTTGAAACACTCTTTTTGTAGAATCTGCAAGAGGATATTTGGATAGCTTTGAAGATTTCTTGGGAAACGGGAATGTCTTCAGATAAACTCTAGACAGAAGCATTCTCAGAAACTTCTTTGGGATGTTTCAATTGAAGTCACAGTGTTGAACATTCCCTTTCACAGAGCAGGTTTGAAACACTCTTTTTGTAGTGTCTATAAGTGAACATTTGGCGTGCTTCAGGCCTAACGTGAAAAAGGAAATATCTTCCCATAAAAACTAGACAGATAAGCATTCTCAGAAACTTGTTCGTGATGTGTGCCCTCTACTGACAGAGTTGAACCTTTCTTTGCAAAGAGCAGCTTTGAAACACACTTTTTGTAGAATCTGCAAGAGGATATTTGGATAGCTTTGAGGATTTCGTTGGAAACGGGTATGTCTTCAGATAAACTCTAGACAGAAGCATTCTCAGAAACTTCTTTGGGATGTTGCATTCAAGTCACAGAGTAGAACATTCCCATTCATAGAGCAGATTTGAAACACTCTTTTTGTAGTATCTGGAAGTGGACATTTGGAGCGCTTTCAGGCCTATGTTGAAAAAGGAAATATCTTCCCATAAAAACTAGACGGAAGCATTCTCAGAAACTTACTTGTGATGTGTTTGCTCAACTAACAGAATTGAACCATCGTTTTGAAGGAGCAGTTTTGAAACACTGTTTTCGTGGAATCTGCAAGTGGATATTTGGCTAGCTTTGAGGATTTCGTTGGAAACGGGATTACATATAAAAAGGAGACAGCAGCATTCTCAGAAACTTCTTTGTGATGTCTGCATTCAAGTCACAGAGTTGAGCATTCCCTTTCATAGAGCAGGTTGGAAACACTCTTTTTGTAGTATCTGGATGAGGACATTTGGAGCGCTTTCAGGCGTATGGTGAAAAAGGAAATATCTTCCCGTAAAAACTAGGCAGAAGCATTCTCAGAAATTTATTTGTGATGTGTGCCCTCAACTAACAGAGTTGAACCTTTCTTTTGATAGAGCAGTTTTGAAACACTCTTTTTGTAAAATCTGCAAGAGGATATTTGGATAGCTTTGAGGATTTCGCTGCAAACGGGAGTGGCTTCATATAAACTCTAGACAGAGCATTCTCAGTAAACTTCGTTGGGATGTTTCGATTGAAGTCCCAATGTTGAACATTCCATTTTATAGCGCAGGTTGGAAACACTCTTTTTGCATTCCCTGGAAGTGGACATTTGGAGCGCTTTCAGGACGACGGTGAAAATGGAAATATCTTCTAATAAAATCTAGATAGAAGCAATGTGAGAAACTTTTATGTGATGGATCTACTCAGCTAACAGAGTTGAACCTTTCTTTTGAGAGAGCAGTTTTGCAACACTCTTTTTGTGGAATATGCAAGTGGATATTAGGGCAGCTTTGAGGATTTCGTTGGAAACGGGAATACATGTAAAAAGCAGACAGCAGCATTCTCAGAAACTTCTTTGTGATGTTTGCATTGAAGTCACAGAGTTGAACATTCCCTTTGAGAGAGCAGGTTTGAAACACGCCTTTTGTCATATCTGGAAGTGTCCATTCGGAGCGCATTCAGGTTTGTGTTGAAAAAGGAAATATCCTCCCATAAAAACTAGACAGAAGCATTCACAGAAACTTATTTGTGATGTATGTACTCAACTAACAGAACTAAACCATCGTTTTGAAGGAGCAGTTTTGAAACACCCTTTTTGCGGAATCTGCAACTGGATATTTGGCTAGCTTGGAGGATTTCGTTGGAAACGGGATTACATACAAAAAGCAGACAGCAGCATTCTCAGAAACTTCTTTGTGATGTTTGCATTCAAGTCGCAGAGGTGAACATTCCCTTTCATAGAGCAGGTTTGAAACACTCTTTTTGTAGTATCCGGATGTGGACATTTGGATCGCTTTCAGGCCTATGGTGAAAAAGGAAATATCTTCCCATGAAAACTAGACAGAAGCATTCTCAGAAACTTATTTGTGATGTGTGCCCTCAACTGACAGTGTTGAACCTTTGTTTTGATAGAGCAGTTCTGAAACACACTTTTTGTAAAATCTGCAAGAGGATATTTGGATAGCTTTGAGGATTTCGTTGGAAACGGGAATGTCTTCATGTAAACTCTAGACAGAAGCATTCTCAGAAACTGCTTTGGGATGTTTCTATTGAAGTCCCAGTGTTGAACATTCCCTTTCATAGAGCAGGTTTGAAACACTCTTTTTGTAGTATCTGGAAGTGGACATTTGGAGCGCTTTCAGGTCTACGGTGAAAAAGGAGATATCTTCCAATAAAAACTAGATAGAAGCAATGTCAGAACTTTTTTCATGATGTATCTACTCAGCAAACAGAGTTGAACCTTTCTTTTGAGAGAGCAGTTTTGAAACACTCTTTTTGTGGAATATGCAAGTGGGTATTAGGCCAGCTTGGAGGATTTCGTTGGAAACGGGAATACGTATAAAAAGCAGACAGCAGAATTGTCAGAAACTACTTTGTGATGTTTGCATTCAAGTCACAGAATTGAACACTCCCTTTCACAGAGCAGGTTTGAAACACTCTTTTTGTAGTGTCTGTAAGTGAATATTTGGATTGCTTTCAGTCCTAAGGTGAAAAAGGAAATATCTTCCCATAAAAACTAGACAGAAGCATTCTCAGAAACTTGTTTGTGATGTGTGCCCTCTACTGACAGAGTTGAACCTTTCTTTGCAAAGAGCAGTTTTGAAACACCCTTTTTGTAGAATCTGCAAGAGGATATTTGGATAGCTTTGAGGATTTCTTGGGAAACGGGAATGTCTTCAGATAAACTCTAGACAGAAGCATTCTCAGAAACTTCTTTGGGATGTTTCAATTGAAGTCACAGTGTTGAACATTCCCTTTCACAGAGCAGGTTTCAAACACTCTTTTTGTAGTGTCTATAAGTGAACATTTGGCGTGCTTTCAGGCCTAACGTGAAAAAGGAAATATCTTCCCATAAAAACTAGACAGAAGTATTCTCAGAAACTTGTTCGTGATGTGTGCCCTCTACTGACAGAGTTGAACCTTTCTTTGCAAAGAGCAGCTTTGAAACACACTTTTTGTAGAATCTGCAAGAGGATATTTGGATAGCTTTGAGGATTTCGTTGGAAACGGGTATGTCTTCAGATAAACTCTAGACAGAAGCATTCTCAGAAACTTCTTTGGGATGTTGCATTCAAGTCACAGAGTAGAACATTCCCATTCATAGAGCAGATTTGAAACACTCTTTTTGTAGTATCTGGAAGTGGACATTTGGAGCGCTTTCAGGCCTATGATGAAAAAGGAAATATCTTCCCATAAAAACTAGACGGAAGCATTCTCAGAAACTTATTTGTGATGTGTTTGCTCAACTAACAGGATTGAACCATCGTTTTGAAGGAGCAGTTTTGAAACACTGTTTTCGTGGAATCTGCAAGTGGATATTTGGCTAGCTTTGAGGATTTCGTTGGAAACGGGATTACATATAAAAAGGAGACAGCAGCATTCTCAGAAACTTCTTTGTGATGTCTGCATTCAATTCACAGAGTTGAGCATTCCCTTTCATAGAGCAGGTTGGAAACACTCTTTTTGTAGTATCTGGATGAGGACATTTGGAGCGCTTTCAGGCGTATGGTGAAAAAGGAAATATCTTCCCGTAAAAACTAGACAGAAGCATTCTCAGAAGTTTATTTGTGATGTGTGCCCTCAACTAACAGAGTTGAACCTTTCTTTTGATAGAGCAGTTTTGAAACACTCTTTTTGTAAAATCTGCAAGAGGATATTTGGATAGCTTTGAGGATTTCGTTGCAAACGGGAATGGCTTCATATAAACTCTAGACAGAAGCATTCTCAGAAACTTCGTTGGGATGTTTCGATTGAAGTCCCAGTGTTGAACATTCCCTTTTATAGAGCAGGTTGGAAACACTCTTTCTGCATTCCCTGGAAGTGGACATTTGGAGCGCTTTCAGGACGACGGTGAAAATGGAAATATCTTCCAAGAAAATCTAGATAGAAGCAATGTCAGAAACTTCTATGTGATGGATCTACTCAGCTAACAGAGTTGAAGATTTCTTTTGAGAGAGCAGTTTTGCAACACTCTTTTTGTGGAATATGCAAGTGGATATTAGGGCAGCTTTGAGGATTTCGTTGGAAACGGGAATACATGTAAAAAGCAGACAGCAGCATTCTCAGAAACTTCTTTGTGATGTTTGCATTGAAGTCACAGAGTTGAACATTCCCTTTGAGAGAGCAGGTTTGAAACACGCCTTTTGTCATATCTGGAAGTGTCCATTCGGAGCGCATTCAGGCTTGTGTTGAAAAAGGAAATATCCTCCCATAAAAACTAGACAGAAGCATTCTCAGAAACTTATCTGTGATGTATGTACTCAACTAACAGAACTAAACCATCGTTTTGAAGGAGCAGTTTTGAAACACTCTTTTTGCGGAATCTGCAAGTGGATATTTGGCTAGCTGGGAGGATTTCGTTGGAAACGGGATTACATACAAAAAGCAGACAGCAGCATTCTCAGAAACTTCTTTGTGATGTTTGCATTCAAGTCACAGAGTTGAACATTCCCTTTCATAGAGCAGGTTTGAAACACTCTTTTTGTAGTATCTGGATGTGGACATTTGGATCGCTTTCAGGCCTATGGTGAAAAAGGAAATATCTTCCCATGAAAACTAGACAGAAGCATTCTCAGAAACTTATTTGTGATGTGTGCCCTCAACTGACAGTGTTGAACCTTTGTTTTGATAGAGCAGTTCTGAAACACACTTTTTGTAAAATCTGCAAGAGGATATTTGGATAGCTTTGAGGATTTCGTTGGAAACGGAAATGTCTTCATGTAAACTCTACACAGAAGCATTCTCAGAAACTGCTTTGGGATGTTTCAATTGAAGTCCCAGTGTTGAACATTCCCTTTCATAGAGCAGGTTTGAAACACTCTTTTTGTACTATCTGGAAGTGGACATTTGGAGCGCTTTCAGGTCTACGGTGAAAAAGGAGATATCTTCCAATAAAAACTAGATAGAAGCAATGTCAGAACTTTTTTCATGATGTATCTACTCAGCAAACAGAGTTGAACCTTTCTTTTGAGAGAGCAGTTTCGAAACACTCTTTCTGTGGAATATGCAAGTGGGTATTAGGCCAGCTTGGAGGATTTCGTTGGAAACGGGAATACGTATAAAAAGCAGACAGCAGCATTGTCAGAAACTACTTTGTGATGTTTGCATTCAAGTCACAGAATTGAACACTCCCTTTCACAGAGCAGGTTTGAAACACTCTTTTTGTAGTGTCTGTAGGTGAACATTTGGATTGCTTTCAGGCCTAAGGTGAAAAAGGAAATATCTTCCCATAAAAACTAGACAGAAGCATTCTCAGAAACTTGTTTGTGATGTGTGCCCTCTACTGACAGAGTTGAACCTTTCTTTGCAAAGAGCAGTTTTGAAACACTCTTTTTGTAGAATCTGCAAGAGGATATTTGGATAGCTTTGAGGATTTCTTGGGAAACGGGAATGTCTTCAGATAAACTCTAGACAGAAGCATTCTCAGAAACTTCTTTGGGATGTTTCAATTGAAGTCACAGTGTTGAACATTCCCTTTCACAGAGCAGGTTTGAAACACTCTTTTTGTAGTGTCTATAAGTGAACATTTGGCGTGCTTTCAGGCCTAACGTGAAAAAGGAAATATCTTCCCATAAAAACTAGACAGAAGCATTCTCAGAAACTTGTTCGTGATGTGTGCCCTCTACTGACAGAGTTGAACCTTTCTTTGCAAAGAGCAGCTTTGAAACACTCTTTTTGTAGAATCTGCAAGAGGATATTTGGATAGCTTGGAGGATTTCGTTGGAAACGGGTATGTCTTCAGATAAACTCTAGACAGAAGCATTCTCAGAAACTTCTTTGGGATGTTGCATTCAAGTCACAGAGTAGAACATTCCCATTCATAGAGCAGATTTGAAACACTCTTTTTGTAGTATCTGGAAGTGGACATTTGGAGCGCTTTCAGGCCTATGTTGAAAAAGGATATATCTTCCCATAAAAACTAGACGGAAGCATTCTCTGAAACTTATTTGTGATGTGTTTGCTCAACTAACAGGATTGAACCATCGTTTTGAAGGAGCAGTTTTGAAACACTGTTTTCGTGGAATCTGCAAGTGGATATTTGGCTAGCTTTGAGGATTTCGTTGGAAACGGGATTACATATACAAAGGAGACAGCAGCATTCTCAGAAACTTCTTTGTGATGTCTGCATTCAATTCACAGAGTTGAGCATTCCCTTTCATAGAGCAGGTTGGAAACACTCTTTTTGTAGTATCTGGATGAGGACATTTGGAGCGCTTTCAGGCGTATGGTGAGAAAGGAAATATCTTGCCCGTAAAAACTAGACAGAAGCATTCTCAGAAGTTTATTTGTGATGTGTGCCCTCAACTAACAGAGTTGAACCTTTCTTTTGATAGAGCAGTTTTGAAACACTCTTTTTGTAAAATCTGCAAGAGGATATTTGGATAGGTTTGAGGATTTCGTTGCAAACGGGAATGGCTTCATATAAACTCTAGACAGAAGCATTCTCAGAAACTTCGTTGGGATGTTTCGATTGAAGTCCCAGTGTTGAACATTCCCTTTTATAGAGCAGGTTGGAAACACTCTTTCTGCATTCCCTGGAAGTGGACATTTGGAGCGCTTTCAGGACGACGGTGAAAATGGAAATATCTTCCAAGAAAATCTAGATAGAAGCAACGTCAGAAACTTTTATGTGATGGATCTACTCAGCTAACAGAGTTGAACCTTTCTTTTGAGAGAGCAGTTTTGCAACACTCTTTTTGTGGAATATGCAAGTGGATATTAGGGCAGCTTTGAGGATTTCGTTGGAAACGGGAATACATGTAAAAAGCAGACAGCAGCATTCTCAGAAACTTCTTTGTGATGTTTGCATTGAAGTCACAGAGTTGAACATTCCCTTTGAGAGAGCAGGTTTGAAACACGCCTTTTGTCATATCTGGAAGTGTCCATTCGGAGCGCATTCAGGCTTGTGTTGAAAAAGGAAATATCCTCCCATAAAAACTAGACAGAAGCATTCTCAGAAACTTATCTGTGATGTATGTACTCAACTAACAGAACTAAACCATCGTTTTGAAGGAGCAGTTTTGAAACACTCTTTTTGCGGAATCTGCAAGTGGATATTTGGCTAGCTGGGAGGATTTCGTTGGAAACGGGATTACATACAAAAAGCAGACAGCAGCATTCTCAGAAACTTCTTTGTGATGTTTGCATTCAAGTCACAGAGTTGAACATTCCCTTTCATAGAGCAGGTTTGAAACACTCTTTTTGTAGTATCTGGATGTGGACATTTGGATCGCTTTCAGGCCTATGGTGAAAAAGGAAATATCTTCCCATGAAAACTAGACAGAAGCATTCTCAGAAACTTATTTGTGATGTGTGCCCTCAACTGACAGTGTTGAACCTTTGTTTTGATAGAGCAGTTCTGAAACACACTTTTTGTAAAATCTGCAAGAGGATATTTGGATAGCTTTGAGGATTTCGTTGGAAACGGGAATGTCTTCATGTAAACTCTAGACAGAAGCATTCTCAGAAACTGCTTTGGGATGTTTCAATTGAAGTCCCAGTGTTGAACATTCCCATTCATAGAGCAGGTTTGAAACACTCTTTTTGTACTATCTGGAAGTGGACATTTGGAGCGCTTTCAGGTCTACGGTGAAAAAGGAGATATCTTCCAATAAAAACTAGATAGAAGCAATGTCAGAACTTTTTTCATGATGTATCTACTCAGCAAACAGAGTTGAACCTTTCTTTTGAGGGAGCAGTTTTGAAACACTATTTTTGTGGAATATGCAAGTGGGTATTAGGCCAGCTTGGAGGATTTCGTTGGAAACGGGAATACGTATAAAAAGCAGACAGCAGCATTGTCAGAAACTACTTTGTGATGTTTGCATTCAAGTCACAGAATTGAACACTCCCTTTCACAGAGCAGGTTTGAAACACTCTTTTTGTAGTGTCTGTAAGTGAACATTTGGATTGCTTTCAGGCCTAAGGTGAAAAAGGAAATATCTTCCCATAAAAACTAGACAGAAGCATTCTCAGAAACTTGTTTGTGATGTGTGCCCTCTACTGACAGAGTTGAACCTTTCTTTGCAAAGACCAGTTTTGAAACACTCTTTTTGTAGAATCTGCAAGAGGATATTTGGATAGCTTTGAGGATTTCTTGGGAAACGGGAATGTCTTCAGATAAACTCTAGACAGAAGCATTCTCAGAAACTTCTTTGGGATGTTTCAATTGAAGTCACAGTGTTGAACATTCCCTTTCACAGAGCAGGTTTGAAACACTCTTTTTGTAGTGTCTATAAGTGAACATTTGGCGTGCTTTCAGGCCTAACGTGAAAAAGGAAATATCTTCCCATAAAAACTAGACAGAAGCATTCTCAGAAACTTGTTCGTGATGTGTGCCCTCTACTGACAGAGTTGAACCTTTCTTTGCAAAGAGCAGCTTTGAAACACTCTTTTTGTAGAATCTGCAAGAGGATATTTGGATAGCTTTGAGGATTTCGTTGGAAACGGGTATGTCTTCAGATAAACTCTAGACAGAAGCATTCTCAGAAACTTCTTTGGGATGTTGCATTCAAGTCACAGAGTAGAACATTCCCATTCATAGAGCAGATTTGAAACACTCTTTTTGTAGTATCTGGAAGTGGACATTTGGAGCGCTTTCAGGCCTATGTTGAAAAAGGAAATATCTTCCCATAAAAACTAGACGGAAGCATTCTCAGAAACTTATTTGTGATGTGTTTGCTCAACTAACAGGATTGAACCATCGTTTTGAAGGAGCAGTTTTGAAACACTGTTTTCGTGGAATCTGCATGTGGATATTTGGCTAGCTTTGAGGATTTCGTTGGAAACGGGATTACATATAAAAAGGAGACAGCCAGCATTCTCAGTAAACTTCTTTGTGATGTCTGCATTCAATTCACAGCAGTTGAGCATTCCCTTTCATAGAGCAGGTTGGAAACACTCTTTTTGTAGTATCTGGATGAGGACATTTGGAGCGCTTTCAGGCGTATGGTGAAAAAGGAAATATCTTCCCGTAAAAACTAGACAGAAGCATTCTCAGAAATTTATTTGTGATGTGTGCCCTCAACTAACAGAGTTGAACCTTTCTTTTGATAGAGCAGTTTTGAAACACTCTTTTTGTAAAATCTGCAAGAGGATATTTGGATAGCTTTGAGGATTTCGTTGCAAACGGGAATGGCTTCATATAAACTCTAGACAGAAGCATTCTCAGAAACTTCGTTGGGATGTTTCGATTGAAGTCCCAGTGTTGAACATTCCCTTTTATAGAGCAGGTTGGAAACACTCTTTCTGCATTCCCTGGAAGTGGACATTTGGAGCGCTTTCAGGACGACGGTGAAAATGGAAATATCTTCCAAGAAAATCTAGATAGAAGCAACCGTCAGAAACTTTTCTGTGATGGATCTACTCAGCTAACAGAGTTGAACCTTTCTTTTGAGAGAGCAGTTTTGCAACACTCTTTTTGTGGAATATGCAAGTGGATATTAGGGCAGCTTTGAGGATTTCGTTGGAAACGGGAATACATGTAAAAAGCAGACAGCAGCATTCTCAGAAACTTCTTTGTGATGTTTGCATTGAAGTCACAGAGTTGAACATTCCCTTTGAGAGAGCAGGTTTGAAACACGCCTTTTGTCATATCTGGAAGTGTCCATTCGGAGCGCATTCAGGCTTGTGTTGAAAAAGGAAATATCCTCCCAGAAAAACTAGACAGAAGCATTCTCAGAAACTTATCTGTGATGTATGTACTCAACTAACAGAACTAAACCATCGTTTTGAAGGAGCAGTTTTGAAACACTCTTTTTGCGGAATCTGCAAGTGGATATTTGGCTAGCTGGGAGGATTTCGTTGGAAACGGGATTACATACAAAAAGCAGACAGCAGCATTCTCAGAAACTTCTTTGTGATGTTTGCATTCAAGTCACAGAGTTGAACATTCCCTTTCATAGAGCAGGTTTGAAACACTCTTTTTGTAGTATCTGGATGTGGACATTTGGATCGCTTTCAGGCCTATGGTGAAAAAGGAAATATCTTCCCATGAAAACTAGACAGAAGCATTCTCAGAAACTTATTTGTGATGTGTGCCCTCAACTGACAGTGTTGAACCTTTGTTTTGATAGAGCAGTTCTGAAACACACTTTTTGTAAAATCTGCAAGAGGATATTTGGATAGCTTTGAGGATTTCGTTGGAAACGGGAATGTCTTCATGTAAACTCTACACAGAAGCATTCTCAGAAACTGCTTTGGGATGTTTCAATTGAAGTCCCAGTGTTGAACATTCCCATTCATAGAGCAGGTTTGAAACACTCTTTTTGTACTATCTGGAAGTGGACATTTGGAGCGCTTTCAGGTCTACGGTGAAAAAGGAGATATCTTCCAATAAAAACTAGATAGAAGCAATGTCAGAACTTTTTTCATGATGTATCTACTCAGCAAACAGAGTTGAACCTTTCTTTTGAGAGAGCAGTTTTGAAACACTCTTTTTGTGGAATATGAAAGTGGGTATTAGGCCAGCTTGGAGGATTTCGTTGGAAACGGGAATACGTATAAAAAGCAGACAGCAGCATTGTCAGAAACTACTTTGTGATGTTTGCATTCAAGTCACAGAATTGAACACTCCCTTTCACAGAGCAGGTTTGAAACACTCTTTTTGTAGTGTCTGTAAGTGAACATTTGGATTGCTTTCAGGCCTAAGGTGAAAAAGGAAATATCTTCCCATAAAAACTAGACAGAAGCATTCTCAGAAACTTGTTTGTGATGTGTGCCCTCTACTGACAGAGTTGAACCTTTCTTTGCAAAGAGCAGTTTTGAAACACTCTTTTTGTAGAATCTGCAAGAGGATATTTGGATAGCTTTGAGGATTTCTTGGGAAACGGGAATGTCTTCAGATAAACTCTAGACAGAAGCATTCTCAGAAACTTCTTTGGGATGTTTCAATTGAAGTCACAGTGTTGAACATTCCCTTTCACAGAGCAGGTTTGAAACACTCTTTTTGTAGTGTCTATAAGTGAACATTTGGCGTGCTTTCAGGCGTAACGTGAAAAAGGAAATATCTTCCCATAAAAACTAGACAGAAGCATTCTCAGAAACTTGTTCTTGATGTGTGCCCTCTACTGACAGAGTTGAACCTTTCTTTGCAAAAAGCAGCTTTGAAACACTCTTTTTGTAGAATCTGCAAGAGGATATTTGGATAGCTTGGAGGATTTCGTTGGAAACGGGTATGTCTTCAGATAAACTCTAGACAGAAGCATTCTCAGAAACTTCTTTGGGATGTTGCATTCAAGTCACAGAGTAGAACATTCCCATTCATAGAGCAGATTTGAAACACTCTTTTTGTAGTATCTGGAAGTGGACATTTGGAGCGCTTTCAGGCCTATGTTGAAAAAGGAAATATCTTCCCATAAAAACTAGACGGAAGCATTCTCAGAAACTTATTTGTGATGTGTTTGCTCAACTAACAGGATTGAACCATCGTTTTGAAGGAGCAGTTTTGAAACACTGTTTTCGTGGAATCTGCAAGTGGTTATTTGGCTAGCTTTGAGGATTTCGTTGGCAAACGGGATTACATATACAAAGGAGACAGCAGCATTCTCAGAAACTTCTTTGTGATGTCTGCATTCAATTCACAGAGTTGAGCATTCCCTTTCTTAGAGCAGGTTGGAAACACTCTTTTTGTAGTATCTGGATGAGGACATTTGGAGCGCTTTCAGGCGTATGGTGAAAAAGGAAATATCTTCCCGTAAAAACTAGACAGAAGCATTCTCAGAAGTTTATTTGTGATGTGTGCCCTCAACTAACAGAGTTGAACCTTTCTTTTGATAGAGCAGTTTTGAAACACTCTTTTTGTAAAATCTGCAAGAGGATATTTGGATAGCTTTGAGGATTTCGTTGCAAACGGGAATGGCTTCATATAAACTCTAGACAGAAGCATTCTCAGAAACTTCGTTGGGATGTTTCGATTGAAGTCCCAGTGTTGAACATTCCCTTTTATAGAGCAGGTTGGAAACACTCTTTCTGCATTCCCTGGAAGTGGACATTTGGAGCGCTTTCAGGACGACGGTGAAAATGGAAATATCTTCCAAGAAAATCTAGATAGAAGCAACGTCAGAAACTTTTATGTGATGGATCTACTCAGCAAACAGAGTTGAACCTTTCTTTTGAGAGAGCAGTTTTGCAACACTCTTTTTGTGGAATATGCAAGTGGATATTAGGGCAGCTTTGAGGATTTCGTTGGAAACGGGAATACATGTAAAAAGCAGACAGCAGCATTCTCAGAAACTTCTTTGTGATGTTTGCATTGAAGTCACAGAGTTGAACATTCCCTTTGAGAGAGCAGGTTTGAAACACGCCTTTTGTCATATCTGGAAGTGTCCATTCGGAGCGCATTCAGGCTTGTGTTGAAAAAGGAAATATCCTCCCATAAAAACTAGACAGAAGCATTCTCAGAAACTTATCTGTGATGTATGTACTCAACTAACAGAACTAAACCATCGTTTTGAAGGAGCAGTTTTGAAACACTCTTTTTGCGGAATCTGCAAGTGGATATTTGGCTAGCTGGGAGGATTTCGTTGGAAACGGGATTACATACAAAAAGCAGACAGCAGCATTCTCAGAAACTTCTTTGTGATGTTTGCATTCAAGTCACAGAGTTGAACATTCCCTTTCATAGAGCAGGTTTGAAACACTCTTTTTGTAGTATCTGGATGTGGACATTTGGATCGCTTTCAGGCCTATGGTGAAAAAGGAAATATCTTCCCATGAAAACTAGACAGAAGCATTCTCAGAAACTTATTTGTGATGTGTGCCCTCAACTGACAGTGTTGAACCTTTGTTTTGATAGAGCAGTTCTGAAACACACTTTTTGTAAAATCTGCAAGAGGATATTTGGATAGCTTTGAGGATTTCGTTGGAAACGGGAATGTCTTCATGTAAACTCTAGACAGAAGCATTCTCAGAAACTGCTTTGGGATGTTTCAATTGAAGTCCCAGTGTTGAACATTCCCTTTCATAGAGCAGGTTTGAAACACTCTTTTTGTACTATCTGGAAGTGGACATTTGGAGCGCTTTCAGGTCTACGGTGAAAAAGGAGATATCTTCCAATAAAAACTAGATAGAAGCAATGTCAGAACTTTTTTCATGATGTATCTACTCAGCAAACAGAGTTGAACCTTTCTTTTGAGAGAGCAGTTTTGAAACACTCTTTTTGTGGAATATGCAAGTGGGTATTAGGCCAGCTTGGAGGATTTCGTTGGAAACGGGAATACGTATAAAAAGCAGACAGCAGCATTGTCAGAAACTACTTTGTGATGTTTGCATTCAAGTCACAGAATTGAACACTCCCTTTCACAGAGCAGGTTTGAAACACTCTTTTTGTAGTGTCTGTAAGTGAACATTTGGATTGCTTTCAGGCCTAAGGTGAAAAAGGAAATATCTTCCCATAAAAACTAGACAGAAGCATTCTCAGAAACTTGTTTGTGATGTGTGCCCTCTACTGACAGAGTTGAACCTTTCTTTGCAAAGAGCAGTTTTGAAACACTCTTTTTGTAGAATCTGCAAGAGGATATTTGGATAGCTTTGAGGATTTCTTGGGAAACGGGAATGTCTTCAGATAAACTCTAGACAGAAGCATTCTCAGAAACTTCTTTGGGATGTTTCAATTGAAGTCACAGTGTTGAACATTCCCTTTCACAGAGCAGGTTTGAAACACTCTTTTTGTAGTGTCTATAAGTGAACATTTGGCGTGCTTTCAGGCCTAACGTGAAAAAGGAAATATCTTCCCATAAAAACTAGACAGAAGCATTCTCAGAAACTTGTTCGTGATGTGTGCCCTCTACTGACAGAGTTGAACCTTTCTTTGCAAAGAGCAGCTTTGAAACACACTTTTTGTAGAATCTGCAAGAGGATATTTGGATAGCTTGGAGGATTTCGTTGGAAACGGGTATGTCTTCAGATAAACTCTAGACAGAAGCATTCTCAGAAACTTCTTTGGGATGTTGCATTCAAGTCACAGAGTAGAACATTCCCATTCATAGAGCAGATTTGAAACACTCTTTTTGTAGTATCTGGAAGTGGACATTTGGAGCGCTTTCAGGCCTATGTTGAAAAAGGAAATATCTTCCCATAAAAACTAGACGGAAGCATTCTCAGAAACTTAATTGTGATGTGTTTGCTCAACTAACAGGATTGAACCATCGTTTTGAAGGAGCAGTTTTGAAACACTGTTTTCGTGGAATCTGCAAGTGGATATTTGGCTAGCTTTGAGGATTTCGTTGGAAACGGGATTACATATACAAAGGAGACAGCAGCATTCTCAGAAACTTCTTTGTGATGTCTGCATTCAATTCACAGAGTTGAGCATTCCCTTTCATAGAGCAGGTTGGAAACACTCTTTTTGTAGTATCTGGATGAGGACATTTGGAGCGCTTTCAGGCCTATGGTGAAAAAGGAAATATCTTCCCGTAAAAACTAGACAGAAGCATTCTCAGTAGTTTATTTGTGATGTGTGCCCTCAACTAACAGAGTTGAACCTTTCTTTTGATAGAGCAGTTTTGAAACACTCTTTTTGTAAAATCTGCAAGAGGATATTTGGATAGCTTTGAGGATTTCGTTGCAAACGGGAATGGCTTCATATAAACTCTAGACAGAAGCATTCTCAGAAACTTCGTTGGGATGTTTCGATTGAAGTCCCAGTGTTGAACATTCCCTTTTATAGAGCAGGTTGGAAACACTCTTTCTGCATTCCCTGGAAGTGGACATTTGGAGCGCTTTCAGGACGACGGTGAAAATGGAAATATCTTCCAAGAAAATCTAGATAGAAGCAACGTCAGAAACTTTTCTGTGATGGATCTACTCAGCTAACAGAGTTGAACCTTTCTTTTGAGAGAGCAGTTTTGCAACACTCTTTTTGTGGAATATGCAAGTGGATATTAGGGCAGCTTTGAGGATTTCGTTGGAAACGGGAATACATGTAAAAAGCAGACAGCAGCATTCTCAGAAACTTCTTTGTGATGTTTGCATTGAAGTCACAGAGTTGAACATTCCCTTTGAGAGAGCAGGTTTGAAACACGCCTTTTGTCATATCTGGAAGTGTCCATTCGGAGCGCATTCAGGCTTGTGTTGAAAAAGGAAATATCCTCCCAGAAAAACTATACAGAAGCATTCTCAGAAACTTATCTGTGATGTATGTACTCAACTAGCAGAACTAAACCATCGTTTTGAAGGAGCAGTTTTGAAACACTCTTTTTGCGGAATCTGCAAGTGGATATTTGGCTAGCTGGGAGGATTTCGTTGGAAACGGGATTACATACAAAAAGCAGACAGCAGCATTCTCAGAAACTTCTTTGTGATGTTTGCATTCAAGTCACAGAGTTGAACATTCCCTTTCATAGAGCAGGTTTGAAACACTCTTTTTGTAGTATCTGGATGTGGACATTTGGATCGCTTTCAGGCCTATGGTGAAAAAGGAAATATCTTCCCATGAAAACTAGACAGAAGCATTCTCAGAAACTTATTTGTGATGTGTGCCCTCAACTGACAGTGTTGAACCTTTGTTTTGATAGAGCAGTTCTGAAACACACTTTTTGTAAAATCTGCAAGAGGATATTTGGATAGCTTTGAGGATTTCGTTGGAAACGGGAATGTCTTCATGTAAACTCTAGACAGAAGCATTCTCAGAAACTGCTTTGGGATGTTTCAATTGAAGTCCCAGTGTTGAACATTCCCATTCATAGAGCAGGTTTGAAACACTCTTTTTGTACTATCTGGAAGTGGACATTTGGAGCGCTTTCAGGTCTACGGTGAAAAAGGAGATATCTTCCAATAAAAACTAGATAGAAGCAATGTCAGAACTTTTTTCATGATGTATCTACTCAGCAAACAGAGTTGAACCTTTCTTTTGAGGGAGCAGTTTTGAAACACTATTTTTGTGGAATATGCAAGTGGGTATTAGGCCAGCTTGGAGGATTTCGTTGGAAACGGGAATACGTATAAAAAGCAGACAGCAGCATTGTCAGAAACTACTTTGTGATGTTTGCATTCAAGTCACAGAATTGAACACTCCCTTTCACAGAGCAGGTTTGAAACACTCTTTTTGTAGTGTCTGTAAGTGAACATTTGGATTGCTTTCAGGCCTAAGGTGAAAAAGGAAATATCTTCCCATAAAAACTAGACAGAAGCATTCTCAGAAACTTGTTCTTGATGTGTGCCCTCTACTGACAGAGTTGAACCTTTCTTTGCAAAGAGCAGTTTTGAAACACTCTTTTTGTAGAATCTGCAAGAGGATATTTGGATAGCTTTGAGGATTTCTTGGGAAACGGGAATGTCTTCAGATAAACTCTAGACAGAAGCATTCTCAGAAACTTCTTTGGGATGTTTCAATTGAAGTCACAGTGTTGAACATTCCCTTTCACAGAGCAGGTTTGAAACACTCTTTTTGTAGTGTCTATAAGTGAACATTTGGCGTGCTTTCAGGCGTAACGTGAAAAAGGAAATATCTTCCCATAAAAACCAGACAGAAGCATTCTCAGAAACTTGTTCTTGATGTGTCCCCTCTACTGACAGAGTTGAACCTTTCTTTGCAAAGAGCAGCTTTGAAACACTCTTTTTGTAGAATCTGCAAGAGGATATTTGGATAGCTTGGAGGATTTCGTTGGAAACGGGTATGTCTTCAGATAAACTCTAGACAGAAGCATTCTCAGAAACTTCTTTGGGATGTTGCATTCAAGTCACAGAGTAGAACATTCCCATTCATAGAGCAGATTTGAAACACTCTTTTTGTAGTATCTGGAAGTGGACATTTGGAGCGCTTTCAGGCCTATGTTGAAAAAGGAAATATCTTCCCATAAAAACTAGACGGAAGCATTCTCAGAAACTTATTTGTGATGTGTTTGCTCAACTAACAGGATTGAACCATCGTTTTGAAGGAGCAGTTTTGAAACACTGTTTTCGTGGAATCTGCAAGTGGATATTTGGCTAGCTTTGAGGATTTCGTTGGAAACGGGATTACATATACAAAGGAGACAGCAGCATTCTCAGAAACTTCTTTGTGATGTCTGCATTCAATTCACAGAGTTGAGCATTCCCTTTCATAGAGCAGGTTGGAAACACTCTTTTTGTAGTATCTGGATGAGGACATTTGGAGCGCTTTCAGGCGTATGGTGAAAAAGGAAATATCTTCCCGTAAAAACTAGACAGAAGCATTCTCAGAAATTTATTTGTGATGTGTGCCCTCAACTAACAGAGTTGAACCTTTCTTTTGATAGAGCAGTTTTGAAACACTCTTTTTGTAATATCTGCAAGAGGATATTTGGATAGCTTTGAGGATTTCATTGCAAACGGGAATGGCTTCATATAAACTCTAGACAGAAGCATTCTCAGAAACTTCGTTGGGATGTTTCGATTGAAGTCCCAGTGTTGAACATTCCCTTTTATAGAGCAGGTTGGAAACACTCTTTCTCCATTCCCTGGAAGTGGACATTTGGAGCGCTTTCAGGACGACGGTGAAAATGGAAATATCTTCCAATAAAATCTAGATAGAAGCAACGTCAGAAACTTTTATGTGATGGATCTACTCAGCTAACAGAGTTGAACCTTTCTTTTGAGAGAGCAGTTTTGCAACACTCTTTTTGTGGAATATGCAAGTGGATATTAGGGCAGCTTTGAGGATTTCGTTGGAAACGGGAATACATGTAAAAAGCAGACAGCAGCATTCTCAGAAACTTCTTTGTGATGTTTGCATTGAAGTCACAGAGTTGAACATTCCCTTTGAGAGAGCAGGTTTGAAACACGCCTTTTGTCATATCTGGAAGTGTCCATTCGGAGCGCATTCAGGCTTGTGTTGAAAAAGGAAATATCCTCCCATAAAAACTAGACAGAAGCATTCTCAGAAACTTATCTGTGATGTATGTACTCAACTAACAGAACTAAACCATCGTTTTGAAGGAGCAGTTTTGAAACACTCTTTTTGCGGAATCTGCAAGTGGATATTTGGCTAGCTGGGAGGATTTCGTTGGAAACGGGATTACATACAAAAAGCAGACAGCAGCATTCTCAGAAACTTCTTTGTGATGTTTGCATTCAAGTCACAGAGTTGAACATTCCCTTTCATAGAGCAGGTTTGAAACACTCTTTTTGTAGTATCTGGATGTGGACATTTGGATCGCTTTCAGGCCTATGGTGAAAAAGGAAATATCTTCCCATGAAAACTAGACAGAAGCATTCTCAGAAACTTATTTGTGATGTGTGCCCTCAACTGACAGTGTTGAACCTTTGTTTTGATAGAGCAGTTCTGAAACACACTTTTTGTAAAATCTGCAAGAGGATATTTGGATAGCTTTGAGGATTTCGTTGGAAACGGGAATGTCTTCATGTAAACTCTACACAGAAGCATTCTCAGAAACTGCTTTGGGATGTTTCAATTGAAGTCCCAGTGTTGAACATTCCCTTTCATAGAGCAGGTTTGAAACACTCTTTTTGTACTATCTGGAAGTGGACATTTGGAGCGCTTTCAGGTCTACGGTGAAAAAGGAGATATCTTCCAATAAAAACTAGATAGAAGCAATGTCAGAACTTTTTTCATGATGTATCTACTCAGCAAACAGAGTTGAACCTTTCTTTTGAGAGAGCAGTTTTGAAACACTCTTTTTGTGGAATATGCAAGTGGGTATTAGGCCAGCTTGGAGGATTTCGTTGGAAACGGGAATACGTATAAAAAGCAGACAGCAGCATTGTCAGAAACTACTTTGTGATGTTTGCATTCAAGTCACAGAATTGAACACTCCCTTTCACAGAGCAGGTTTGAAACACTCTTTTTGTAGTGTCTGTAAGTGAACATATGGATTGCTTTCAGGCCTAAGGTGAAAAAGGAAATATCTTCCCATAAAAACTAGACAGAAGCATTCTCAGAAACTTGTTTGTGATGTGTGCCCTCTACTGACAGAGTTGAACCTTTCTTTGCAAAGAGCAGTTTTGAAACACTCTTTTTGTAGAATCTGCAAGAGGATATTTGGATAGCTTTGAGGATTTCTTGGGAAACGGGAATGTCTTCAGATAAACTCTAGACAGAAGCATTCTCAGAAACTTCTTTGGGATGTTTCAATTGAAGTCACAGTGTTGAACATTCCCTTTCACAGAGCAGGTTTGAAACACTCTTTTTGTAGTGTCTATAAGTGAACATTTGGCGTGCTTTCAGGCCTAACGTGAAAAAGGAAATATCTTCCCATAAAAACTAGACAGAAGCATTCTCAGAAACTTGTTCGTGATGTGTGCCCTCTACTGACAGAGTTGAACCTTTCTTTGCAAAGAGCAGCTTTGAAACACTCTTTTTGTAGAATCTGCCAGAGGATATTTGGATAGCTTTGAGGATTTCGTTGGAAACGGGTATGTCTTCAGATAAACTCTAGACAGAAGCATTCTCAGAAACTTCTTTGGGATGTTGCATTCAAGTCACAGAGTAGAACATTCCCATTCATAGAGCAGATTTGAAACACTCTTTTTGTAGTATCTGGAAGTGGACATTTGGAGCGCTTTCAGGCCTATGTTGAAAAAGGAAATATCTTCCCATAAAAACTAGACGGAAGCATTCTCAGAAACTTACTTGTGATGTGTTTGCTCAACTAACAGAATTGAACCATCGTTTTGAAGGAGCAGTTTTGAAACACTGTTTTCGTGGAATCTGCAAGTGGATATTTGGCTAGCTTTGAGGATTTCGTTGGAAACGGGATTACATATAAAAAGGAGACAGCAGCATTCTCAGAAACTTCTTTGTGATGTCTGCATTCAAGTCACAGAGTTGAGCATTCCCTTTCATAGAGCAGGTTGGAAACACTCTTTTTGTAGTATCTGGATGAGGACATTTGGAGCGCTTTCAGGCGTATGGTGAAAAAGGAAATATCTTCCCGTAAAAACTAGACAGAAGCATTCTCAGAAATTTATTTGTGATGTGTGCCCTCAACTAACAGAGTTGAACCTTTCTTTTGATAGAGCAGTTTTGAAACACTCTTTTTGTAAAATCTGCAAGAGGATATTTGGATAGCTTTGAGGATTTCGTTGCAAACGGGAATGGCTTCATATAAACTCTAGACAGAAGCATTCTCAGAAACTTCGTTGGGATGTTTCGATTGAAGTCCCAGTGTTGAACATTCCCTTTTATAGAGCAGGTTGGAAACACTCTTTCTGCATTCCCTGGAAGTGGACATTTGGAGCGCTTTCAGGACGACGGTGAAAATGGAAATATCTTCCAAGAAAATCTAGATAGAAGCAACGTCAGAAACTTTTCTGTGATGGATCTACTCAGCTAACAGAGTTGAACCTTTCTTTTGAGAGAGCAGTTTTGCAACACTCTTTTTGTGGAATATGCAAGTGGATATTAAGGCAGCTTTGAGGATTTCGTTGGAAACGGGAATACATGTAAAAAGCAGACAGCAGCATTCTCAGAAACTTCTTTGTGATGTTTGCATTGAAGTCACAGAGTTGAACATTCCCTTTGAGAGAGCAGGTTTGAAACACGCCTTTCGTCATATCTGGAAGTGTCCATTCGGAGCGCATTCAGGCTTGTGTTGAAAAAGGAAATATCCTCCCAGAAAAACTAGACAGAAGCATTCTCAGAAACTTATCTGTGATGTATGTACTCAACTAACAGAACTAAAGCATCGTTTTGAAGGAGCAGTTTTGAAACACTCTTTTTGCGGAATCTGCAAGTGGATATTTGGCTAGCTGGGAGGATTTCGTTGGAAACGGGATTACATACAAAAAGCAGACAGCAGCATTCTCAGAAACTTATTTGTGATGTGTGCCCTCAACTGACAGTGTTGAACCTTTGTTTTGATAGAGCAGTTCTGAAACACACTTTTTGTAAAATCTGCAAGAGGATATTTGGATAGCTTTGAGGATTTCGTTGGAAACGGGAATGTCTTCATGTAAACTCTAGACAGAAGCATTCTCAGAAACTGCTTTGGGATGTTTCAATTGAAGTCCCAGTGTTGAACATTCCCTTTCATAGAGCAGGTTTGAAACCCTCTTTTTGTACTATCTGGAAGTGGACATTTGGAGCGCTTTCAGGTCTACGGTGAAAAAGGAGATATCTTCCAATAAAAACTAGATAGAAGCAATGTCAGAACTTTTTTCATGATGTATCTACTCAGCAAACAGAGTTGAACCTTTCTTTTGAGAGAGCAGTTTTGAAACACTCCTTTTGTGGAATATGCAAGTGGGTATTAGGCCAGCTTGGAGGATTTCGTTGGAAACGGGTAATACGTATAAAAAGCAGACAGCAGCATTGTCAGAAACTACTTTGTGATGTTTGCATTCAAGTCACAGAACTGAACACTCCCTTTCACAGAGCAGGTTTGAAACACTCTTTTTGTAGTGTCTGTAAGTGAACATTTGGATTGCTTTCAGGCCTAAGGTGAAAAAGGAAATATCTTCCCATAAAAACTAGACAGAAGCATTCTCAGAAACTTGTTTGTGATGTGTGCCCTCTACTGACAGAGTTGAACCTTTCTTTGCAAAGAGCAGTTTTGAAACACTCTTTTTGTAGAATCTGCAAGAGGATATTTGGATAGCTTTGAGGATTTCTTGGGAAACGGGAATGTCTTCAGAAAAACTCTAGACAGAAGCATTCTCAGAAACTTCTTTGGGATGTTTCAATTGAAGTCACAGTGTTGAACATTCCCTTTCACAGAGCAGGTTTGAAACACTCTTTTTGTAGTGTCTATAATTGAACATTTGGCGTGCTTTCAGGCCTAACGTGAAAAAGGAAATATCTTCCCATAAAAACTAGACAGAAGCATTCTCAGAAACTTGTTCGTGATGTGTGCCCTCTACTGACAGAGTTGAACCTTTCTTTGCAAAGAGCAGCTTTGAAACACTCTTTTTGTAGAATCTGCAAGAGGATATGTGGATAGATTTGAGGATTTCGTTGGAAACGGGTATGTCTTCAGATAAACTCTAGACAGAAGCATTCTCAGAAACTTCTTCGGGATGTTTCAATTGAAGTCATTGTTGAACATTCCCTTTCACAGAGCAGGTTTGAAACACTCTTTTTGTAGTGTCTATGAGTGAACATTTGGCGTGCTTTCAGGCGTAACGTGAAAAAGGAAATATCTTCCCATAAAAACTAGACAGAAGCATTCTCAGAAACTTGTTCTTGATGTGTCCCCTCTACTGACAGAGTTGAACCTTTCTTTGCAAAGAGCAGCTTTGAAACACTCTTTTTGTAGAATCTGCAAGAGGATATTTGGATAGCTTGGAGGATTTCGTTGGAAACGGGTATGTCTTCAGATAAACTCTAGACAGAAGCATTCTCAGAAACTTCTTTGGGATGTTGCATTCAAGTCACAGAGTAGAACATTCCCATTCATAGAGCAGATTTGAAACACTCTTTTTGTAGTATCTGGAAGTGGACATTTGGAGCGCTTTCAGGCCTATGTTGAAAAAGGAAATATCTTCCCATCAAAACTAGACGGAAAGCATTCTCAGAAACTTATTTGTGATGTGTTTGCTCAACTAACAGGATTGAACCATCGTTTTGAAGGAGCAGTTTTGAAACACTGTTTTCGTGGAATCTGCAAGTGGATATTTGGCTAGCTTTGAGGATTTCGTTGGAAACGGGATTACATATAAAAAGGAGACAGAGCATTCTCAGAAACTTCTTTGTGATGTCTGCATTCAATTCACAGAGTTGAGCATTCCCTTTCATAGAGCAGGTTGGAAACTCTCTTTTTGTAGTATCTGGATGTGGACATTTGGATCGCTTTCAGGCCTATGGTGAAAAAGGAAATATCTTCCCATGAAAACTAGACAGAAGCATTCTCAGAAATTTATTTGTGATGTGTGCCCTCAACTAACAGAGTTGAACCTTTCTTTTGATAGAGCAGTTTTGAAACACTCTTTTTGTAAAATCTGCAAGAGGATATTTGGATAGCTTTGAGGATTTCGTTGCAAACGGGAATGGCTTCATATAAACTCTAGACAGAAGCATTCTCAGAAACTTCGTTGGGATGTTTCGATTGAAGTCCCAGTGTTGAACATTCCCTTTTATAGAGCAGGTTGGAAACACTCTTTCTGCATTCCCTGGAAGTGGACATTTGGAGCGCTTTCAGGACGACGGTGAAAATGGAAATATCTTCCAAGAAAATCTAGATAGAAGCAATGTCAGAAACTTTTATGTGATGGATCTACTCAGCTAACAGAGTTGAACCTTTCTTTTGAGAGAGCAGTTTTGCAACACTCTTTTTGTGGAATATGCAAGTGGATATTAGGGCAGCTTTGAGGATTTCGTTGGAAACGGGAATACATGTAAAAAGCAGACAGCAGCATTCTCAGAAACTTCTTTGTGATGTTTGCATTGAAGTCACAGAGTTGAACATTCCCTTTGAGAGAGCAGGTTTGAAACACGCCTTTTGTCATATCTGGAAGTGTCCATTCGGAGCGCATTCAGGCTTGTGTTGAAAAAGGAAATATCCTCCCATAAAAAGTATACAGAAAGCATTCTCAGAAACTTATCTGTGATGTATGTACTCAACTAACAGAACTAAACCATCGTTTTGAAGGAGCAGTTTTGAAACACTCTTTTTGCGGAATCTGCAAGTGGATATTTGGCTAGCTGGGAGGATTTCGTTGGAAACGGGATTACATACAAAAAGCAGACAGCAGCATTCTCAGAAACTTCTTTGTGATGTTTGCATTCAAGTCACAGAGTTGAACATTCCCTTTCATAAAGCAGGTTTGAAACACTCTTTTTGTAGTATCTGGATGTGGACATTTGGATCGCTTTCAGGCCTATGGTGAAAAAGGAAATATCTTCCCATGAAAACTAGACAGAAGCATTCTCAGAAACTTATTTGTGATGTGTGCCCTCAACTGACAGTGTTGAACCTTTGTTTTGATAGAGCAGTTCTGAAACACACTTTTTGTAAAATCTGCAAGAGGATATTTGGATAGCTTTGAGGATTTCGTTGGAAACGGGAATGTCTTCATGTAAACTCTAGACAGAAGCATTCTCAGAAACTGCTTTGGGATGTTTCAATTGAAGTCCCAGTGTTGAACATTCCCATTCATAGAGCAGGTTTGAAACACTCTTTTTGTACTATCTGGAAGTGGACATTTGGAGCGCTTTCAGGTCTACGGTGAAAAAGGAGATATCTTCCAATAAAAACTAGATAGAAGCAATGTCAGAACTTTTTCCATGATGTATCTACTCAGCAAACAGAGTTGAACCTTTCTTTTGAGAGAGCAGTTTTGAAACACTCTTTTTGTGGAATATGCAACTGGGTATTAGGTCAGCTTGGAGGATTTCGTTGGAAACGGGAATACGTATAAAAAGCAGACAGCAGCATTGTCAGAAACTACTTTGTGATGTTTGCATTCAAGTCACAGAATTGAACACTCCCTTTCACAGAGCAGGTTTGAAACACTCTTTTTGTAGTGTCTGTAAGTGAACATTTGGATTGCTTTCAGGCCTAAGGTGAAAAAGGAAATATCTTCCCATAAAAACTAGACAGAAGCATTCTCAGAAACTTGTTTGTGATGTGTGCCCTCTACTGACAGAGCTGAACCTTTCTTTGCAAAGAGCAGTTTTGAAACACTCTTTTTGTAGAATCTGCAAGAGGATATTTGGATAGCTTTGAGGATTTCTTGGGAAACGGGAATGTCTTCAGATAAACTCTAGACAGAAGCATTCTCAGTAAACTTCTTTGGGATGTTTCAATTGAAGTCACAGTGTTGAACATTCCCTTTCACAGAGCAGGTTTGAAACACTCTTTTTGTAGTGTCTATAAGTGAACATTTGGCGTGCTTTCAGGCGTAACGTGAAAAAGGAAATATCTTCCCATAAAAACTAGACAGAAGCATTCTCAGAAACTTGTTCTTGATGTGTCCCCTCTACTGACAGAGTTGAACCTTTCTTTGCAAAGAGCAGCTTTGAAACACTCTTTTTGTAGAATCTGCAAGAGGATATTTGGATAGCTTGGAGGATTTCGTTGGAAACGGGTATGTCTTCAGATAAACTCTAGACAGAAGCATTCTCAGAAACTTCTTTGGGATGTTGCATTCAAGTCACAGAGTAGAACATTCCCATTCATAGAGCAGATTTGAAACACTCTTTTTGTAGTATCTGGAAGTGGACATTTGGAGCGCTTTCAGGCCTATGTTGAAAAAGGAAATATCTTCCCATAAAAACTACACGGAAGCATTCTCAGAAACTTATTTGTGATGTGTTTGCTCAACTAACAGGATTGAACCATCGTTTTGAAGGAGCAGTTTTGAAACACTGTTTTCGTGGAATCTGCAAGTGGATATTTGGCTAGCTTTGAGGATTTCGTTGGAAACGGGATTACATATAAAAAGGAGACAGCAGCATTCTCAGAAACTTCTTTGTGATGTTTGCATTCAATTCACAGAGTTGAGCATTCCCTTTGATAGAGCAGGTTGGAAACACTCTTTTTGTAGTATCTGGATGTGGACATTTGGATCGCTTTCAGGCCTATGGTGAAAAAGGAAATATCTTCCCATGAAAACTAGACAGAAGCATTCTCAGAAATTTATTTGTGATGTGTGCCCTCAACTAACAGAGTTGAACCTTTCTTTTGATAGAGCAGTTTTGAAACACTCTTTTTGTAAAATCTGCAAGAGGATATTTGGATAGCTTTGAGGATTTCATTGCAAACGGGAATGGCTTCATATAAACTCTAGACAGAAGCATTCTCAGAAACTTCGTTGGGATGTTTCGATTGAAGTCCCAGTGTTGAACATTCCCTTTTATAGAGCAGGTTGGAAACACTCTTTCTGCATTCCCTGGAAGTGGACATTTGGAGCGCTTTCAGGACGACGGTGAAAATGGAAATATCTTCCAATAAAATCTAGATAGAAGCAACGTCAGAAACTTTTATGTGATGGATCTACTCAGCTAACAGAGTTGAACCTTTCTTTTGAGAGAGCAGTTTTGCAACACTCTTTTTGTGGAATATGCAAGTGGATATTAGGGCAGCTTTGAGGATTTCGTTGGAAACGGGAATACATGTAAAAAGCAGACAGCAGCATTCTCAGAAACTTCTTTGTGATGTTTGCATTGAAGTCACAGAGTTGAACATTCCCTTTGAGAGAGCAGGTTTGAAACACGCCTTTTGTCATATCTGGAAGTGTCCATTCGGAGCGCATTCAGGCTTGTGTTGAAAAAGGAAATATCCTCCCATAAAAACTAGACAGAAGCATTCTCAGAAACTTATTTGTGATGTATGTACTCAAGTAACAGAACTAAACCATCGTTTTGAAGGAGCAGTTTTGAAACACTCTTTTTGCGGAATCTGCAAGTGGATATTTGGCTAGCTGGGAGGATTTCGTTGGAAACGGGATTACATACAAAAAGCAGACAGCAGCATTCTCAGAAACTTCTTTGTGATGTTTGCATTCAAGTCACAGAGTTGAACATTCCCTTTCATAGAGCAGGTTTGAAACACTCTTTTTGTAGTATCTGGATGTGGACATTTGGATCGCTTTCAGGCCTATGGTGAAAAAGGAAATATCTTCCCATGAAAACTAGACAGAAGCATTCTCAGAAACTTATTTGTGATGTGTGCCCTCAACTGACAGTGTTGAACCTTTGTTTTGATAGAGCAGTTCTGAAACACACTTTTTGTAAAATCTGCAAGAGGATATTTGGATAGCTTTGAGGATTTCGTTGGAAACGGGAATGTCTTCATGTAAACTCTAGACAGAAGCATTCTCAGAAACTGCTTTGGGATGTTTCAATTGAAGTCCCAGTGTTGAACATTCCCATTCATAGAGCAGGTTTGAAACACTCTTTTTGTACTATCTGGAAGTGGACATTTGGAGCGCTTTCAGGTCTACGGTGAAAAAGGAGATATCTTCCAATAAAAACTAGATAGAAGCAATGTCAGAACTTTTTTCATGATGTATCTACTCAGCAAACGGAGTTGAACCTTTCTTTTGAGGGAGCAGTTTTGAAACACTATTTTTGTGGAATATGCAAGTGGGTATTAGGCCAGCTTGGAGGATTTCGTTGGAAACGGTAATACGTATAAAAAGCAGACAGCAGCATTGTCAGAAACTACTTTGTGATGTTTGCATTCAAGTCACAGAATTGAACACTCCCTTTCACAGAGCAGGTTTGAAACACTCTTTTTGTAGTGTCTGTAAGTGAACATTTGGATTGCTTTCAGGCCTAAGGTGAAAAAGGAAATATCTTCCCATAAAAACTAGACAGAAGCATTCTCAGAAACTTGTTTGTGATGTGTGCCCTCTACTGACAGAGTTGAACCTTTCTTTGCAAAGAGCAGTTTTCAAACACTCTTTTTGTAGAATCTGCAAGAGGATATTTGGATAGCTTTGAGGATTTCTTGGGAAACGGGAATGTCTTCAGATAAACTCTAGACAGAAGCATTCTCAGAAACTTCTTTGGGATGTTTCAATTGAAGTCACAGTGTTGAACATTCCCTTTCACAGAGCAGGTTTGAAACACTCTTTTTGTAGTGTCTATAAGTGAACATTTGGCGTGCTTTCAGGCCTAACGTGAAAAAGGAAATATCTTCCCATAAAAACTAGACAGAAGCATTCTCAGAAACTTGTTCTTGATGTGTCCCTTCTACTGACAGAGTTGAACCTTTCTTTGCAAAGAGCAGCTTTGAAACACTCTTTTTGTAGAATCTGCAAGAGGATATTTGGATAGCTTGGAGGATTTCGTTGGAAACGGGTATGTCTTCAGATAAACTCTAGACAGAAGCATTCTCAGAAACTTCTTTGGGATGTTGCATTCAAGTCACAGAGTAGAACATTCCCATTCATAGAGCAGATTTGAAACACTCTTTTTGTAGTATCTGGAAGTGGACATTTGGAGCGCTTTCAGGCCTATGTTGAAAAAGGAAATATCTTCCCATAAAAACTAGACGGAAGCATTCTCAGAAACTTACTTGTGATGTGTTTGCTCAACTAACAGAATTGAACCATCGTTTTGAAGGAGCAGTTTTGAAACACTGTTTTCGTGGAATCTGCAAGTGGATATTTGGCTAGCTTTGAGGATTTCGTTGGAAACGGGATTACATATAAAAAGGAGACAGCAGCATTCTCAGAAACTTCTTTGTGATGTCTGCATTCAAGTCACAGAGTTGAGCATTCCCTTTCATAGAGCAGGTTGGAAACACTCTTTTTGTAGTATCTGGATGAGGACATTTGGAGCGCTTTCAGGCGTATGGTGAAAAAGGAAATATCTTCCCGTAAAAACTAGACAGAAGCATTCTCAGAAATTTATTTGTGATGTGTGCCCTCAACTAACAGAGTTGAACCTTTCTTTTGATAGAGCAGTTTTGAAACACTCTTTTTGTAAAATCTGCAAGAGGATATTTGGATAGCTTTGAGGATTTCGTTGCAAACGGGAATGGCTTCATATAAACTCTAGACAGAAGCATTCTCAGAAACTTCGTTGGGATGTTTCGATTGAAGTCCCAGTGTTGAACATTCCCTTTTATAGAGCAGGTTGGAAACACTCTTTCTGCATTCCCTGGAAGTGGACATTTGGAGCGCTTTCAGGACGACGGTGAAAATGGAAATATCTTCCAATAAAATCTAGATAGAAGCAATGTCAGAAACTTTTATGTGATGGATCTACTCAGCTAACAGAGTTGAACCTTTCTTTTGAGAGAGCAGTTTTGCAACACTCTTTTTGTGGAATATGCAAGTGGATATTAGGGCAGCTTTGAGGATTTCGTTGGAAACGGGAATACATGTAAAAAGCAGACAGCAGCATTCTCAGAAACTTCTTTGTGATGTTTGCATTGAAGTCACAGAGTTGAACATTCCCTTTGAGAGAGCAGGTTTGAAACACGCCTTTTGTCATATCTGGAAGTGTCCATTCGGAGCGCATTCAGGCTTGTGTTGAAAAAGGAAATATCCTCCCATAAAAACTAGACAGAAGCATTCTCAGAAACTTATCTGTGATGTATGTACTCAACTAACAGAACTAAACCATCGTTTTGAAGGAGCAGTTTTGAAACACTCTTTTTGCGGAATCTGCAAGTGGATATTTGGCTAGCTGGGAGGATTTCGTTGGAAACGGGATTACATACAAAAAGCAGACAGCAGCATTCTCAGAAACTTCTTTGTGATGTTTGCATTCAAGTCACAGAGTTGAACATTCCCTTTCATAGAGCAGGTTTGAAACACTCTTTTTGTAGTATCTGGATGTGGACATTTGGATCGCTTTCAGGCCTATGGTGAAAAAGGAAATATCTTCCCATGAAAACTAGACAGAAGCATTCTCAGAAACTTATTTGTGATGTGTGCCCTCAACTGACAGTGTTGAACCTTTGTTTTGATAGAGCAGTTCTGAAACACACTTTTTGTAAAATCTGCAAGAGGATATTTGGATAGCTTTGAGGATTTCGTTGGAAACGGGGAATGTCTTCATGTAAACTCTAGACAGAAGCATTCTCAGAAACTGCTTTGGGATGTTTCAATTGAAGTCCCAGTGTTGAACATTCCCTTTCATAGAGCAGGTTTGAAACACTCTTTTTGTACTATCTGGAAGTGGACATTTGGAGCGCTTTCAGGTCTACGGTGAAAAAGGAGATATCTTCCAATAAAAACTAGATAGATAAAGAAGCAATGTCAGAACTTTTTTCATGATGTATCTACTCAGCAAACAGAGTTGAACCTTTCTTTTGAGGGAGCAGTTTTGAAACACTATTTTTGTGGAATATGCAAGTGGGTATTAGGCCAGCTTGGAGGATTTCGTTGGAAACGGTAATACGTATAAAAAGCAGACAGCAGCATTGTCAGAAACTACTTTGTGATGTTTGCATTCAAGTCACAGAATTGAACACTCCCTTTCACAGAGCAGGTTTGAAACACTCTTTTTGTAGTGTCTGTAAGTGAACATTTGGATTGCTTTCAGGCCTAAGGTGAAAAAGGAAATATCTTCCCATAAAAACTAGACAGAAGCATTCTCAGAAACTTGTTTGTGATATGTGCCCTCTACTGACAGAGTTGAACCTTTCTTTGCAAAGAGCAGTTTTGAAACACTCTTTTTGTAGAATCTGCAAGAGGATATTTGGATAGCTTTGAGGATTTCTTGGGAAACGGGAATGTCTTCAGATAAACTCTAGACAGAAGCATTCTCAGCAAACTTCTTTGGGATGTTTCAATTGAAGTCACAGTGTTGAACATTCCCTTTCACAGAGCAGGTTTGAAACACTCTTTTTGTAGTGTCTATAATTGAACATTTGGCGTGCTTTCAGGCCTAACGTGAAAAAGGAAATATCTTCCCATAAAAACTAGACAGAAGCATTCTCAGAAACTTGTTCGTGATGTGTGCCCTCTACTGACAGACTTGAACCTTTCTTTGCAAAGAGCAGCTTTGAAACATTCTTTTTGTAGAATCTGCCAGAGGATATTTGGATAGCTTTGAGGATTTCGTTGGAAACGGGTATGTCTTCAGATAAACTCTAGACAGAAGCATTCTCAGAAACTTCTTTGGGATGTTGCATTCAAGTCACAGAGTAGAACATTCCCATTCATAGAGCAGATTTGAAACACTCTTTTTGTAGTATCTGGAAGTGGACATTTGGAGCGCTTTCAGGCCTATGTTGAAAAAGGAAATATCTTCCCATAAAAACTAGACGGAAGCATTCTCAGAAACTTACTTGTGATGTGTTTGCTCAACTAACAGAATTGAACCATCGTTTTAAAGGAGCAGTTTTGAAACACTGTTTTCGTGGAATCTGCAAGTGGATATTTGGCTAGCTTTGAGGATTTCGTTGGAAACGGGATTACATATAAAAAGGAGACAGCAGCATTCTCAGAAACTTCTTTGTGATGTCTGCATTCAAGTCACAGAGTTGAGCATTCCCTTTCATAGAGCAGGTTGGAAACACTCTTTTTGTAGTATCTGGATGAGGACATTTGGAGCGCTTTCAGGCCTATGGTGAAAAAGGAAATATCTTCCCGTAAAAACTAGACAGAAGCATTCTCAGAAATTTATTTGTGATGTGTGCCCTCAACTAACAGAGTTGAACCTTTCTTTTGATAGAGCAGTTTTGAAACACTCTTTTTGTAAAATCTGCAAGAGGATATTTGGATAGCTTTGAGGATTTCGTTGCAAACGGGAATGGCTTCATATAAACTCTAGACAGAAGCATTCTCAGAAACTTCGTTGGGATGTTTCGATTGAAGTCCCAGTGTTGAACATTCCCTTTTATAGAGCAGGTTGGAAACACTCTTTCTGCATTCCCTGGAAGTGGACATTTGGAGCGCTTTCAGGACGACGGTGAAAATGGAAATATCTTCCAAGAAAATCTAGATAGAAGCAATGTCAGAAACTTTTATGTGATGGATCTACTCAGCTAACAGAGTTGAACCTTTCTTTTGAGAGAGCAGTTTTGCAACACTCTTTTTGTGGAATATGCAAGTGGATATTAGGCCAGCTTTGAGGATTTCGTTGGAAACGGGAATACATGTAAAAAGCAGACAGCAGCATTCTCAGAAACTTCTTTGTGATGTTTGCATTGAAGTCACAGAGTTGAACATTCCCTTTGAGAGAGCAGGTTTGAAACACGCCTTTTGTCATATCTGGAAGTGTCCATTCGGAGCGCATTCAGGCTTGTGTTGAAAAAGGAAATATCCTCCCATAAAAACTATACAGAAGCATTCTCAGAAACTGATTTGTGATGTATGTACTCAACTAACAGAACTAAACCATCGTTTTGAAGGAGCAGTTTTGAAACACTCTTTTTGCGGAATCTGCAAGTGGATATTTGGCTAGCTGGGAGGATTTCGTTGGAAACGGGATTACATACAAAAAGCAGACAGCAGCATTCTCAGAAACTTCTTTGTGATGTTTGCATTCAAGTCACAGAGTTGAACATTCCCTTTCATAGAGCAGGTTTGAAACACTCTTTTTGTAGTATCTGGATGTGGACATTTGGATCGCTTTCAGGCCTATGGTGAAAAAGGAAATATCTTCCCATGAAAACTAGACAGAAGCATTCTCAGAAACTTATTTGTGATGTGTGCCCTCAACTGACAGTGTTGAACCTTTGTTTTGATAGAGCAGTTCTGAAACACACTTTTTGTAAAATCTGCAAGAGGATATTTGCATAGCTTTGAGGATTTCGTTGGAAACGGGAATGTCTTCATGTAAACTCTAGACAGAAGCATTCTCAGAAACTGCTTTGGGATGTTTCAATTGAAGTCCCAGTGTTGAACATTCCCTTTCATAGAGCAGGTTTGAAACACTCTTTTTGTACTATCTGGAAGTGGACATTTGGAGCGCTTTCAGGTCTACGGTGAAAAAGGAGATATCTTCCAATAAAAACTAGATAGAAGCAATGTCAGAACTTTTTTCATGATGTATCTACTCAGCAAACAGAGTTGAACCTTTCTTTTGAGAGAGCAGTTTTGAAACACTCTTTTTGTGGAATATGCAAGTGGGTATTAGGCCAGCTTGGAGGATTTCGTTGGAAACGGGAATACGTATAAAAAGCAGACAGCAGCATTGTCAGAAACTACTTTGTGATGTTTGCATTCAAGTCACAGAATTGAACACTCCCTTTCACAGAGCAGGTTTGAAACACTCTTTTTGTAGTGTCTGTAAGTGAACATTTGGATTGCTTTCAGGCCTAAGGTGAAAAAGGAAATATCTTCCCATAAAAACTAGACAGAAGCATTCTCAGAAACTTGTTTGTGATGTGTGCCCTCTACTGACAGAGTTGAACCTTTCTTTGCAAAGAGCAGTTTTGAAACACTCTTTTTGTAGAATCTGCAAGAGGATATTTGGATAGCTTTGAGGATTTCTTGGGAAACGGGAATGTCTTCATGTAAACTCTGGACAGAAGCATTCTCAGAAACTGCTTTGGGATGTTTCAATTGAAGTCCCAGTGTTGAACATTCCCTTTCATAGAGCAGGTTTGAAACACTCTTTTTGTACTATCTGGAAGTGGACATTTGGAGCGCTTTCAGGTCTACGGTGAAAAAGGAGATATCTTCCAATAAAAACTAGATAGAAGCAATGTCAGAACTTTTTTCATGATGTATCTACTCAGCAAACAGAGTTGAACCTTTCTTTTGAGAGAGCAGTTTTGAAACACTCTTTTTGTGGAATATGCAAGTGGGTATTAGGCCAGCTTGGAGGATTTCGTTGGAAACGGGAATACGTATAAAAAGCAGACAGCAGCATTGTCAGAAACTACTTTGTGATGTTTGCATTCAAGTCACAGAATTGAACACTCCCTTTCACAGAGCAGGTTTGAAACACTCTTTTTGTAGTGTCTGTAAGTGAACATTTGGATTGCTTTCAGGCCTAAGGTGAAAAAGGAAATATCTTCCCATAAAAACTAGACAGAAGCATTCTCAGAAACTTGTTTGTGATGTGTGCCCTCTACTGACAGAGTTGAACCTTTCTTTGCAAAGACCAGTTTTGAAACACTCTTTTTGTAGAATCTGCAAGAGGATATTTGGATAGCTTTGAGGATTTCTTGGGAAACGGGAATGTCTTCAGATAAACTCTAGACAGAAGCATTCTCAGAAACTTCTTTGGGATGTTTCAATTGAAGTCACAGTGTTGAACATTCCCTTTCACAGAGCAGGTTTGAAACACTCTTTTTGTAGTGTCTATAAGTGAACATTTGGCGTGCTTTCAGGCCTAACGTGAAAAAGGAAATATCTTCCCATAAAAACTAGACAGAAGCATTCTCAGAAACTTGTTCTTGATGTGTCCCCTCTACTGACAGAGTTGAACCTTTCTTTGCAAAGAGCAGCTTTGAAACACTCTTTTTGTAGAATCTGCAAGAGGATATTTGGATAGCTTGGAGGATTTCGTTGGAAACGGGTATGTCTTCAGATAAACTCTAGACAGAAGCATTCTCAGAAACTTCTTTGGGATGTTGCATTCAAGTCACAGAGTAGAACATTCCCATTCATAGAGCAGATTTGAAACACTCTTTTTGTAGTATCTGGAAGTGGACATTTGGAGCGCTTTCAGGCCTATGTTGAAAAAGGAAATATCTTCCCATAAAAACTAGACGGAAGCATTCTCAGAAACTTATTTGTGATATGTTTGCTCAACTAACAGGATTGAACCATCGTTTTGAAGGAGCAGTTTTGAAACACTGTTTTCGTGGAATCTGCAAGTGGATATTTGGCTAGCTTTGAGGATTTCGTTGGAAACGGGATTACATATAAAAAGGAGACAGCAGCATTCTCAGAAACTTCTTTGTGATGTCTGCATTCAATTCACAGAGTTGAGCATTCCCTTTCATAGAGCAGGTTGGAAACACTCTTTTTGTAGTATCTGGATGAGGACATTTGGAGCGCTTTCAGGCGTATGGTGAAAAAGGAAATATCTTCCCGTAAAAACTAGACAGAAGCATTCTCAGAAGTTTATTTGTGATGTGTGCCCTCAACTAACAGACTTGAACCTTTCTTTTGATAGAGCAGTTTTGAAACACTCATTTTGTAAAATCTGCAAGAGGATATTTGGATAGCTTTGAGGATTTCGTTGCAAACGGGAATGGCTTCATATAAACTCTAGACAGAAGCATTCTCAGAAACTTCGTCGGGATGTTTCGATTGAAGTCCCAGTGTTGAACATTCCCTTTTATAGAGCAGGTTAGAAACACTCTTTCTGCATTCCCTGGAAGTGGACAATTGGAGCGCTTTCAGGACGACGGTGAAAATGGAAATATCTTCCAATAAAATCTGGATAGAAGCAATGTCAGAAACTTTTATGTGATGGATCTACTCAGCTAACAGAGTTGAACCTTTCTTTTGAGAGAGCAGTTTTGCAACACTCTTTTTGTGGAATATGCAAGTGGATATTAGGGCAGCTTTGAGGATTTCGTTGGAAACGGGAATACATGTAAAAAGCAGACAGCAGCATTCTCAGAAACTTCTTTGTGATGTTTGCATTGAAGTCACAGAGTTGAACATTCCCTTTGAGAGAGCAGGTTTGAAACACGCCTTTTGTCATATCTGGAAGTGTCCATTCGGAGCGCATTCAGGCTTGTGTTGAAAAAGGAAATATCCTCCCATAAAAACTAGACAGAAGCATTCTCAGAAACTTATCTGTGATGTATGTACTCAACTAACAGAACTAAACCATCGTTTTGAAGGAGCAGTTTTGAAACACTCTTTTTGCGGAATCTGCAAGTGGATATTTGGCTAGCTGGGAGGATTTCGTTGGAAACGGGATTACATACAAAAAGCAGACAGCAGCATTCTCAGAAACTTCTTTGTGATGTTTGCATTCAAGTCACAGAGTTGAACATTCCCTTTCATAGAGCAGGTTGGAAACACTCTTTTTGTAGTATCTGGATGTGGACATTTGGATCGCTTTCAGGCCTATGGTGAAAAAGGAAATATCTTCCCATGAAAACTAGACAGAAGCATTCTCAGAAACTTATTTGTGATGTGTGCCCTCAACTGACAGTGTTGAACCTTTGTTTTGATAGAGCAGTTCTGAAACACACTTTTTGTAAAATCTGCAAGAGGATATTTGGATAGCTTTGAGGATTTCGTTGGAAACGGGAATGTCTTCATGTAAACTCTGGACAGAAGCATTCTCAGAAACTGCTTTGGGATGTTTCAATTGAAGTCCCAGTGTTGAACATTCCCTTTCATAGAGCAGGTTTGAAACACTCTTTTTCTACTATCTGGAAGTGGACATTTGGAGCGCTTTCAGGTCTACGGTGAAAAAGGAGATATCTTCCAATAAAAACTAGATAGAAGCAATGTCAGAACTTTTTTCATGATGTATCTACTCAGCAAACAGAGTTGAACCTTTCTTTTGAGAGAGCAGTTTTGAAACACTCTTTTTGTGGAATATGCAAGTGGGTATTAGGCCAGCTTGGAGGATTTCGTTGGAAACGGGAATACGTATAAAAAGCAGACAGCAGCATTGTCAGAAACTACTTTGTGATGTTTGCATTCAAGTCACAGAATTGAACACTCCCTTTCACAGAGCAGGTTTGAAACACTCTTTTTGTAGTGTCTGTAAGTGAACATTTGGATTGCTTTCAGGCCTAAGGTGAAAAAGGAAATATCTTCCCATAAAAACTAGACAGAAGCATTCTCAGAAACTTGTTTGTGATGTGTGCCCTCTACTGACAGAGTTGAACCTTTCTTTGCAAAGAGCAGTTTTGAAACACTCTTTTTGTAGAATCTGCAAGAGGATATTTGGATAGCTTTGAGGATTTCTTGGGAAACGGGAATGTCTTCAGATAAACTCTAGACAGAAGCATTCTCAGAAACTTCTTTGGGATGTTTCAATTGAAGTCACAGTGTTGAACATTCCCTTTCACAGAGCAGGTTTGAAACACTCTTTTTGTAGTGTCTATAAGTGAACATTTGGCGTGCTTTCAGGACTAACGTGAAAAAGGAAATATCTTCCCATAAAAACTAGACAGAAGCATTCTCAGAAACTTGTTCTTGATGTGTCCCCTCTACTGACAGAGTTGAACCTTTCTTTGCAAAGAGCAGCTTTGAAACACTCTTTTTGTAGAATCTGCAAGAGGATATTTGGATAGCTTGGAGGATTTCGTTGGAAACGGGTATGTCTTCAGATAAACTCTAGACAGAAGCATTCTCAGAAACTTCTTTGGGATGTTGCATTCAAGTCACAGAGTAGAACATTCCCATTCATAGAGCAGATTTGAAACACTCTTTTTGTAGTATCTGGAAGTGGACATTTGGAGCGCTTTCAGGCCTATGTTGAAAAAGGAAATATCTTCCCATAAAAACTAGACGGAAGCATTCTCAGAAACTTATTTGTGATGTGTTTGCTCAACTAACAGGATTGAACCATCGTTTTGAAGGAGCAGTTTTGAAACACTGTTTTCGTGGAATCTGCAAGTGGATATTTGGCTAGCTTTGAGGATTTCGTTGGAAACGGGATTACATATAAAAAGGAGACAGCAGCATTCTCAGAAACTTCTTTGTGATGTCTGCATTCAATTCACAGAGTTGAGCATTCCCTTTCATAGAGCAGGTTGGAAACACTCTTTTTGTAGTATCTGGATGAGGACATTTGGAGCGCTTTCAGGCCTATGGTGAAAAAGGAAATATCTTCCCGTAAAAACTAGACAGAAGCATTCTCAGAAGTTTATTTGTGATGTGTGCCCTCAACTAACAGAGTTGAACCTTTCTTTTGATAGAGCAGTTTTGAAACACTCTTTTTGTAAAATCTGCAAGAGGATATTTGGATAGCTTTGAGGATTTCGTTGCAAACGGGAATGGCTTCATATAAACTCTAGACAGAAGCATTCTCAGAAACTTCGTTGGGATGTTTCGATTGAAGTCCCAGTGTTGAACATTCCCTTTTATAGAGCAGGTTGGAAACACTCTTTCTGCATTCCCTGGAAGTGGACATTTGGAGCGCTTTCAGGACGACGGTGAAAATGGAAATATCTTCCAAGAAAATCTAGATAGAAGCAATGTCAGAAACTTTTATGTGATGGATCTACTCAGCTAACAGAGTTGAACCTTTCTTTTGAGAGAGCAGTTTTGTAACACTCTTTTTGTGGAATATGCAAGTGGATATTAGGGCAGCTTTGAGGATTTCGTTGGAAACGGGAATACATGTAAAAAGCAGACAGCAGCATTCTCAGAAACTTCTTTGTGATGTTTGCATTGAAGTCACAGAGTTGAACATTCCCTTTGAGAGAGCAGGTTTGAAACACGCCTTTTGTCATATCTGGAAGTGTCCATTCGGAGCGCATTCAGGCTTGTGTTGAAAAAGGAAATATCCTCCCATAAAAACTAGACAGAAGCATTCTCAGAAACTTATCTGTGATGTATGTACTCAACTAACAGAACTAAACCATCGTTTTGAAGGAGCAGTTTTGAAACACTCTTTTTGCGGAATCTGCAAGTGGATATTTGGCTAGCTGGGAGGATTTCGTTGGAAACGGGATTACATACAAAAAGCAGACAGCAGCATTCTCAGAAACTTCTTTGTGATGTTTGCATTCAAGTCACAGAGTTGAACATTCCCTTTCATAGAGCAGGTTTGAAACACTCTTTTTGTAGTATCTGGATGTGGACATTTGGATCGCTTTCAGGCCTATGGTGAAAAAGGAAATATCTTCCCATGAAAACTAGACAGAAGCATTCTCAGAAACTTATTTGTGATGTGTGCCCTCAACTGACAGTGTTGAACCTTTGTTTTGATAGAGCAGTTCTGAAACACACTTTTTGTAAAATCTGCAAGAGGATATTTGGATAGCTTTGAGGATTTCGTTGGAAACGGGAATGTCTTCATGTAAACTCTAGACAGAAGCATTCTCAGAAACTGCTTTGGGATGTTTCAACTGAAGTCCCAGTGTTGAACATTCCCATTCATAGAGCAGGTTTGAAACACTCTTTTTGTACTATCTGGAAGTGGACATTTGGAGCGCTTTCAGGTCTACGGTGAAAAAGGAGATATCTTCCAATAAAAACTAGATAGAAGCAATGTCAGAACGTTTTTCATGATGTATCTACTCAGCAAACAGAGTTGAACCTTTCTTTTGAGAGAGCAGTTTTGACACAGTCTTTGTGGAATATGCAAGTGGGTATTAGGCCAGCTTGGAGGATTTCGTTGGAAACGGGAATACGTATAAAAAGCAGACAGCAGAATTGTCAGAAACTTCTTTGGGATGTTTGCATTCAAGTCACAGAATTGAACTCTCCCTTTCACAGAGCAGGTTTGAAACACTCTTTTTGTAGTGTCTGTAAGTGAACATTTGGATTGCTTTCAGGCCTAAGGTGAAAAAGGAAATATCTTCCCATAAAAACTAGACAGTAGCATTCTCAGAAACTTGTTTGTGATGTGTGCCCTCTACTGACAGAGTTGAACCTTTCTTTGCAAAGAGCAGTTTTGAAACCCTCTTTTTGTAAAATCTGCAAGAGGATATTTGGATTGATTTGAGGATTTCTTGGGAAACGGGAATGTCTTCAGATAAACTCTAGACAGAAGCATTCTCAGAAACTTCTTTGGGATGTTTCAATTGAAGTCACAGTGTTGAACATTCCCTTTCACAGAGCAGGTTTGAAACACTCTTTTTGTAGTGTCTATAAGTGAACATTTGGCGTGCTTTCAGGCCTAACGTGAAAAAGGAAATATCTTCCCATAAAAACTAGACAGAAGCATTCTCAGAAACTTGTTCGTGATGTGTGCCCTCTACTGACAGAGTTGAACCTTTCTTTGCAAAGAGCAGCTTTGAAACACTCTTTTTGTAGAATCTGCAAGAGGATATTTGGATAGCTTTGAGGATTTCGTTGGAAACGGGTATGTCTTCAGATAAACTCTAGATAGAAGCATTCTCAGAAACTTCTTTGGGATGTTGCATTCAAGTCACAGAGTAGAACATTCCCATTCATAGAGCAGATTTGAAACACTCTTTTTGAAGTATCTGGAAGTGGACATTTGGAGCGCTTTCAGGCCTATGTTGAAAAAGGAAATATCTTCCCATAAAAACTAGACGGAAGCATTCTCAGAAACTTACTTGTGATGTGTTTGCTCAACTAACAGAATTGAACCATCGTTTTGAAGGAGCAGTTTTGAAACACTGTTTTCGTGGAATCTGCAAGTGGATATTTGGCTAGCTTTGAGGATTTCGTTGGAAACGGGATTACATATAAAAAGGAGACAGCAGCATTCTCAGAAACTTCTTTGTGATGTCTGCATTCAAGTCACAGAGTTGAGCATTCCCTTTCATAGAGCAGGTTGGAAACACTCTTTTTGTAGTATCTGGATGAGGACATTTGGAGCGCTTTCAGGCGTATGGTGAAAAAGGAAATATCTTCCCGTAAAAACTAGACAGAAGCATTCTCAGAAATTTATTTGTGATGTGTGCCCTCAACTAACAGAGTTGAACCTTTCTTTTGATAGAGCAGTTTTGAAACACTCTTTTTGTAAAATCTGCAAGAGGATATTTGGATAGCTTTGAGGATTTCGTTGCAAACGGGAATGGCTTCATATACACTCTAGACAGAAGCATTCTCAGAAACTTCGTTGGGATGTTTCGATTGAAGTCCCAGTGTTGAACATTCCCTTTTATAGAGCAGGTTGGAAACACTCTTTCTGCATTCCCTGGAAGTGGACATTTGGAGCGCTTTCAGGACGACGGTGAAAATGGAAATATCTTCCAAGAAAATCTAGATAGAAGCAACGTCAGAAACTTTTCTGTGATGGATCTACTCAGCTAACAGAGTTGAACCTTTCTTTTGAGAGAGCAGTTTTGCAACACTCTTTTTGTGGAATATGCAAGTGGATATTAGGGCAGCTTTGAGGATTTCGTTGGAAACGGGAATACATGTAAAAAGCAGACAGCAGCATTCTCAGAAACTTCTTTGTGATGTTTGCATTGAAGTCACAGAGTTGAACATTCCCTTTGAGAGAGCAGGTTTGAAACACGCCTTTTGTCATATCTGGAAGTGTCCATTCGGAGCGCATTCAGGCTTGTGTTGAAAAAGGAAATATCCTCCCATAAAAACTAGACAGAAGCATTCTCAGAAACTTATCTGTGATGTATGTACTCAACTAACAGAACTAAACCATCGTTTTGAAGGAGCAGTTTTGAAACACTCTTTTTGCGGAATCTGCAAGTGGATATTTGGCTAGCTGGGAGGATTTCGTTGGAAACGGGATTACATACAAAAAGCAGACAGCAGCATTCTCAGAAACTTCTTTGTGATGTTTGCATTCAAGTCACAGAGTTGAACATTCCCTTTCATAGAGCAGGTTTGAAACACTCTTTTTGTAGTATCTGGATGTGGACATTTGGATCGCTTTCAGGCCTATGGTGAAAAAGGAAATATCTTCCCATGAAAACTAGACAGAAGCATTCTCAGAAACTTATTTGTGATGTGTGCCCTCAACTGACAGTGTTGAACCTTTGTTTTGATAGAGCAGTTCTGAAACACACTTTTTGTAAAATCTGCAAGAGGATATTTGGATAGCTTTGAGGATTTCGTTGGAAACGGGAATGTCTTCATGTAAACTCTACACAGAAGCATTCTCAGAAACTGCTTTGGGATGTTTCAATTGAAGTCCCAGTGTTGAACATTCCCATTCATAGAGCAGGTTTGAAACACTCTTTTTGTACTATCTGGAAGTGGACATTTGGAGCGCTTTCAGGTCTACGGTGAAAAAGGAGATATCTTTCAATAAAAACTAGATAGAAGCAATGTCAGAACTTTTTTCATGATGTATCTACTCAGCAAACAGAGTTGAACCTTTCTTTTGAGAGAGCAGTTTTGAAACACTCTTTTTGTGGAATATGCAAGTGGGTATTAGGCCAGCTTGGAGGATTTCGTTGGAAACGGGAATACGTATAAAAAGCAGACAGCAGCATTGTCAGCAACTACTTTGTGATGTTTGCATTCAAGTCACAGAATTGAACACTCCCTTTCACAGAGCAGGTTTGAAACACTCTTTTTGTAGTGTCTGTAAGTGAACATTTGGATTGCTTTCAGGCCTAAGGTGAAAAAGGAAATATCTTCCCATAAAAACTAGACAGAAGCATTCTCAGAAACTTGTTTGTGATGTGTGCCCTCTACTGACAGAGTTGAACCTTTCTTTGCAAAGAGCAGTTTTGAAACACTCTTTTTGTAGAATCTGCAAGAGGATATTTGGATAGCTTTGAGGATTTCTTGGGAAACGGGAATGTCTTCAGATAAACTCTAGACAGAAGCATTCTCAGAAACTTCTTTGGGATGTTTCAATTGAAGTCACAGTGTTGAACATTCCCTTTCACAGAGCAGGTTTGAAACACTCTTTTTGTAGTGTCTATAAGTGAACATTTGGCGTGCTTTCAGGCCTAACGTGAAAAAGGAAATATCTTCCCATAAAAACTAGACAGAAGCATTCTCAGAAACTTGTTCTTGATGTGTCCCCTCTACTGACAGAGTTGAACCTTTCTTTGCAAAGAGCAGCTTTGAAACACACTTTTTGTAGAATCTGCAAGAGGATATTTGGATAGCTTGGAGGATTTCGTTGGAAACGGGTATGTCTTCAGATAAACTCTAGACAGAAGCATTCTCAGAAACTTCTTTGGGATGTTGCATTCAAGTCACAGAGTAGAACATTCCCATTCATAGAGCAGATTTGAAACACTCTTTTTGTAGTATCTGGAAGTGGACATTTGGAGCGCTTTCAGGCCTATGTTGAAAAAGGAAATATCTTCCCATAAAAACTAGACGGAAGCATTCTCAGAAACTTATTTGTGATGTGTTTGCTCAACTAACAGGATTGAACCATCGTTTTGAAGGAGCAGTTTTGAAACACTGTTTTCGTGGAATCTGCAAGTGGATATTTGGCTAGCTTTGAGGATTTCGTTGGAAACGGGATTACATATAAAAAGGAGACAGCAGCATTCTCAGAAACTTCTTTGTGATGTCTGCATTCAATTCACAGAGTTGAGCATTCCCTTTCATAGAGCAGGTTGGAAACACTCTTTTTGTAGTATCTGGATGAGGACATTTGGAGCGCTTTCAGGCGTATGGTGAAAAAGGAAATATCTTCCCGTAAAAACTAGACAGAAGCATTCTCAGAAGTTTATTTGTGATGTGTGCCCTCAACTAACAGAGTTGAACCTTTCTTTTGATAGAGCAGTTTTGAAACACTCTTTTTGTAAAATCTGCAAGAGGATATTTGGATAGCTTTGAGGATTTCGTTGCAAACGGGAATGGCTTCATATAAACTCTAGACAGAAGCATTCTCAGAAACTTCGTTGGGATGTTTCGATTGAAGTCCCAGTGTTGAACATTCCCTTTTATAGAGCAGGTTGGAAACACTCTTTCTGCATTCCCTGGAAGTGGACATTTGGAGCGCTTTCAGGACGACGGTGAAAATGGAAATATCTTCCAAGAAAATCTAGATAGAAGCAATGTCAGAAACTTTTATGTGATGGATCTACTCAGCTAACAGAGTTGAACCTTTCTTTTGAGAGAGCAGTTTTGCAACACTCTTTTTGTGGAATATGCAAGTGGATATTAGGGCAGCTTTGAGGATTTCGTTGGAAACGGGAATACATGTAAAAAGGAGACAGCAGCATTCTCAGAAACTTCTTTGTGATGTTTGCATTGAAGTCACAGAGTTGAACATTCCCTTTGAGAGAGCAGGTTTGAAACACGCCTTTTGTCATATCTGGAAGTGTCCATTCGGAGCGCATTCAGGCTTGTGTTGAAAAAGGAAATATCCTCCCATAAAAACTAGACAGAAGCATTCTCAGAAACTTATCTGTGATGTATGTACTCAACTAACAGAACTAAACCATCGTTTTGAAGGAGCAGTTTTGAAACACTCTTTTTGCGGAATCTGCAAGTGGATATTTGGCTAGCTGGGAGGATTTCGTTGGAAACGGGATTACATACAAAAAGCAGACAGCAGCATTCTCAGAAACTTCTTTGTGATGTTTGCATTCAAGTCACAGAGTTGAACATTCCCTTTCATAGAGCAGGTTTGAAACACTCTTTTTGTAGTATCTGGATGTGGACATTTGGATCGCTTTCAGGCCTATGGTGAAAAAGGAAATATCTTCCCATGAAAACTAGACAGAAGCATTCTCAGAAACTTATTTGTGATGTGTGCCCTCAACTGACAGTGTTGAACCTTTGTTTTGATAGAGCAGTTCTGAAACACACTTTTTGTAAAATCTGCAAGAGGATATTTGGATAGCTTTGAGGATTTCGTTGGAAACGGGAATGTCTTCATGTAAACTCTAGACAGAAGCATTCTCAGAAACTGCTTTGGGATGTTTCAATTGAAGTCCCAGTGTTGAACATTCCCATTCATAGAGCAGGTTTGAAACACTCTTTTTGTACTATCTGGAAGTGGACATTTGGAGCGCTTTCAGGTCTACGGTGAAAAAGGAGATATCTTCCAATAAAAACTAGATAGAAGCAATGTCAGAACTTTTTTCATGATGTATCTACTCAGCAAACAGAGTTGAACCTTTCTTTTGAGAGAGCAGTTTTGAAACACTCTTTTTGTGGAATATGCAAGTGGGTATTAGGCCAGCTTGGAGGATTTCGTTGGAAACGGGAATACGTATAAAAAGCAGACAGCAGCATTGTCAGAAACTACTTTGTGATGTTTGCATTCAAGTCACAGAATTGAACACTCCCTTTCACAGAGCAGGTTTGAAACACTCTTTTTGTAGTGTCTGTAAGTGAACATTTGGATTGCTTTCAGGCCTAAGGTGAAAAAGGAAATATCTTCCCATAAAAACTAGACAGAAGCATTCTCAGAAACTTGTTTGTGATGTGTGCCCTCTACTGACAGAGTTGAACCTTTCTTTGCAAAGAGCAGTTTTGAAACACTCTTTTTGTAGAATCTGCAAGAGGATATTTGGATAGCTTTGAGGATTTCTTGGGAAACGGGAATGTCTTCAGATAAACTCTAGACAGAAGCATTCTCAGAAACTTCTTTGGGATGTTTCAATTGAAGTCACAGTGTTGAACATTCCCTTTCACAGAGCAGGTTTGAAACACTCTTTTTGTAGTATCTGGAAGTGGACATTTGGAGCGCTTTCAGGCCTATGTTGAAAAAGGAAATATCTTCCCATAAAAACTAGACGGAAGCATTCTCAGAAACTTATTTGTGATGTGTTTGCTCAACTAACAGGATTGAACCATCGTTTTGAAGGAGCAGTTTTGAAACACTGTTTTCGTGGAATCTGCAAGTGGATATTTGGCTAGCTTTGAGGATTTCGTTGGAAACGGGATTACATATAAAAAGGAGACAGCAGCATTCTCAGAAACTTCTTTGTGATGTCTGCATTCAATTCACAGAGTTGAGCATTCCCTTTCATAGAGCAGGTTGGAAACACTCTTTTTGTAGTATCTGGATGAGGACATTTGGAGCGCTTTCAGGCCTATGGTGAAAAAGGAAATATCTTCCCGTAAAAACTAGACAGAAGCATTCTCAGTAGTTTATTTGTGATGTGTGCCCTCAACTAACAGAGTTGAACCTTTCTTTTGATAGAGCAGTTTTGAAACACTCTTTTTGTAAAATCTGCAAGAGGATATTTGGATAGCTTTGAGGATTTCGTTGCAAACGGGAATGGCTTCATATAAACTCTAGACAGAAGCATTCTCAGAAACTTCGTTGGGATGTTTCGATTGAAGTCCCAGTGTTGAACATTCCCTTTTATAGAGCAGGTTGGAAACACTCTTTCTGCATTCCCTGGAAGTGGACATTTGGAGCGCTTTCAGGACGACGGTGAAAATGGAAATATCTTCCAAGAAAATCTAGATAGAAGCAATGTCAGAAACTTTTATGTGATGGATCTACTCAGCTAACAGAGTTGAACCTTTCTTTTGAGAGAGCAGTTTTGCAACACTCTTTTTGTGGAATATGCAAGTGGATATTAGGGCAGCTTTGAGGATTTCGTTGGAAACGGGAATACATGTAAAAAGCAGACAGCAGCATTCTCAGAAACTTCTTTGTGATGTTTGCATTGAAGTCACAGAGTTGAACATTCCCTTTGAGAGAGCAGGTTTGAAACACGCCTTTTGTCATATCTGGAAGTGTCCATTCGGAGCGCATTCAGGCTTGTGTTGAAAAAGGAAATATCCTCCCATAAAAACTAGACAGAAGCATTCTCAGAAACTTATCTGTGATGTATGTACTCAACTAACAGAACTAAACCATCGTTTTGAAGGAGCAGTTTTGAAACACTCTTTTTGCGGAATCTGCAAGTGGATATTTGGCTAGCTGGGAGGATTTCGTTGGAAACGGGATTACATACAAAAAGCAGAGAGCAGCATTCTCAGAAACTTCTTTGTGATGTTTGCATTCAAGTCACAGAGTTGAACATTCCCTTTCATAGAGCAGGTTTGAAACACTCTTTTTGTAGTATCTGGATGTGGACATTTGGATCGCTTTCAGGCCTATGGTGAAAAAGGAAATATCTTCCCATGAAAACTAGACAGAAGCATTCTCAGAAACTTATTTGTGATGTGTGCCCTCAACTGACAGTGTTGAACCTTTGTTTTGATAGAGCAGTTCTGAAACACACTTTTTGTAAAATCTGCAAGAGGATATTTGGATAGCTTTGAGGATTTCGTTGGAAACGGGAATGTCTTCATGTAAACTCTAGACAGAAGCATTCTCAGAAACTGCTTTGGGATGTTTCAATTGAAGTCCCAGTGTTGAACATTCCCTTTCATAGAGCAGGTTTGAAACACTCTTTTTGTACTATCTGGAAGTGGACATTTGGAGCGCTTTCAGGTCTACGGTGAAAAAGGAGATATCTTCCAATAAAAACTAGATAGAAGCAATGTCAGAACTTTTTTCATGATGTATCTACTCAGCAAACAGAGTTGAACCTTTCTTTTGAGAGAGCAGTTTTGAAACACTCTTTTTGTGGAATATGCAAGTGGGTATTAGGCCAGCTTGGAGGATTTCGTTGGAAACGGGAATACGTATAAAAAGCAGACAGCAGCATTGTCAGAAACTACTTTGTGATGTTTGCATTCAAGTCACAGAATTGAACACTCCCTTTCACAGAGCAGGTTTGAAACACTCTTTTTGTAGTGTCTGTAAGTGAACATTTGGATTGCTTTCAGGCCTAAGGTGAAAAAGGAAATATCTTCCCATAAAAACTAGACAGAAGCATTCTCAGAAACTTGTTTGTGATGTGTGCCCTCTACTGACAGAGTTGAACCTTTCTTTGCAAAGAGCAGTTTTGAAACACTCTTTTTGTAGAATCTGCAAGAGGATATTTGGATAGCTTTGAGGATTTCTTGGGAAACGGGAATGTCTTCAGATAAACTCTAGACAGAAGCATTCTCAGAAACTTCTTTGGGATGTTTCAATTGAAGTCACAGTGTTGAACATTCCCTTTCACAGAGCAGGTTTGAAACACTCTTTTTGTAGTGTCTATAAGTGAACATTTGGCGTGCTTTCAGGCCTAACGTGAAAAAGGAAATATCTTCCCATAAAAACTAGACAGAAGCATTCTCAGAAACTTGTTCGTGATGTGTGCCCTCTACTGACAGAGTTGAACCTTTCTTTGCAAAGAGCAGCTTTGAAACACACTTTTTGTAGAATCTGCAAGAGGATATTTGGATAGATTTGAGGATTTCGTTGGAAACGGGTATGTCTTCAGATAAACTCTAGACAGAAGCATTCTCAGAAACTTCTTTGGGATGTTGCATTCAAGTCACAGAGTAGAACATTCCCATTCATAGAGCAGATTTGAAACACTCTTTTTGTAGTATCTGGAAGTGGACATTTGGAGCGCTTTCAGGCCTATGTTGAAAAAGGAAATATCTTCCCATAAAAACTAGACGGAAGCATTCTCAGAAACTTACTTGTGATGTGTTTTCTCAACTAACAGAATTGAACCATCGTTTTGAAGGAGCAGTTTTGAAACACTGTTTTCGTGGAATCTGCAAGTGGATATTTTGCTAGCTTTGAGGATTTCGTTGGAAACGGGATTACATATAAAAAGGAGACAGGAGCATTCTCAGAAACTTCTTTGTGATGTCTGCATTCAATTCACAGAGTTGAGCATTCCCTTTCATAGAGCACGTTGGAAACACTCTTTTTGTAGTATCTGGATGAGGACATTTGGAGCGCTTTCAGGCCTATGGTGAAAAAGGAAATATCTTCCCGTAAAAACTAGACAGAAGCATTCTCAGAAGTTTATTTGTGATGTGTGCCCTCAACTAACAGAGTTGAACCTTTCTTTTGATAGAGCAGTTTTGAAACACTCTTTTTGTAAAATCTGCAAGAGGATATTTGGATAGCTTTGAGGATTTCGTTGCAAACGGGAATGGCTTCATATAAACTCTAGACAGAAGCATTCTCAGAAACTTCGTTGGGATGTTTCGATTGAAGTCCCAGTGTTGAACATTCCCTTTTATAGAGCAGGTTGGAAACACTCTTTCTGCATTCCCTGGAAGTGGACATTTGGAGCGCTTTCAGGACGACGGTGAAAATGGAAATATCTTCCAAGAAAATCTAGATAGAAGCAATGTCAGAAACTTTTATGTGATGGATCTACTCAGCTAACAGAGTTGAAGCTTTCTTTTGAGAGAGCAGTTTTGCAACACTCTTTTTGTGGAATATGCAAGTGGATATTAGGGCAGCTTTGAGGATTTCGTTGGAAACGGGAATACATGTAAAAAGCAGACAGCAGCATTCTCAGAAACTTCTTTGTGATGTTTGCATTGAAGTCACAGAGTTGAACATTCCCTTTGAGAGAGCAGGTTTGAAACACGCCTTTTGTCATATCTGGAAGTGTCCATTCGGAGCGCATTCAGGCTTGTGTTGAAAAAGGAAATATCCTCCCATAAAAACTAGACAGAAGCATTCTCAGAAACTTATCTGTGATGTATGTACTCAACTAACAGAACTAAACCATCGTTTTGAAGGAGCAGTTTTGAAACACTCTTTTTGCGGAATCTGCAAGTGGATATTTGGCTAGCTGGGAGGATTTCGTTGGAAACGGGATTATATACAAAAAGCAGACAGCAGCATTCTCAGAAACTTCTTTGTGATGTTTGCATTCAAGTCACAGAGTTGAACATTCCCTTTCATAGAGCAGGTTTGAAACACTCTTTTTGTAGTATCTGGATGTGGACATTTGGATCGCTTTCAGGCCTATGGTGAAAAAGGAAATATCTTCCCATGAAAACTAGACAGAAGCATTCTCAGAAACTTATTTGTGATGTGTGCCCTCAACTGACAGTGTTGAACCTTTGTTTTGATAGAGCAGTTCTGAAACACACTTTTTGTAAAATCTGCAAGAGGATATTTGGATAGCTTTGAGGATTTCGTTGGAAACGGGAATGTCTTCATGTAAACTCTAGACAGAAGCATTCTCAGAAACTGCTTTGGGATGTTTCAATTGAAGTCCCAGTGTTGAACATTCCCTTTCATAGAGCAGGTTTGAAACACTCTTTTTGTACTATCTGGAAGTGGACATTTGGAGCGCTTTCAGGTCTACGGTGAAAAAGGAGATATCTTCCAATAAAAACTAGATAGAAGCAATGTCAGAACTTTTTTCATGATGTATCTACTCAGCAAACAGAGTTGAACCTTTCTTTTGAGAGAGCAGTTTTGAAACACTCTTTTTGTGGAATATGCAAGTGGGTATTAGGCCAGCTTGGAGGATTTCGTTGGAAACGGGAATACGTATAAAAAGCAGACAGCAGCATTGTCAGAAACTACTTTGTGATGTTTGCATTCAAGTCACAGAATTGAACACTCCCTTTCACAGAGCAGGTTTGAAACACTCTTTTTGTAGTGTCTATAAGTGAACATTTGGCGTGCTTTCAGGCCTAAGGTGAAAAAGGAAATATCTTCCCATAAAAACTAGACAGAAGCATTCTCAGCAAACTTGTTCTTGATGTGTCCCCTCTACTGAGAGAGTTGAACCTTTCTTTGCAAAGAGCAGCTTTGAAACACTCTTTTTGTAGAATCTGCAAGAGGATATTTGGATAGCTTGGAGGATTTCGTTGGAAACGGGTATGTCTTCAGATAAACTCTAGACAGAAGCATTCTCAGAAACTTCTTTGGGATGTTGCATTCAAGTCACAGAGTAGAACATTCCCATTCATAGAGCAGATTTGAAACACTCTTTTTGTAGTATCTGGAAGTGGACATTTGGAGCGCTTTCAGGCCTATGTTGAAAAAGGAAATATCTTCCCATAAAAACTAGACGGAAAGCATTCTCAGAAACTTATTTGTGATGTGTTTGCTCAACTAACAGGATTGAACCATCGTTTTGAAGGAGCAGTTTTGAAACACTGTTTTCGTGGAATCTGCAAGTGGATATTTGGCTAGCTTTGAGGATTTCGTTGGAAACGGGATTACATATACAAAGGAGACAGCAGCATTCTCAGAAACTTCTTTGTGATGTCTGCATTCAATTCACAGAGTTGAGCATTCCCTTTCATAGAGCAGGTTGGAAACACTCTTTTTGTAGTATCTGGATGAGGACATTTGGAGCGCTTTCAGGCGTATGGTGAAAAAGGAAATATCTTCCCGTAAAAACTAGACAGAAGCATTCTCAGAAGTTTATTTGTGATGTGTGCCCTCAACTAACAGAGTTGAACCTTTCTTTTGATAGAGCAGTTTTGAAACACTCTTTTTGTAAAATCTGCAAGAGGATATTTGGATATCTTTGAGGATTTCGTTGCAAACGGGAATGGCTTCATATAAACTCTAGACAGAAGCATTCTCAGAAACTTCGTTGGGATGTTTCGATTGAAGTCCCAGTGTTGAACATTCCCTTTTATAGAGCAGGTTGGAAACACTCTTTCTGCATTCCCTGGAAGTGGACATTTGGAGCGCTTTCAGGACGACGGTGAAAATGGAAATATCTTCCAAGAAAATCTAGATAGAAGCAACGTCAGAAACTTTTATGTGATGGATCTACTCAGCTAACAGAGTTGAACCTTTCTTTTCAGAGAGCAGTTTTGCAACACTCTTTTTGTGGAATATGCAAGTGGATATTAGGGCAGCTTTGAGGATTTCGTTGGAAACGGGAATACATGTAAAAAGCAGACAGCAGCATTCTCAGAAACTTCTTTGTGATGTTTGCATTGAAGTCACAGAGTTGAACATTCCCTTTGAGAGAGCAGGTTTGAAACACGCCTTTTGTCATATCTGGAAGTGTCCATTCGGAGCGCATTCAGGCTTGTGTTGAAAAAGGAAATATCCTCCCATAAAAACTAGACAGAAGCATTCTCAGAAACTTATCTGTGATGTATGTACTCAACTAACAGAACTAAACCATCGTTTTGAAGGAGCAGTTTTGAAACACTCTTTTTGCGGAATCTGCAAGTGGATATTTGGCTAGCTGGGAGGATTTCGTTGGAAACGGGATTACATACAAAAAGCAGACAGCAGCATTCTCAGAAACTTCTTTGTGATGTTTGCATTCAAGTCACAGAGTTGAACATTCCCTTTCATAGAGCAGGTTTGAAACACTCTTTTTGTAGTATCTGGATGTGGACATTTGGATCGCTTTCAGGCCTATGGTGAAAAAGGAAATATCTTCCCATGAAAACTAGACAGAAGCATTCTCAGAAACTTATTTGTGATGTGTGCCCTCAACTGACAGTGTTGAACCTTTGTTTTGATAGAGCAGTTCTGAAACACACTTTTTGTAAAATCTGCAAGAGGATATTTGGATAGCTTTGAGGATTTCGTTGGAAACGGGAATGTCTTCATGTAAACTCTACACAGAAGCATTCTCAGAAACTGCTTTGGGATGTTTCAATTGAAGTCCCAGTGTTGAACATTCCCATTCATAGAGCAGGTTTGAAACACTCTTTTTGTACTATCTGGAAGTGGACATTTGGAGCGCTTTCAGGTCTGCGGTGAAAAAGGAGATATCTTCCAATAAAAACTAGATAGAAGCAATGTCAGAACTTTTTTCATGATGTATCTACTCAGCACACAGAGTTGAACCTTTCTTTTGAGAGAGCAGTTTTGAAACACTCTTTTTGTGGAATATGCAAGTGGGTATTAGGCCAGCTTGGAGGATTTCGTTGGAAACGGGAATACGTATAAAAAGCAGACAGCAGCATTGTCAGAAACTACTTTGTGATGTTTGCATTCAAGTCACAGAATTGAACACTCCCTTTCACAGAGCAGGTTTGAAACACTCTTTTTGTAGTGTCTGTAAGTGAACATATGGATTGCTTTCAGGCCTAAGGTGAAAAAGGAAATATCTTCCCATAAAAACTAGACAGAAGCATTCTCAGAAACTTGTTTGTGATGTGTGCCCTCTACTGACAGAGTTGAACCTTTCTTTGCAAAGAGCAGTTTTGAAACACTCTTTTTGTAGAATCTGCAAGAGGATATTTGGATAGCTTTGAAGATTTCTTGGGAAACGGGAATGTCTTCAGATAAACTCTAGACAGAAGCATTCTCAGAAACTTCTTTGGGATGTTTCAATTGAAGTCACAGTGTTGAACATTCCCTTTCACAGAGCAGGTTTGAAACACTCTTTTTGTAGTGTCTATAAGTGAACATTTGGCGTGCTTTCAGGCCTAACGTGAAAAAGGAAATATCTTCCCATAAAAACTAGACAGAAGCATTCTCAGAAACTTGTTCATGATGTGTGCCCTCTACTGACAGAGTTGAACCTTTCTTTGCAAAGAGCAGCTTTGAAACACTCTTTTTGTAGAATCTGCAAGAGGATATTTGGATAGCTTTGAGGATTTCGTTGGAAACGGGTATGTCTTCAGATAAACTCTAGACAGAAGCATTCTCAGAAACTTCTTTGGGATGTTGCATTCAAGTCACAGAGTAGAACATTCCCATTCATAGAGCAGATTTGAAACACTCTTTTTGTAGTATCTGGAAGTGGACATTTGGAGCGCTTTCAGGCCTATGTTGAAAAAGGAAATATCTTCCCATAAAAACTAGACGGAAGCATTCTCAGAAACTTACTTGTGATGTGTTTGCTCAACTAACAGAATTGAACCATCGTTTTGAAGGAGCAGTTTTGAAACACTGTTTTCGTGGAATCTGCAAGTGGATATTTGGCTAGCTTTGAGGATTTCGTTGGAAACGGGATTACATATAAAAAGGAGACAGCAACATTCTCAGAAACTTCTTTGTGATGTCTGCATTCAAGTCACAGAGTTGAGCATTCCCTTTCATAGAGCAGGTTGGAAACACTCTTTTTGTAGTATCTGGATGAGGACATTTGGAGCGCTTTCAGGCGTATGGTGAAAAAGGAAATATCTTCCCGTAAAAACTAGACAGAAGCATTCTCAGAAATTTATTTGTGATGTGTGCCCTCAACTAACCGAGTTGAACCTTTCTTTTGATAGAGCAGTTTTGAAACACTCTTTTTGTAAAATCTGCAAGAGGATATTTGGATAGCTTTGAGGATTTCGTTGCAAACGGGAATGGCTTCATATAAACTCTAGACAGAAGCATTCTCAGAAACTTCGTTGGGATGTTTCGATTGAAGTCCCAGTGTTGAACATTCCCTTTTATAGAGCAGGTTGGAAACACTCTTTCTGCATTCCCTGGAAGTGGACATTTGGAGCGCTTTCAGGACGACGGTGAAAATGGAAATATCTTCCAAGAAAATCTAGATAGAAGCAATGTCAGAAACTTTTATGTGATGGATCTACTCAGCTAACAGAGTTGAACCTTTCTTTTGAGAGAGCAGTTTTGCAACACTCTTTTTGTGGAATATGCAAGTGGATATTAGGGCAGCTTTGAGGATTTCGTTGGAAACGGGAATACATGTAAAAAGCAGACAGCAGCATTCTCAGAAACTTCTTTGTGATGTTTGCATTGAAGTCACAGAGTTGAACATTCCCTTTGAGAGAGCAGGTTTGAAACACGCCTTTTGTCATATCTGGAAGTGTCCATTCGGAGCGCATTCAGGCTTGTGTTGAAAAAGGAAATATCCTCCCATAAAAACTAGACAGAAGCATTCTCAGAAACTTATGCTGTGATGTATGTACTCAACTAACAGAACTAAACCATCGTTTTGAAGGAGCAGTTTTGAAACACTCTTTTTGCGGAATCTGCAAGTGGATATTTGGCTAGCTGGGAGGATTTCGTTGGAAACGGGATTACATACAAAAAGCAGACAGCAGCATTCTCAGAAACTTCTTTGTGATGTTTGCATTCAAGTCACAGAGTTGAACATTCCCTTTCATAGAGCAGGTTTGAAACACTCTTTTTGTAGTATCTGGATGTGGACATTTGGATGCTTTCAGGCCTATGGTGAAAAAGGAAATATCTTCCCATGAAAACTAGACAGAAGCATTCTCAGAAACTTATTTGTGATGTGTGCCCTCAACTGACAGTGTTGAACCTTTGTTTTGATAGAGCAGTTCTGAAACACACTTTTTGTAAAATCTGCAAGAGGATATTTGGATAGCTTTGAGGATTTCGTTGGAAACGGGAATGTCTTCATGTAAACTCTAGACAGAAGCATTCTCAGAAACTGCTTTGGGATGTTTCAATTGAAGTCCCAGTGTTGAACATTCCCATTCATAGAGCAGGTTTGAAACACTCTTTTTGTACTATCTGGAAGTGGACATTTGGAGCGCTTTCAGGTCTACGGTGAAAAAGGAGATATCTTCCAATAAAAACTAGATAGAAGCAATGTCAGAACTTTTTTCATGATGTATCTACTCAGCAAACAGAGTTGAACCTTTCTTTTGAGAGAGCAGTTTTGAAACACTCTTTTTGTGGAATATGCAAGTGGGTATTAGGCCAGCTTGGAGGATTTCGTTGGAAACGGGAATACGTATAAAAAGCAGACAGCAGCATTGTCAGAAACTACTTTGTGATGTTTGCATTCAAGTCACAGAATTGAACACTCCCTTTCACAGAGCAGGTTTGAAACACTCTTTTTGTAGTGTCTGTAAGTGAACATTTGGATTGCTTTCAGGCCTAAGGTGAAAAAGGAAATATCTTCCCATAAAAACTAGACAGAAGCATTCTCAGAAACTTGTTTGTGATGTGTGCCCTCTACTGACAGAGTTGAACCTTTCTTTGCAAAGAGCAGTTTTGAAACACTCTTTTTGTAGAATCTGCAAGAGGATATTTGGATAGCTTTGAGGATTTCTTGGGAAACGGGAATGTCTTCAGATAAACTCTAGACAGAAGCATTCTCAGAAACTTCTTTGGGATGTTTCAATTGAAGTCACAGTGTTGAACATTCCCTTTCACAGAGCAGGTTTGAAACACTCTTTTTGTAGTGTCTATAAGTGAACATTTGGCGTGCTTTCAGGCCTAACGTGAAAAAGGAAATATCTTCCCATAAAAACTAGACAGAAGCATTCTCAGAAACTTGTTCGTGATGTGTGCCCTCTACTGACAGAGTTGAACCTTTCTTTGCAAAGAGCAGCTTTGAAACACACTTTTTGTAGAATCTGCAAGAGGATATTTGGATAGCTTGGAGGATTTCGTTGGAAACGGGTATGTCTTCAGATAAACTCTAGACAGAAACATTCTCAGAAACTTCTTTGGGATGTTGCATTCAAGTCACAGAGTAGAACATTCCCATGCATAGAGCAGATTTGAAACACTCTTTTTGTAGTATCTGGAAGTGGACATTTGGAGCGCTTTCAGGCCTATGTTGAAAAAGGAAATATCTTCCCATAAAAACTAGACGGGAAGCATTCTCAGAAACTTATTTCTGATGCGTTTGCTCAACTAACAGAATTGAACCATCGTTTTGAAGGAGCAGTTTTGAAACTCTGTTTTCGTGGAATCTGCAAGTGGATATTTGGCTAACTTTGAGGATTTCGTTGGAAACGGGATTACCTATAAAAAGGAGACAGCAGCATTCTCAGAAACTTCTTTGTGATGTCTGCATTCAAGTCACAGAGTTGAGCATTCCCTTTCATAGAGCAGGTTTGAAACATTCTTTTTGTAGTATCTGGATGAGGACATTTGGAGCGATTTCAGGCGTATGGTGAAAAAGGAAATATCTTCCCGTAAAAACTAGACAGAAGCATTCTCAGAAATTTATTTGTGATGTGTGCCCTCAACTAACAGAGTTGAACCTTTCTTTTGATAGAGCAGTTTTGAAACACTCTTTTTGTAAAATCTGCAAGAGGATATTTGGATAGCTTTGAGGATTTCGTTGCAAACGGGAATGGCTTCATATAAACTCTAGACAGAAGCATTCTCAGAAACTTCGTTGGGATGTTTCGATTGAAGTCCCAGTGTTGAACATTCCCTTTTATAGAGCAGGTTGGAAACACTCTTTCTGCATTCCCTGGAAGTGGACATTTGGAGTGCTTTCAGGACGACGGTGAAAATGGAAATATCTTCCAAGAAAATCTAGATAGAAGCAACGTCAGAAACTTTTCTGTGATGGATCTACTCAGCTAACAGAGTTGAACCTTTCTTTTGAGAGAGCAGTTTTGCAACACTCTTTTTGTGGAATATGCAAGTGGATATTAGGGCAGCTTTGAGGATTTCGTTGGAAACGGGAATACATGTAAAAAGCAGACAGCAGCATTCTCAGAAACTTCTTTGTGATGTTTGCATTGAAGTCACAGAGTTGAACATTCCCTTTGAGAGAGCAGGTTTGAAACACGCCTTTTGTCATATCTGGAAGTGTCCATTCGGAGCGCATTCAGGCTTGTGTTGAAAAAGGAAATATCCTCCCAGAAAAACTAGACAGAAGCATTCTCAGAAACTTATCTGTGATGTATGTACTCAACTAACAGAACTAAACCATCGTTTTGAAGGAGCAGTTTTGAAACACTCTTTTTGCGGAATCTGCAAGTGGATATTTGGCTAGCTGGGAGGATTTCCGTTGGAAACGGGATTACATACAAAAAGCAGACAGCAGCATTCTCAGAAACTTATTTGTGATGTGTGCCCTCAACTGACAGTGTTGAACCTTTGTTTTGATAGAACAGTTCTGAAACACACTTTTTGTAAAATCTGCAAGAGGATATTTGGATAGCTTTGAGGATTTCGTTGGAAACGGGAATGTCTTCATGTAAACTCTAGACAGAAGCATTCTCAGAAACTGCTTTGGGATGTTTCAATTGAAGTCCCAGTGTTGAACATTCCCTTTCATAGGAGCAGGTTTGAAACACTCTTTTTGTACTATCTGGAAGTGGACATTTGGAGCGCTTTCAGGTCTACGGTGAAAAAGGAGATATCTTCCAATAAAAACTAGATAGAAGCAACGTCAGAAACTTTTCTGTGATGGATCTACTCAGCTAACAGAGTTGAACCTTTCTTTTGAGAGAGCAGTTTTGCAACACTCTTTTTGTGGAATATGCAAGTGGATATTAGGGCAGCTTTGAGGATTTCGTTGGAAACGGGAATACATGTAAAAAGCAGACAGCAGCATTCTCAGAAACTTCTTTGTGATGTTTGCATTGAAGTCACAGAGTTGAACATTCCCTTTGAGAGAGCAGGTTTGAAACACGCCTTTTGTCATATCTGGAAGTGTCCATTCGGAGCGCATTCAGGCTTGTGTTGAAAAAGGAAATATCCTCCCATAAAAACTAGACAGAAGCATTCTCAGAAACTTATCTGTGATGTATGTACTCAACTAACAGAACTAAACCATCGTTTTGAAGGAGCAGTTTTGAAACACTCTTTTTGCGGAATCTGCAAGTGGATATTTGGCTAGCTGGGAGGATTTCGTTGGAAACGGGATTACATACAAAAAGCAGACAGCAGCATTCTCAGAAACTTCTTTGTGATGTTTGCATTCAAGTCACAGAGTTGAACATTCCCTTTCATAGAGCAGGTTTGAAACACTCTTTTTGTAGTATCTGGATGTGGACATTTGGATCGCTTTCAGGCCTATGGTGAAAAAGGAAATATCTTCCCATGAAAACTAGACAGAAGCATTCTCAGAAACTTATTTGTGATGTGTGCCCTCAACTGACAGTGTTGAACCTTTGTTTTGATAGAGCAGTTCTGAAACACACTTTTTGTAAAATCTGCAAGAGGATATTTGGATAGCTTTGAGGATTTCGTTGGAAACGGGAATGTCTTCATGTAAACTCTAGACAGAAGCATTCTCAGAAACTGCTTTGGGATGTTTCAATTGAAGTCCCAGTGTTGAACATTCCCTTTCATAGAGCAGGTTTGAAACACTCTTTTTGTACTATCTGGAAGTGGACATTTGGAGCGCTTTCAGGTCTACGGTGAAAAAGGAGATATCTTCCAATAAAAACTAGATAGAAGCAATGTCAGAACTTTTTTCATGATGTATCTACTCAGCAAACAGAGTTGAACCTTTCTTTTGAGAGAGCAGTTTTGAAACACTCTTTTTGTGGAATATGCAAGTGGGTATTAGGCCAGCTTGGAGGATTTCGTTGGAAACGGGAATACGTATAAAAAGCAGACAGCAGCATTGTCAGAAACTACTTTGTGATGTTTGCATTCAAGTCACAGAATTGAACACTCCCTTTCACAGAGCAGGTTTGAAACACTCTTTTTGTAGTGTCTGTAAGTGTACATTTGGATTGCTTTCAGGCCTAAGGTGAAAAAGGAAATATCTTCCCATAAAAACTAGACAGAAGCATTCTCAGAAACTTGTTTGTGATGTGTGCCCTCTACTGACAGAGTTGAACCTTTCTTTGCAAAGGGCAGTTTTGAAACACTCTTTTTGTAGAATCTGCAAGAGGATATTTGGATAGCTTTGAGGATTTCTTGGGAAACGGGAATGTCTTCAGATAAACTCTAGACAGAAGCATTCTCAGAAACTTCTTTGGGATGTTTCAATTGAAGTCACAGTGTTGAACATTCCCTTTCACAGAGCAGGTTTGAAACACTCTTTTTGTAGTGTCTATAAGTGAACATTTGGCGTGCTTTCAGGCCTAACGTGAAAAAGGAAATATCTTCCCATAAAAACTAGACAGAAGCATTCTCAGAAACTTGTTCGTGATGTGTGCCCTCTACTGACAGAGTTGAACCTTTCTTTGCAAAGAGCAGCTTTGAAACACACTTTTTGTAGAATCTGCAAGAGGATATTTGGATAGCTTTGAGGATTTCGTTGGAAACGGGTATGTCTTCAGATAAACTCTAGACAGAAGCATTCTCAGAAACTTCTTTGGGATGTTGCATTCAAGTCACAGAGTAGAACATTCCCATTCATAGAGCAGATTTGAAACACTCTTTTTGTAGTATCTGGAAGTGGACATTTGGAGCGCTTTCAGGCCTATGTTGAAAAAGGAAATATCTTCTCATAAAAACTAGACGGAATCATTCTCAGAAACTTATTTGTGATGTGTTTGCTCAACTAACAGGATTGAACCATCGTTTTGAAGGAGCAGTTTTGAAACACTGTTTTCGTGGAATCTGCAAGTGGATATTTGGCTAGCTTTGAGGATTTCGTTGGAAACGGGATTACATATAAAAAGGAGACAGCAGCATTCTCAGAAACTTCTTTGTGATGTCTGCATTCAATTCACAGAGTTGAGCATTCCCTTTCATAGAGCAGGTTGGAAACACTCTTTTTGTAGTATCTGGATGAGGACATTTGGAGCGCTTTCAGGCCTATGGTGAAAAAGGAAATATCTTCCCGTAAAAACTAGACAGAAGCATTCTCAGAAATTTATTTGTGATGTGTGCCCTCAACTAACAGAGTTGAACCTTTCTTTTGATAGAGCAGTTTTGAAACACTCTTTTTGTAAAATCTGCAAGAGGATATTTGGATAGCTTTGAGGATTTCATTGCAAACGGGAATGGCTTCATATAAACTCTAGACAGAAGCATTCTCAGAAACTTCGTTGGGATGTTTCGATTGAAGTCCCAGTGTTGAACATTCCCTTTTATAGAGCAGGTTGGAAACACTCTTTCTGCATTCCCTGGAAGTGGACATTTGGAGCGCTTTCAGGACGACGGTGAAAATGGAAATATCTTCCAAGAAAATCTAGATAGAAGCAACGTCAGAAACTTTTATGTGATGGATCTACTCAGCTAACAGAGTTGAACCTTTCTTTTGAGAGAGCAGTTTTGCAACACTCTTTTTGTGGAATATGCAAGTGGATATTAGGGCAGCTTTGAGGATTTCGTTGGAAACGGGAATACATGTAAAAAGCAGACAGCAGCATTCTCAGAAACTTCTTTGTGATGTTTGTATTGAAGTCACAGAGTTGAACATTCCCTTTGAGAGAGCAGGTTTGAAACACGCCTTTTGTCATATCTGGAAGTGTCCATTCGGAGCGCATTCAGGCTTGTGTTGAAAAAGGAAATATCCTCCCATAAAAACTAGACAGAAGCATTCTCAGAAACTTATCTGTGATGTATGTACTCAACTAACAGAACTAAACCATCGTTTTGAAGGAGCAGTTTTGAAACACTCTTTTTGCGGAATCTGCAAGTGGATATTTGGCTAGCTGGGAGGATTTCGTTGGAAACGGGATTACATACAAAAAGCAGACAGCAGCATTCTCAGAAACTTCTTTGTGATGTTTGCATTCAAGTCACAGAGTTGAACATTCCCTTTCATAGAGCAGGTTTGAAACACTCTTTTTGTAGTATCTGGATGTGGACATTTGGATCGCTTTCAGGCCTATGGTGAAAAAGGAAATATCTTCCCATGAAAACTAGACAGAAGCATTCTCAGAAACTTATTTGTGATGTGTGCCCTCAACTGACAGTGTTGAACCTTTGTTTTGATAGAGCAGTTCTGAAACACACTTTTTGTAAAATCTGCAAGAGGATATTTGGATAGCTTTGAGGATTTCGTTGGAAACGGGAATGTCTTCATGTAAACTCTAGACAGAAGCATTCTCAGAAACTGCTTTGGGATGTTTCAATTGAAGTCCCAGTGTTGAACATTCCCATTCATAGAGCAGGTTTGAAACACTCTTTTTGTACTATCTGGAAGTGGACATTTGGAGCGCTTTCAGGTCTACGGTGAAAAAGGAGATATCTTCCAATAAAAACTAGATAGAAGCAATGTCAGAACTTTTTTCATGATGTATCTACTCAGCAAACAGAGTTGAACCTTTCTTTTGAGAGAGCAGTTTTGAAACACTCTTTTTGTGGAATATGCAAGTGGGTATTAGGCCAGCTTGGAGGATTTCGTTGGAAACGGGAATACGTATAAAAAGCAGACAGCAGCATTGTCAGTAAACTACTTTGTGATGTTTGCATTCAAGTCACAGAATTGAACACTCCCTTTCACAGAGCAGGTTTGAAACACTCTTTTTGTAGTGTCTGTAAGTGAACATTTGGATTGCTTTCAGGCCTAAGGTGAAAAAGGAAATATCTTCCCATAAAAACTAGACAGAAGCATTCTCAGAAACTTGTTTGTGATGTGTGCCCTCTACTGACAGAGCTGAACCTTTCTTTGCAAAGAGCAGTTTTGAAACACTCTTTTTGTAGAATCTGCAAGAGGATATTTGGATAGCTTTGAGGATTTCTTGGGAAACGGGAATGTCTTCAGATAAACTCTAGACAGAAGCATTCTGAGAAACTTCTTTGGGATGTTTCAATTGAAGTCACAGTGTTGAACATTCCCTTTCACAGAGCAGGTTTGAAACACTCTTTTTGTAGTGTCTATAAGTGAACATTTGGCGTGCTTTCAGGCGTAACGTGAAAAAGGAAATATCTTCCCATAAAAACTAGACAGAAGCATTCTCAGAAACTTGTTCTTGATGTGTCCCCTCTACTGACAGAGTTGAACCTTTCTTTGCAAAGAGCAGCTTTGAAACACTCTTTTTGTAGAATCTGCAAGAGGATATTTGGATAGCTTGGAGGATTTCGTTGGAAACGGGTATGTCTTCAGATAAACTCTAGACAGAAGCATTCTCAGAAACTTCTTTGGGATGTTGCATTCAAGTCACAGAGTAGAACATTCCCATTCATAGAGCAGATTTGAAACACTCTTTTTGTAGTATCTGGAAGTGGACATTTGGAGCGCTTTCAGGCCTATGTTGAAAAAGGAAATATCTTCCCATAAAAACTAGACGGAAGCATTCTCAGAAACTTATTTGTGATGTGTTTGCTCAACTAACAGGATTGAACCATCGTTTTGAAGGAGCAGTTTTGAAACACTGTTTTCGTGGAATCTGCAAGTGGATATTTGGCTAGCTTTGAGGATTTCGTTGGAAATGGGATTACATATACAAAGGAGACAGCAGCATTCTCAGAAACTTCTTTGTGATGTCTGCATTCAATTCACAGAGTTGAGCATTCCCTTTCATAGAGCAGGTTGGAAACACTCTTTTTGTAGTATCTGGATGAGGACATTTGGAGCGCTTTCTGGCCTATGGTGAAAAAGGAAATATCTTCCTGTAAAAACTAGACAGAAGCATTCTCAGAAGTTTATTTGTGATGTGTGCCCTCAACTAACAGAGTTGAACCTTTCTTTTGATAGAGCAGTTTTGAAACACTCTTTTTGTAAAATCTGCAAGAGGATATTTGGATAGCTTTGAGGATTTCGTTGCAAACGGGAATGGCTTCATATAAACTCTAGACAGAAGCATTCTCAGAAACTTCGTTGGGATGTTTCGATTGAAGTCCCAGTGTTGAACATTCCCTTTTATAGAGCAGGTTGGAAACACTCTTTCTGCATTCCCTGGAAGTGGACATTTGGAGCGCTTTCAGGACGACGGTGAAAATGGAAATATCTTCCAAGAAAATCTAGATAGAAGCAATGTCAGAAACTTTTATGTGATGGATCTACTCAGCTAACAGAGTTGAACCTTTCTTTTGAGAGAGCAGTTTTGCAACACTCTTTTTGTGGAATATGCAAGTGGATATTAGGGCAGCTTTGAGGATTTCGTTGGAAACGGGAATACATGTAAAAAGCAGACAGCAGCATTCTCAGAAACTTCTTTGTGATGTTTGCATTGAAGTCACAGAGTTGAACATTCCCTTTGAGAGAGCAGGTTTGAAACACGCCTTTTGTCATATCTGGAAGTGTCCATTCGGAGCGCATTCAGGCTTGTGTTGAAAAAGGAAATATCCTCCCATAAAAACTAGACAGATAAGCATTCTCAGAAACTTATCTGTGATGTATGTACTCAACTAACAGGAACTAAACCATCGTTTTGAAGGAGCAGTTTTGAAACACTCTTTTTGCGGAATCTGCAAGTGGATATTTGGCTAGCTGGGAGGATTTCGTTGGAAACGGGATTACATACAAAAAGCAGAGAGCAGCATTCTCAGAAACTTCTTTGTGATGTTTGCATTCAAGTCACAGAGTTGAACATTCCCTTTCATAGAGCAGGTTTGAAACACTCTTTTTGTAGTATCTGGATGTGGACATTTGGATCGCTTTCAGGCCTATGGTGAAAAAGGAAATATCTTCCCATGAAAACTAGACAGAAGCATTCTCAGAAACTTATTGGTGATGTGTGCCCTCAACTGACAGTGTTGAACCTTTGTTTTGATAGAGCAGTTCTGAAACACACTTTTTGTAAAATCTGCAAGAGGATATTTGGATAGCTTTGAGGATTTCGTTGGAAACGGGAATGTCTTCATGTAAACTCTAGACAGAAGCATTCTCAGAAACTGCTTTGGGATGTTTCAATTGAAGTCCCAGTGTTGAACATTCCCATTCATAGAGCAGGTTTGAAACACTCTTTTTGTACTATCTGGAAGTGGACATTTGGAGCGCTTTCAGGTCTACGGTGAAAAAGGAGATATCTTCCAATAAAAACTAGATAGAAGCAATGTCAGAACTTTTTTCATGATGTATCTACTCAGCAAACAGAGTTGAACCTTTCTTTTGAGAGAGCAGTTTTGAAACACTCTTTTTGTGGAATATGCAAGTGGGTATTAGGCCAGCTTGGAGGATTTCGTTGGAAACGGGAATACGTATAAAAAGCAGACAGCAGCATTGTCAGAAACTACTTTGTGATGTTTGCATTCAAGTCACAGAACTGAACACTCCCTTTCACAGAGCAGGTTTGAAACACTCTTTTTGTAGTGTCTGTAAGTGAACATTTGGATTGCTTTCAGGCCTAAGGTGAAAAAGGAAATATCTTCCCATAAAAACTAGACAGAAGCATTCTCAGAAACTTGTTTGTGATGTGTGCCCTCTACTGACAGAGTTGAACCTTTCTTTGCAAAGAGCAGTTTTGAAACACTCTTTTTGTAGAATCTGCAAGAGGATATTTGGATAGCTTTGAGGATTTCTTGGGAAACGGGAATGTCTTCAGATAAACTCTAGACAGAAGCATACTCAGAAACTTCTTTGGGACGTTTCAATTGAAGTCACAGTGTTGAACATTCCCTTTCACAGAGCAGGTTTGAAACACTCTTTTTGTAGTGTCTATAAGTGAACATTTGGCGTGCTTTCAGGCCTAACGTGAAAAAGGAAATATCTTCCCATAAAAACTAGACAGAAGCATTCTCAGAAACTTGTTCATGATGTGTGCCCTCTACTGACAGAGTTGAACCTTTCTTTGCAAAGAGCAGCTTTGAAACACTCTTTTTGTAGAATCTGCAAGAGGATATTTGGATAGCTTTGAGGATTTCGTTGGAAACGGGTATGTCTTCAGATAAACTGCTAGACAGAAGCATTCTCAGAAACTTCTTTGGGATGTTGCATTCAAGTCACAGAGTAGAACATTCCCATTCATAGAGCAGATTTGAAACACTCTTTTTGTAGTATCTGGAAGTGGACATTTGGAGCGCTTTCAGGCCTATGTTGAAAAAGGAAATATCTTCCCATAAAAACTAGACGGAAAGCATTCTCAGAAACTTACTTGTGATGTGTTTGCTCAACTAACAGAATTGAACCATCGTTTTGAAGGAGCAGTTTTGAAACACTGTTTTCGTGGAATCTGCAAGTGGATATTTGGCTAGCTTTGAGGATTTCGTTGGAAACGGGATTACATATACAAAGGAGACAGCAGCATTCTCAGAAACTTCTTTGTGATGTCTGCATTCAATTCACAGAGTTGAGCATTCCCTTTCATAGAGCAGGTTGGAAACACTCTTTTTGTAGTATCTGGATGAGGACATTTGGAGCGCTTTCAGGCGTATGGTGAAAAAGGAAATATCTTCCCGTAAAAACTAGACAGAAGCATTCTCAGAAGTTTATTTCTGATGTGTGCCCTCAACTAACAGAGTTGAACCTTTCTTTTGATAGAGCAGTTTTGAAACACTCTTTTTGTAAAATCTGCAAGAGGATATTTGGATAGCTTTGAGGATTTCGTTGCAAACGGGAATGGCTTCATATAAACTCTAGACAGAAGCATTCTCAGAAACTTCGTTGGGATGTTTCGATTGAAGTCCCAGTGTTGAACATTCCCTTTTATAGAGCAGGTTGGAAACACTCTTTTTGCATTCCCTGGAAGTGGACATTTGGAGCGCTTTCAGGACGACGGTGAAAATGGAAATATCTTCCAAGAAAATCTAGATAGAAGCAACGTCAGAAACTTTTCTGTGATGGATCTACTCAGCTAACAGAGTTGAACCTTTCTTTTGAGAGAGCAGTTTTGCAACACTCTTTTTGTGGAATATGCAAGTGGATATTAGGGCAGCTTTGAGGATTTCGTTGGAAACGGGAATACATGTAAAAAGCAGACATCAGCATTCTCAGAAACTTCTTTGTGATGTTTGCATTGAAGTCACAGAGTTGAACATTCCCTTTGAGAGAGCAGGTTTGAAACACGCCTTTTGTCATATCTGGAAGTGTCCATTCGGAGCGCATTCAGGCTTGTGTTGAAAAAGGAAATATCCTCCCATAAAAACTAGACAGAAGCATTCTCAGAAACTTATCTGTGATGTATGTACTCAACTAACAGAACTAAACCATCGTTTTGAAGGAGCAGTTTTGAAACACTCTTTTTGCGGAATCTGCAAGTGGATATTTGGCTAGCTGGGAGGATTTCGTTGGAAACGGGATTACATACAAAAAGCAGACAGCAGCATTCTCAGAAACTTCTTTGTGATGTTTGCATTCAAGTCACAGAGTTGAACATTCCCTTTCATAGAGCAGGTTTGAAACACTCTTTTTGTAGTATCTGGATGTGGACATTTGGATCGCTTTCAGGCCTATGGTGAAAAAGGAAATATCTTCCCATGAAAACTAGACAGAAGCATTCTCAGAAACTTATTTGTGATGTGTGCCCTCAACTGACAGTGTTGAACCTTTGTTTTGATAGAGCAGTTCTGAAACACACTTTTTGTAAAATCTGCAAGAGGATATTTGGATAGCTTTGAGGATTTCGTTGGAAACGGGAATGTCTTCATGTAAACTCTACACAGAAGCATTCTCAGAAACTGCTTTGGGATGTTTCAATTGAAGTCCCAGTGTTGAACATTCCCATTCATAGAGCAGGTTTGAAACACTCTTTTTGTACTATCTGGAAGTGGACATTTGGAGCGCTTTCAGGTCCTACGGTGAAAAAGGAGATATCTTCCAATAAAAACTAGATAGAAGCAATGTCAGAACTTTTTTCATGATGTATCTACTCAGCAAACAGAGTTGAACCTTTCTTTTGAGGGAGCAGTTTTGAAACACTATTTTTGTGGAATATGCAAGTGGGTATTAGGCCAGCTTGGAGGATTTCGTTGGAAACGGGAATACGTATAAAAAGCAGACAGCAGCATTGTCAGAAACTACTTTGTGATGTTTGCATTCAAGTCACAGAACTGAACACTCCCTTTCACAGAGCAGGTTTGAAACACTCTTTTTGTAGTGTCTGTAAGTGAACATTTGGATTGCTTTCAGGCCTAAGGTGAAAAAGGAAATATCTTCCCATAAAAACTAGACAGAAGCATTCTCAGAAACTTGTTTGTGATGTGTGCCCTCTACTGACAGAGTTGAACCTTTCTTTGCAAAGAGCAGTTTTGAAACACTCTTTTTGTAGAATCTGCAAGAGGATATTTGGATAGCTTTGAGGATTTCTTGGGAAACGGGAATGTCTTCAGATAAACTCTAGACAGAAGCATTCTCAGAAACTTCTTTGGGATGTTTCAATTGAAGTCACAGTGTTGAACATTCCCTTTCACAGAGCAGGTTTGAAACACTCTTTTTGTAGTGTCTATAATTGAACATTTGGCGTGCTTTCAGGCCTAACGTGAAAAAGGAAATATCTTCCCATAAAAACTAGACAGAAGCATTCTCAGAAACTTGTTCGTGATGTGTGCCCTCTACTGACAGAGTTGAACCTTTCTTTGCAAAGAGCAGCTTTGAAACACTCTTTTTGTAGAATCTGCAAGAGGATATGTGGATAGCTTTGAGGATTTCGTTGGAAACGGGTATGTCTTCAGATAAACTCTAGACAGAAGCATTCTCAGAAACTTCTTTGGGATGTTTCAATTGAAGTCACAGTGTTGAACATTCCCTTTCACAGAGCAGGTTTGAAACACTCTTTTTGTAGTGTCTATAAGTGAACATTTGGCGTGCTTTCAGGCCTAACGTGAAAAAGGAAATATCTTCCCATAAAAACTAGACAGAAGCATTCTCAGAAACTTGTTCATGATGTGTGCCCTCTACTGACAGAGTTGAACCTTTCTTTGCAAAGAGCAGCTTTGAAACACTCTTTTTGTAGAATCTGCAAGAGGATATTTGGATAGCTTTGAGGATTTCGTTGGAAACGGGTATGTCTTCAGATAAACTCTAGACAGAAGCATTCTCAGAAACTTCTTTGGGATGTTGCATTCAAGTCACAGAGTAGAACATTCCCATTCATAGAGTAGATTTGAAACACTCTTTTTGTAGTATCTGGAAGTGGACATTTGGAGCGCTTTCAGGCCTATGTTGAAAAAGGAAATATCTTCCCATAAAAACTAGACGGAAGCATTCTCAGAAACTTACTTGTGATGTGTTTGCTCAACTAACAGAATTGAACCATCGTTTTGAAGGAGCAGTTTTGAAACACTGTTTTCGTGGAATCTGCAAGTGGATATTTGGCTAGCTTTGAGGATTTCGTTGGAAACGGGATTACATATAAAAAGGAGACAGCAGCATTCTCAGAAACTTCTTTGTGATGTCTGCATTCAATTCACAGAGTTGAGCATTCCCTTTCCTAGAGCACGTTGGAAACACTCTTTTTGTAGTATCTGGATGAGGACATTTGGAGCGCTTTCAGGCGTATGGTGAAAAAGGAAATATCTTCCCGTAAAAACTAGACAGAAGCATTCTCAGAAATTTATTTGTGATGTGTGCCCTCAACTAACAGAGTTGAACCTTTCTTTTGATAGAGCAGTTTTGAAACACTCTTTTTGTAAAATCTGCAAGAGGATATTTGGATAGCTTTGAGGATTTCGTTGCAAACGGGAATGGCTTCATATAAACTCTAGACAGAAGCATTCTCAGAAACTTCGTTGGGATGTTTCGATTGAAGTCCCAGTGTTGAACATTCCCTTTTATAGAGCAGGTTGGAAACACTCTTTCTGCATTCCCTGGAAGTGGACATTTGGAGCGCTTTCAGGACGACGGTGAAAATGGAAATATCTTCCAAGAAAATCTAGATAGAAGCAACGTCAGAAACTTTTATGTGATGGATCTACTCAGCTAACAGAGTTGAACCTTTCTTTTGAGAGAGCAGTTTTGCAACACTCTTTTTGTGGAATATGCAAATGGATATTAGGGCAGCTTTGAGGATTTCGTTGGAAACGGGAATACATGTAAAAAGCAGACAGCAGCATTCTCAGAAACTTCTTTGTGATGTTTGCATTGAAGTCACAGAGTTGAACATTCCCTTTGAGAGAGCAGGTTTGAAACACGCCTTTTGTCATATCTGGAAGTGTCCATTCGGAGCGCATTCAGGCTTGTGTTGAAAAAGGAAATATCCTCCCATAAAAACTAGAGAGAAGCATTCTCAGAAACTTATCTGTGATGTATGTACTCAACTAACAGAACTAAACCATCGTTTTGAAGGAGCAGTTTTGAAACACTCTTTTTGCGGAATCTGCAAGTGGATATTTGGCTAGCTGGGAGGATTTCGTTGGAAACGGGATTACATACAAAAAGCAGACAGCAGCATTCTCAGAAACTTCTTTGTGATGTTTGCATTCAAGTCACAGAGTTGAGCATTCCCTTTCATAGAGCAGGTTTGAAACACTCTTTTTGTAGTATCTGGATGTGGACATTTGGATCGCTTTCAGGCCTATGGTGAAAAAGGAAATATCTTCCCATGAAAACTAGACAGAAGCATTCTCAGAAACTTATTTGCGATGTGTGCCCTCAACTGACAGTGTTGAACCTTTGTTTTGATAGAGCAGTTCTGAAACACACTTTTTGTAAAATCTGCAAGAGGATATTTGGATAGCTTTGAGGATTTCGTTGGAAACGGGAATGTCTTCATGTAAACTCTGGACAGAAGCATTCTCAGAAACTGCTTTGGGATGTTTCAATTGAAGTCCCAGTGTTGAACATTCCCTTTCATAGAGCAGGTTTGAAACACTCTTTTTGTACTATCTGGAAGTGGACATTTGGAGCGCTTTCAGGTCTACGGTGAAAAAGGAGATATCTTCCAATAAAAACTAGATAGAAGCAATGTCAGAACTTTTTTCATGATGTATCTACTCAGCAAACAGAGTTGAACCTTACTTTTGAGAGAGCAGTTTTGAAACACTCTTTTTGTGGAATATGCAAGTGGGTATTAGGCCAGCTTGGAGGATTTCGTTGGAAACGGGAATACGTATAAAAAGCAGACAGCAGCATTGTCAGAAACTACTTTGTGATGTTTGCATTCAAGTCACAGAATTGAACACTCCCTTTCACAGAGCAGGTTTGAAACACTCTTTTTGTAGTGTCTGTAAGTGAACATTTGGATTGCTTTCAGGCCTAAGGTGAAAAAGGAAATATCTTCCCATAAAAACTAGACAGAAGCATTCTCAGAAACTTGTTTGTGATGTGTGCCCTCTACTGACAGAGTTGAACCTTTCTTTGCAAAGAGCAGTTTTGAAACACTCTTTTTGTAGAATCTGCAAGAGGATATTTGGATAGCTTTGAGGATTTCTTGGGAAACGGGAATGTCTTCAGATAAACTCTAGACAGAAGCATTCTCAGTAAACTTCTTTGGGATGTTTCAATTGAAGTCACAGTGTTGAACATTCCCTTTCACAGAGCAGGTTTGAAACACTCTTTTTGTAGTGTCTATAAGTGAACATTTGGCGTGCTTTCAGGCGTAACGTGAAAAAGGAAATATCTTCCCATAAAAACTAGACAGAAGCATTCTCAGAAACTTGTTCGTGATGTGTGCCCTCTACTGACAGAGTTGAACCTTTCTTTGCAAAGAGCAGCTTTGAAACACTCTTTTTGTAGAATCTGCAAGAGGATATTTGGATAGCTTTGAGGATTTCGTTGGAAACGGGTATGTCTTCAGATAAACTCTAGACAGAAGCATTCTCAGAAACTTCTTTGGGATGTTGCATTCAAGTCACAGAGTAGAACATTCCCATTCATAGAGCAGATTTGAAACACTCTTTTTGTAGTATCTGGAAGTGGACATTTGGAGCGCTTTCAGGCCTATGTTGAAAAAGGAAATATCTTCCCATAAAAACTAGACGGAAGCATTCTCAGAAACTTACTTGTGATGTGTTTGCTCAACTAACAGAATTGAACCATCGTTTTGAAGGAGCAGTTTTGAAACACTGTTTTCGTGGAATCTGCAAGTGGATATTTGGCTAGCTTTGAGGATTTCGTTGGAAACGGGATTACATATAAAAAGGAGACAGCAGCATTCTCAGAAACTTCTTTGTGATGTCTGCATTCAAGTCACAGAGTTGAGCATTCCCTTTCATAGAGCAGGTTGGAAACACTCTTTTTGTAGTATCTGGATGAGGACATTTGGAGCGCTTTCAGGCGTATGGTGAAAAAGGAAATATCTTCCCGTAAAAACTAGACAGAAGCATTCTCAGAAATTTATTTGTGATGTGTGCCCTCAACTAACAGAGTTGAACCTTTCTTTTGATAGAGCAGTTTTGAAACACTCTTTTTGTAAAATCTGCAAGAGGATATTTGGATAGCTTTGAGGATTTCGTTGCAAACGGGAATGGCTTCATATAAAATCTAGACAGAAGCATTCTCAGAAACTTCGTTGGGATGTTTCGATTGAAGTCCCAGTGTTGAACATTCCCTTTTATAGAGCAGGTTGGAAACACTCTTTCTGCATTCCCTGGAAGTGGACATTTGGAGCGCTTTCAGGACGACGGTGAAAATGGAAATATCTTCCAATAAAATCTAGATAGAAGCAACGTCAGAAACTTTTATGTGATGGATCTACTCAGCTAACAGAGTTGAACCTTTCTTTTGAGAGAGCAGTTTTGCAACACTCTTTTTGTGGAATATGCAAGTGGATATTAGGGCAGCTTTGAGGATTTCGTTGGAAACGGGAATACATGTAAAAAGCAGACAGCAGCATTCTCAGAAACTTCTTTGTGATGTTTGCATTGAAGTCACAGAGTTGAACATTCCCTTTGAGAGAGCAGGTTTGAAACACGCCTTTTGTCATATCTGGAAGTGTCCATTCGGAGCGCATTCAGGCTTGTGTTGAAAAAGGAAATATCCTCCCAGAAAAACTAGACAGAAGCATTCTCAGAAACTTATTTGTGATGTATGTACTCAACTAACAGAACTAAACCATCGTTTTGAAGGAGCAGTTTTGAAACACTCTTTTTGCGGAATCTGCAAGTGGATATTTGGCTAGCTGGGAGGATTTCGTTGGAAACGGGATTACATACAAAAAGCAGACAGCAGCATTCTCAGAAACTTCTTTGTGATGTTTGCATTCAAGTCACAGAGTTGAAAATTCCCTTTCATAGAGCAGGTTTGAAACACACTTTTTGTAGTATCTGGATGTGGACATTTGGATCGCTTTCAGGCCTATGGTGAAAAAGGAAATATCTTCCCATGAAAACTAGACAGAAGCATTCTCAGAAACTTATTTGTGATGTGTGCCCTCAACTGACAGTGTTGAACCTTTGTTTTGATAGAGCAGTTCTGAAACACACTTTTTGGAAAATCTGCAAGAGGATATTTGCATAGCTTTGAGGATTCCGTTGGAAACGGGAATGTCTTCATGTAAACTCTAGACAGAAGCATTCTCAGAAACTGCTTTGGGATGTTTCAATTGAAGTCCCAGTGTTGAACATTCCCTTTCATAGAGCAGGTTTGAAACACTCTTTTTGTACTATCTGGAAGTGGACATTTGGAGCGCTTTCAGGTCTACGGTGAAAAAGGAGATATCTTCTAATAAAAACTAGATAGAAGCAATGTCAGAACTTTTTTCATGATGTATCTACTCAGCAAACAGAGTTGAACCTTTGTTTTGAGAGAGCAGTTTTGAAACACTCTTTTTGTGGAATATGCAAGTGGGTATTAGGCCAGCTTGGAGGATTTCGTTGGAAACGGGAATACGTATAAAAAGCAGACAGCAGCATTGTCAGAAACTACTTTGTGATGTTTGCATTCAAGTCACAGAATTGAACACTCCCTTTCACAGAGCAGGTTTGAAACACTCTTTTTGTAGTGTCTGTAAGTGAACATTTGGATTGCTTTCACGCCTAAGGTGAAAAAGGAAATATCTTCCCATAAAAACTAGACAGAAGCATTCTCAGAAACTTGTTCGTGATGTGTGCCCTCTACTGACAGAGTTGAACCTTTCTTTGCAAAGAGCAGTTTTGAAACACTCTTTTTGTAGAATGTGCAAGAGGATATTTGGATAGCTTTGAGGATTTCTTGGGAAACGGGAATGTCTTCAGATAAACTCTAGACAGAAGCATTCTCAGAAACTTCTTTGGGATGTTGCATTCAAGTCACAGAGTAGAACATTCCCATTCATAGAGCAGATTTGAAACACTCTTTTTGTAGTATCTGGAAGTGGACATTTGGAGCGCTTTCAGGCCTATGTTGAAAAAGGAAATATCTTCCCATAAAAACTAGACGGAATAATTCTCAGAAACTTACTTGTGATGTGTTTGCTCAACTAACAGAATTGAACCATCGTTTTGAAGGAGCAGTTTTGAAACACTGTTTTCGTGGAATCTGCAAGTGGATATTTGGCTAGCTTTGAGGATTTCGTTGGAAACGGGATTACATATAAAAAGGAGACAGCAGCATTATCAGAAACTTCTTTGTGATGATTGCATTCAAGTCACAGAGTTGAACATTCGCTTTCATACAGCAGGTTTGAAACACTCTTTTTGTAGTATCTGGAAGTGGACATTTGGAGCGCTTTGTGGCCTATGGTGAAAAAGGAAATATCTTCCCATAAAAACTAGATAGAAGCATTCTCAGAAACTTGTTTGTGATGTGTGTACTCAACTAACAGAGTTGAACCTTTCTTTTGATAGAGCAGTTTTGAAGCACTCTTTTTGTAGAATCTGCAAGGGGATATTTGGATAGCTTTGAGGATTTCGTTGGAAACGGGAATATCTTCATATAAAATCTAGACAGAAGCATTCTCAGAAACATCTCTGTGATGTTTGCATTCAAGTCACAGAGTTGAACATTCCCTTTCATAGAGCACGTTTGAAACACTCTTTTTGTAGTATCTGGAAGTGCACATTTGGAGCGCATTGAGGTCTATGGTGAAAAAGGAAATATCTTCCCATAAAAAGAAGACAGA